>NC_000003.12:142493452-142796483 GCF_000001405.40 Homo sapiens | reverse complement strand
AAGGAAATAAGGAAATAAGGAAAAAAGGGTAGAGTGCTGTGTGGCCATGGGTTGTTCTTTCTGTCTAAATTATCCAACTGTCAGTGTAAAAGGCTGTTTAATTCATTTGAAACATGTGACTTGAATAACTTTTTAAAAAACTGTAAATTATTAAAGCCTGCCCACAGAAGTTATACAGTAAGAGTTAATGAGGGAATCATATTATTCTGTAGTATTATACAACCTGGGGGGCGATTTAGTATAGTGATTAAGATCACTGGCTCTGGAGCCAAACCACCTAGGCGGAATCCCAGTTCTGCTACTTACCAACCATGTGACCTTGCGCAAGTTACTTAATGTCTCTATGCCTCAGATTCTTCCTCTGTAAAATGGAAATAAAAGAGTCTGCCTCTTAGAATGGTTGTGAGGATTAAATGAGGTAATAAATGTGAATAAAGACTTTAGAACAGTATCTGGCACATAGTAAGGGCCCAATAAATGTCTGCTGTTATTACTATTATTACCACAATTATGTACAGATTCTATCTTCATGTCGTTTTTTCTTTAAAATATAAAGCATTACTGATTTATGCCCAATCATGTTTCTTGTATCTGCTGAAGTGGATTAGCTGGCATCCTTCATAAAAGCAAAAGAAACAACAAAAAAATGCCTGTCTATTTAGCTTTGTAGTTACATTCCCTTTGGGTATATTTGTATTTTGTTCATTCTTCTGTTTAGATCCATATTCCCCTATGTTACTGTAGTCCTTCCACCTGAAGGACTTCTATTAACGTTCCTTGTAGTGCTGGTGTCCAGTGATGTATTCTTTTAGCTTTTGTGTGTCTGGAAGTCTACATTTTACCTTCATTTTTGAATGATATTTTGCTAGGTAGAGAACTCCAGGTTGACAGTTGTTTTTTTTTTCTTTCAGTGCTTTACAAATGTCACTCCACTGCCTCCTTGCTTGCACTGTTTCTGACAAGAAATCTACTGTCATCCTTACCTTTCTTTTTCTGTATATGATGACCTGCTATTCTCTGTTTGCTTTGAAGATTTTTTTTATCACTGATTTTCAGCAGTGATACACTGAATATGATGTCCCTTGGTGTGATTTTCCTCATGTTTCTTGTGTTTGCAGGTTTATTGAACTTCTTGGATGTGGGTTTATAGTTTTCTTCAAATTTGGAAAATGTCTGCTATTATTTCTTAAAAAATTTTTTTGGTCTCTCCTTTTTTCAGGGATTCCAATTACATTAGTATTAATATTAGGCCACCTGAAGTTGTCCCAAAGTTCACAGATACTCTTTTCATTTTTAAAAATTCTTTCTTCTCCATTTTATTTTGAATAGTTTCTATTGTTACCTATTCGAGTTTACTAATGTGTTTTTCTACAAGGTCTAACCTGTCATTAATCACATCCAGTGCATGTTTCAGGTCACAGTGAAAATTTCATCTCTGAAAGTTTAATTTGGTGTTTTTTTCTTTTTTTTACATCTTCCATGTCTCTACTAAACTTTAAACTTTTTGTACATATGGAACACAATAATAATAACTGCTGAAGAGTCCTTATCTGATAACTCTAACATCTGTGTTGCTTTTGGATAGGTTTTAATGAACACATTTAAGTTACTTGGAAAAAATTTAATCCTTTCACATCTTGCTTTTAATATTTGTTCGTTGAAACTAGAGCAGTGTGTAGGCTTGAGATAACTATTGAGGCAAGACCCTTCTGAGTATTCTTCTAATCCCGTCGGATGAGATGGTTCTTTCCCTGCCCGAGGTAGTGTCCTCACATGCATATGCTAATCAGTACTCTGCTGAATACTCAAGGGAGACAACTGCAGATCTCCAGAATTTTCTTTCTGTGCTGCTAAATCCAGAATTCTGCCAGGCTCTGACTGCACTGACCCACTCTGCACAATAGCCTAAAAATTCTCACAAAGCAGTAAGCTGGAGTGATCTTTGTTTCTTGTTTCTTAGAGATCACTGTTGTTTACTGCCTGATATCTAGTTTCTTATAAGCTGTTGTTTCATATATTTTGTTCTTTTTTCCTTTTTGATTGCTTTAGATAGAAGGGTAAATCCAATCCTTATTACTCCATGTTGGCTGGAAACAGAAGTCAGAAATTGACTCTTCATTCCTAAAAAATATTATACTTTCTCCTTTTTAACCCTTTATAGGAGTCCATAAAGAAATTTCCAGTATAGAAACCTAGTTCTGTCGTCCATTTTCAGTTAAAAAAAAATCAATGTGCATGTAAAAACACTGTAGACTCTTGATTAAAGCATTCGT
Source organism: Homo sapiens (assembly GCF_000001405.40). Classification (NCBI taxonomy): domain Eukaryota; kingdom Metazoa; phylum Chordata; class Mammalia; order Primates; family Hominidae; genus Homo; species Homo sapiens. The sequence continues at coordinate 142,794,210 of NC_000003.12, read as the reverse complement.
AGATGATATTAGTGGCAAAAATAAATCAAAAGGACAGATAGTTTAAGCCAGTGTTTCTATGGCTTACTGTGTTTTGGAAAAATACAGAGACTTGCACATATTTCATGAAAAACAGGTATGAGGTTAAATGACTTTAGGTAATGATGATTTGAACAAGGTTAAACAAATTTTTTTCTCAGAGGCTTTAATGTGATAACATGCACTGTCAATTCCCAAGAGGTATACAGTATACAGTGTGTCCCAAACTTACTTAATTCAGAGCATCTCACAGGACTTGGTTAAGAGAGCCACACTTCAGGAAACACTGTTGCTGGATGACAGCACAAGCCTAATCAAATCAGGTTTTTCCTATATATTTTATTTTCATATCCCTGTTTGGAGAAGGTAATTATGCCTTTTATTTAAAATATCACCTTTAAAAATATGAGACAATCTAAATTGTTAGTAAATTTTGACTTAAGGAAAAATGAATATTGTTCAGATTTTCAGAAATAATAAGCTATAGTATTACATAGAGCTAGCAGAGTTGACCCCACCTTCTGAAAACCAGTTACTAAATTCTGTGGGGTAAATGCAACCAATTATGAGTCTTTTCTTTGGTGCAAAGAGACTGAGAATTTAGTCTTGAACTCTCATACATAATAATCATACTACTTTGGACAAATCAAATCCCATCTCAAAAGCTCAATTTCTTTAACTATAAAGTATTATAAAATATAAAGCTGAACTACATAGCCTCTGTAAATTTTTTAGCTCTAAGTATGCTACTTTCCAACTTATTACATTTAATATTTATTAAACGAAAGTGTAAGTATTCTTTTAAATCCAGCTTATTCAAAAATCATCAAATATGATTATTTTTGTTTGCACAGGTCCTCCTTTATACTTATAACCTAAAATATTTAAAACTTTAAATGTGAGATTCATTTTGATAAAAAGCAGATTTTTATGTTACTCTACTGTCTGAAGTGTAATTATATTTTAAACATATCTATGTCTATGAAGTGGGGGGAGGAGGCTAATGGACCACAGCATAATTAACTTGGAATACCTGAAAGCAAAGGATTATCACTGAGCCAGAAGCAAAGTAGATAAACATGCTGTGTCCTTCTAATTGCTACTTATTCTCAAGAGCAAAGTTTAGCTTTAATATCATGAGAGAACAGTATTCCACTGGACAAGGAGAAAGATGTAACAATAATGACATCTAAAAAATGTTCTTTAAGAAATTTTAATTATTTACCTGTAATGGACCCAAGATAGAGCTGGTTGTATACATAAAAAAGAGACGAAGATAACTTAGAACATTTGCAAATGCAAAAAGCCCTTCTGCCACCAGTGTAGGATGGAATGCATCCCAATCCTTCCGATCAGCAAAATCATGAAACTAAGGTTAGGAAGAAAAAGCCAAAGGTAAATAAGCTCTCTCAATTTAGGAAAATAAAAGCAAATATTCTGACTGTTGAAAGAAAGCCATTTTAATTTTGTCTTCTTATAGGGGATCTCCACTTATGTTTTATAGGGTTTTTTAAAAATAGAAATAATATTTTAATGAAATAAAATATTATTATGTATGTGAGGCATTATCACTCTATATGAAGAGGTTTTTCCAGAAACTCTTAAATTTTAGAAAATTAAATAATTTTTTAAATGATCATTAAGCTTTTTATTAATGAAATGTTGGCTAGTTTTCTTAAATTCCACAACACAAACGTTAAGTACATGTGCTGTCAATTAATTCCCTATCATATTACATTAACCTACTGCTTTGACTTGGAATTCAGAGTTTTTTTCCCCCCTTTTAAATACAAAATAAAAAAGAGGGCATTATTGTACCTAGACACAGTGGTCAATTGTCCCCATTGCCTGGGATAGTTTAAGATGCTGTACCAGTTGTCCTGGCATAATTATTAATAGTGCCCCCTTTCACTCTCAAAATGTCCTGATTTGGATAAAAAATTATATGGGTACTCCACTTATAGAACGAAAGAGATCAATCTGAAAAAGCAATGTCTCTCAATCCCTTTATCAAACCATTTATCTATATATGACCAATTTTCATTTTCTTAGTAATTTCACACTCTAGACACTGAACGTACCTAACATATTCCATACTACTGATCAATTAAACAGAATTTTTTAATAAAGTAAAATTATGTAAAATAATGAGCTTGCCTTTTCAATAATCTAAGAACTAATAAAAAACAGAGAATATTATATATTTTAGTTCCTTGAATGTGACACCCCAGAAGAATTCTAAACTCAGGGTTTAAACAAAGATAGTTAACACACAATTTGTTACCCTTTCTGGGCTTGGGGGAGCTTAAATTCTGATGAAAGTAAAATTGTAAGTTATCTATAAGGGTAGATTTTTGTCAAATTCTAAATAAAAATATATAGTTATTAGAAAAATAATAACATTTACATCACTTTTAAAGCTGTTAATCATGATTTGAAATGTGTAAAATATTACATAACCAATTTCATTCATTATGAAATGGAATGGAATGGAAACTCTTTTTCTGGCAGATATAAAGATATCTAACACTAATCATTTTAAGTTACTTTGTTCTCATTTTAAGTATATACAGGTTAATAAGCTAAAAGAACCTAGGTCAGATATAAGGAATTGGCATCTAGTAGAAAGAAAATGCCTAGACAGGGCAGGATTTAAATCCAGTCTTGGTTTCCTATTGTGTGGTTTCGGACAAGTTGTTTAATATTTTTAGGCTTCATTTTTCTTACTTGCAAAATGGGAATAAGGAAATAAGGACTTCAGTCTCAAAGAATCCCAGTGTAGATAAAAAGAGATAAAGTATACCAAATGTGAACTATGGTCCCTGTTATATAATAAATAACCATCATGTAAAGGTAAGTAACACCTGTAAACTACTGGAAAAATAGGAAACTATGTGCACACAGATAGGCTTAAAATGAAAACACACCAGACACTGATCTGGCTCAATGTAACTCTGAGTTACATAGCTAAATATCTTAGCTATTTCCAAAATAAACTTAATTTGTGCCTTCAATTGACATAGTAAATAGTCACCTTGTTGTGAGCAACCACTTTGAGGGCAAAGGTTGCCAAATAAAGAGAATTCATGACAAAACTGAGTTGATTACGAGATTCTTCTAAAAAGTCTTCCAACCCTTCATACCAGAGTCTTTTAATGTCTGACCAAATCATCCCTGAGAAAAGGAAGAAAAAAATCAGATAACACTTTCTTAATTCAATAAATAAACTAAATAATACTTTAAGACTCAAAATATTAAATAAATAATCCTTGGGCCTTATTCAAAAGAAAAAAAAACAAAACCAAAAACATTTTAGTGAAAAGTTCTTAAAATCTGAAAGAAAATAACCTTAACTTTCATACGACTTGAAGAAAATAACCTTAAGTTTCATCTTTGGATGTGGAACAAACGTAAGAAACCAAATAAATTAATGCCAAACACACATGGGCACAAACACACACACACGGATGCATGCACATGGATGCATACACAGGGATACAAACATACACGGAGACACACACGGATACACACATGGATGTGCACGCACACACGTACACACCCCCGCACAAGGGGCTCAGTCCCTGATCCTTTTCTTTTCTCTACCTATACTTACTACTTTAATGATCTCACCCAATCTAATGGCTTTAAATATCATCTACATGGCAAAGGCTCTCAAGTTTATATATTTAAGTTCAAATCTTTTACTTCTACAAATTTAAGTAAACCTAGTACCAGGTTTCAGCCTGTTTTGTTCTGTGAGTGCAAATGTCAAAAAAATGCAAAACCACTGCTGCTCATTGTGCATAGTGGGCACTGCACCCTCCCTTAAATCCCATTTTACTCAGAATCAAAACCAGTCTTTACAATGGCCTGCAAGTCTCCAAATTACCTATCCTCTCTGACCTCATCTCCTACTAATCTTTCCTTGTACTATTCTAGTCGCGCTGGCCTCCTTGCTTCCTTGCTGTTCTTTGAACACATGACTCCTGCCTTTAGGGCCTTTATACTGGCTCTTCCTTCTGGCTGGACCCTCCTCACCCAGAGATCCATTTGACTAACTACCTCACTTTTTCATGTCTTTGCTCATCACCCTTCCTGACTACCCTATTTAAAATTGCAAACTCTTTGCAACTTTAAAATTGTCCCCCACTCCCAATTCTCCTAACTCTGCTTTTACCTTTCTTTTGTATTACTTATCTCTTTTCTAACACTGAATATAATTTACTTATTAGGTCTATTATTAATTGATTATCTTTCCCCCACTTTGGGTAAGCTCTTCAAGGGTAAGAATCTTTGTTTTATTTACCGATGTTTCCAAATGTCCTGAAAAGTACCTGATACAAACAAGGTGCTAAAAAATATTGCCAAATGAATAAATATACAAAAATAAAAACCAAAGCAAACAAACAGAAAAACTTTCCGTTTTTTGGCCAGAAGCTCCTCTATAACTATATATTTTTATGGGTACCAGACTTCAGTAACATAATTCAGGATCATTTTATGGTACATTCCTTCATTAAGTCATTTTCGGGGAGACTACAGAGTAACAAAAGAATAGAGTGCTGTAGCATCACACATGGGTGGAGATCAAATTAGGCCAATCAGAATCATTCTCTGGCTTATCAGTAGGCAAAATAATTCCCCTGGGAAACACAAGAAACATTCTTGAAGATCTCTGTTCAAAACATCTTAATTATGCAGTACCCATATTTTATACAGAAAAAAAGTGTTTAAAACATTTGCAGATTTGACAGGAAAAACATTTTTAACAATTCCACCTTAGTATGTTTTTACTCAAAATGAATAGATGAAAACTGTCTAAAAATGTAAAATGAAATAGTCTAGCAGGTAACATTTTATTAACTCAAATACTGTTTTATTTGGGGAAGGAGTAGGGATGAAAGCTTTCTGATATTTCTCATGTTCAACCTTCACCTACCACTCAGAGCTGTGGAGCAGAAACATATTAAACAAATCCTCCATGACCATACTTTCTTGAAGACTCAAAATTATTGTCTAATTCTAGATCCTGATGTGTGCGAATCCTTATTTATGAAACATCTTCAAACAAAAACCCTTATATTTAAACTTTAGATACACTCCTGTTAATATTTAAAACATCAAACTAAGAAAGATGTTTACAGAAATGTGTTTATTTCTGTGAAATGCAATATTTTACCTAAAAGAAACTCTTAACAAAAACTTACAACATGAATTGGAGAAAACTGTTGATCAAAAAAGACAGACATGAAAGTACAGTGAAGACCAATTGGTTAGTTTCCCAGCTCCTCTGCAATACCCCCACAAAAATGAAGCTAATACACTTGATGTATTGCATGTTTCCAAGCTGGATCACAAAGAACATAGTAAGTTGAAACTAATCCAAGCAATACAAACACTACATAACCAACATTCTATATTTTAGGGTCTATTTTTTTTAGAATTAATGTTAATAATAACATTAGAAGGCAGCAATCCCAGCCATCTTGGGATTTCTCAAGGGCTTGATCTTAGGTCCTCTCTTTTTCTCAATTTATCTTTCTCCTTGTGTCTCACCTATGCCTATAGTTTCATATACCACCTATTTTCAGATATGCATACCTTTCTAACTCAAGCTCCAGACCAACTGTCTGCTTGACATCCCTAAAAGGGATATTTAAAAAATATCTCAAAGGCTTTTCAAACTCAACATATCCGAAACTGTACTCAGGATCTACCCCTCAACACACAAATCCCCAAGCCTAGTACTCTTCCAAAAGACCAATATTGCTTAATAATCTCCCTTTCCTTCACCTCTCATATACTATGTATTTCGATGTCCTACTGGCCTTACATTATAAATATCTCTGAAGTCTGTTCCCTTCTCTCTTTCTCTATCACAATCACCCTAAGTCCAAGGTGCCATCAGCTCTCATCTGGATTAGTGCAACAGCATCGATATTGGTCTCCCTCCATCTACTCCTGCCACAGCACTATCCTCCCAGCTCATCCTCCACCCTGTAGATAGAATGATCTTTTCGAAAGGCAAAACTGATCATGTCACTTGCCTACTTCAGGTAGGCAATGGTTTCCCCTTGTTCTTAATATAAAGTCAAAATTACTTAACCTGACCTACAAGGCCATGCATGGTCTGGTACAATATGTTTCTGTAGCTTCATCTTGAATCAAGCTCTCCTGGTTCTCCCTGCTCCAGAAATGTTAGCCTTTACTCAGACCCTTCTTTGTACCATTCTCTCTCTTGCCACTGAGCTTCTGAATGTGCTTTTATCTCAGCCTAGAGTAGCTTCCTCTCCCAGTTCTCTCAGTTGACATCTATTTATCTTTTAGATCTTAGCTCACTTATTACTTCCTCAACGTGTCTTTCCCAACCTCCCTGACTAGGGCAAATGCCCCTATAATATGCTTACTCTCCTAACACTATGATCTTTAACCAATAGCACTTAATCCATTTTTGAGTTTTCATTTTTCCATATGATTCTCAAGTCAAGTTTTTGATGGTTTTATTTGGCTTTTATTAGATCATAAGCTTCACGAGTGTATGGGCCATATCTGCTTTTGCCTGTGCTTAGACAAAGTAGGTACATGACATTTAAAAAATACATTTCTATAATAGCCATTCTATTATGTTTAATAGCAAAAATTAAGTAAAAGGATACCATTAATATTCTGTGCATTCCTCAACAAATTATTCTCTTTTTACCTACCTTGCTTTTTATAACCTAACCTTACTTTTTTCTGAAAAGCTAATGAAAGCAAACAAAACAAATATACAAAAATTGGTCATGATGAGTTAAAAAGTCACTGTGTTCATTGCTTGAAATAGTAAGTTGAACCAAGCAATGACTTTATTTAGGCAAGCAAGCAAAATATTCCTCCATGCTCACTTAGAGCCGGTTTGGATCTATATACTGAAAAAAAGCCCAGAGTGACCTAATTACATAAAAGGCTTAAGAAGACTTCCTTGGCAAGGCTTATTCAGATCAAACTGTTTCAAAGCAGAAGCTGTGCTGAGGAAAGGAAGATACTTCCAGGAATTTTACTGGCTTAATGCACATGCATTCTTCTAGTGAGGTAGAATATGGTTAGAAAATTAATCATATTATGTGTGTAAGGGGGTACCCATGTATATATACGTGTAATATCATTGAAAACAGCATCATATAAAAGGGAAGAGCTATAGTTTTACCATTATTATGAAAATCGGGGACAGCAGTAATATTTATGCTATTCAAAGAGTGGTATGACTATTTTAGTTCGGTGAGTTTTTACTCATTGCTAAGACATATAAACTTTAATTTGATTCTTATACAGACTGGGGTAAACTAAATCTAACAAAACACAGAAAATATTCTTTCTTACTACTAAACAATAGGTTATAGATAAATGTTATAAAATTTCATCTGTTTAAGACTAAGGAATATATAACAATCAGAAATAGTTTAAATGAATATAGGGAAAGTGCTCCTTAGCGATTCTCTTCAAACTAATGTGTAAAATTCTTCCAGGAATTTTTTAACTACTCAACTAGCAATACAAACATATTTCACATTGAAAGAGTCCCACAGTCCAATATAAAACCATATATGGTAAAGTTTAAATTATTTCCTAAATTAAAAGATTAAATTTTAGATAAGAGCAAAACTACAGGAAATAAAAATATTAACAAGAAGGAATTATTTAATTCTCTTTAACCTAGAGTTTAGATGTGTATTATTTTATCTACCTAATTTTAAACATTAATGCATCATAGATTAAATACTGTTAAAAGCAAAACTCTAATTACAATCTAGTTACCTGAAATTAACTGATTTTCAAATAAACATTCTAAAATATAAAAAGTATTTGTATAGCTAAAGAGCTAAAATTGAACATTGTGAAATAACTTATGAAAGTACTAAATAATTGAAACAATCAGGAATGTAGTAATCAAAAGATAAATACACTCAGTACTTTGTGCCATAGATAAGACTAAATTTTATTACCCTTTTACTCTATAGCAAATAGTAGACGGACAGATGGGAAGTGCTGAGGTTAAAAACAAGGTAGAAGATACAGAGGGAAATAAAGAAAATATCTTTAAAATACCATAAACAGATAATGTGATTCTACCTCAACTCTCCACACGCACCCCGACACACAGAAGGCAAGACGAGTAAAAATTGTAGAAGATGATTTAAGACATTTATTATACAGTGTAATACTTATAAAAATAATTTTCAGGAATAAAATGTCTTATACTTTTTAAAAAACTATCATTTCTAAAGAGATCTGGCTATCTCTACAAAGAAATGATTTATGGAATGAGTCACCAGGGACTCCTTTAAATCTAAATTTAAACAATGTTTCCAAAATAGAGATAAAGCAAGATATATCTGCAAAAGTTCATAGGTTCTAGGCCGGGCACGGTGGCTCAGGCCTATAATCCCAGCACTTTGGGAGGCTGAGGCAGGAGGATTACGAAGTCAGGAGTTCGAGACCAGCCTGGCCAATGAAGTGAAACCCCATCTCTACTAAAAATACAAAAATTAGCCAGGTGTGGTGGCACGCACCTGTAATCCCAGCTACTGGGAGGCTAAGGCAGGAGAATCGTTTGAACCCGGGAGGCGGAGGTTGCAGTAAGCCAAGACTGTGCCATTGCACTCCAGCCTGGGCGACAGAGCGAGACTCTGTCTCAAACAAAACAAAACAAAACAAAACAAAAACCAAAAAGCTCATAGGTTCTTAAAAGGAAAACTAATGTTATAAATGAAATAGAATAGTTAACTTTAAAAATGCACAACAGTATAAAATAGATTGTTTCAAAATACCTAAGAAAACTTCATATTCTTACACCAAAAAAGCATTCATGTGTTAAAGCTGATTTTCTGTTTTACAATCATGAATAACCATAGAGTCTGAGAATAAATAATTTTAAAATTCCATGTATTTAAGAAATATTAAATAAGAGAGATGCTTCCTTATCATCAAGTTCAGGAACATTTATCTTTACAGACATGTTAGTTAAGTCTTCAGTGATCATGGAAGTGTTCAAATTCTTGTGGTGTGAACAGTGTAAAATTGCAAATTGAACCCAATATTCACAATGCCATCAATCAAGAAAGAATCAGTGGGCTAAATAAAGACAAAACCTTTCAAACTAACTTGATACTTACCAATAATCCACAGAATAAGAAGATAGTCTATTCTTTCAAGGGCTGGCCCCATTGTGTTTTTCTTATCCTCATTGTAGACAAGAGAGTATAGATTAAGCAACAGCAGAAATGTGAAATATGATGCTCCATGAATGATAAATTTCATAAAAGGTGTGTGAATGATTCTGCCAAACTGAGATTTGGGAGCTATCAAATAACAAAGTGACAAAACTGGCCAAAAGATGCCTACTGTCAAAACAGTCATTATCTTCTTACAGGTGGGCTTGCGTCGGTAACCCGACATCTGTCCAAACCAAACAGTGTTCAGGAACTGCTGGCAGTTAGACTGGGAGACAAACTGAAAAGGACATACACACACATTAAAAAGAAAAAAAGTAAAAGGAAACCTTTAAATACTGATTGGTTGATATTCAAAGTTTACTGAATAAGAGTTTAAAAATCAATTCTATACATTCAACATAGTTTTGTTTTTTCCCTTTTTCTAACAATAAAAGCATGTAGAGGTTAAGAGGATAGACTATGGAGCCAGATTACCTAGATTCAAATCTGGGCTCTGCTACTTGGTAAATGACCTTTAACAAGTTTTTAAATTTCTCTAAGCCTCAACTTCCCCATCTGTAAAATGGGAATAATAATAGTATCTACTAATAAAGTTGTGAAGATTAAAGGTAAAGCCCTCAGAATAGCGCCTGGTTCATAGCATGCACTCTATAAGTATTAACTATTATTATTAGCTTACTTAGCCATTTTTTCATGTTTAATATATAAAAACTCATAATAATATTTATGAAATTTCAAAGTTATCATGCACAATCCATAGAAAAAGATACCACTAACTAATGTTGGACATCTTCAGTCTAGAGAAACTATTGATTTTAGTTACCAGAAGCCAAGAAGTCAAGATAGCAAAAACAATAAAAAGCTAAATATTAGACCTATTCTTGCTCCAAGAAAGCACTGCGGATTTCTTAAAAGGTATTAAAGACACTCTTAAGCCTGATTAAAACTGAATTTCATGTGAGAAGAAAGGAAAAATATTCCCAAATATGAGAAAAATTTTAGTTCAGGTACAGAAACTAATTTACCAAAGTTTACAAATCTTCTTAGTTGACAAATTTCATAGGCAATATTTTTCCAATATAATGCTCATGTTGTGAAGTATAACTTAAGGGTCCTGATAATTCTATATATACTCATGTGATCAGGTTTGAAATTATTATAAAATGACATTATTCAGGTAATCCACAATAATATTTGGTCAACCTTCTGTTTTAAAATGATTTATCCCAAAACAGAATATAATTTGTAGAATTAACACTGTAGTGAAAAAAAGAATTGGACAGAGTTTTGTTGTTTATTGTGCTTTCAAGAAAATTTCTAGTATACTGTAGAGTTGGCCCTCTGTATCTCTGTGTCCTACATCTGTGGATTAAACCAACCATGGATCAACAATATTTGGAAGAAAAAATTCACAAAGTTCCAAATAAGCAAAACTTGAATATTCTTCACAGCAAGTACTATGTTGAATCCACATGAATGAAATGATGTGTAGGCACTGTATTAGGTGTTATAAGTAATTGAAAGATACTTTAAAGTATATGGGAAGATGTGTGTATGTTATATGCAAATACTTATTTTTGGCAATACTTCATTCTTTACTCTTCTGCTCAGATTCCAATGTTCTTGGGAAATCTTAATTTGTCCCTCAAGGTGAAATGCCTGGGAGAGAAACAGCTTTTCCTCTCACCAATGACCAGGTTTAGTAAATCTCAAATTTAGTAGTGTCACCTTTCCTCCAAATATCAAAGCAATCTCAGGACTGATTACTGTCCTTGCTATCCCTCTATACAATGACAATTTAATTTGCAGTAATGTTAACTATGTATTTGGAATAAAAAGTTTAACTAGAAATGTTCTAAGTCTGCAGTGAAAGATGGACACGCTTTCTTCCCATCATCAAGAGGTGGGGAAGGAGGAAGTCAAAATTTCCTACTCTTCAATTCAACAGGCTTGTGATTGATTTAACTAGTAGATTCTAACAGAGGTGATGCTATGTGACTTCTGAAGGTAGGTCCTAAAAGGCTACGCATCTTCCACCTTGCTCACTGGAACACCTGCTCTTGGAGCCATGAACTACCATGTAAAAAGCCACTCTGAAGCCACCATGCTGTGAGGAAGCCCAGGCTGCACACAGAGGTCACATGTATGTACCCCAGCCAGCCCGCAGAGGCTTCTCAGACCACATCCTCAAAGTCTGCCCATTGTGATGGCCATGCCTCTCCTTGGTTCCTGTTGTGAGTTCTCAGGAGCCCCACCTTCTGTGGACTCACCCATCTGAGCACCCTGTTCCTGAGGCCTCAGCTGCTGCTCAGACACCAGACATGTGAGTGGAGAAGCCCCCAGCTGATTATAGCCCTGTCATTTATCTCCAGATGAGTTCCCAGACACGGAGAAGCAGAGAAAAATCATGATTGCCATGCCCTTTCCTAATTCCTGACCTAAGAATCCAAGAGCATAATAAAATGATTATGAAATTATTATAAAATAACTATGAAGTGTTTTATGCCACTAAGTTTCAGAGTAGTTTGCTATTCAAGATTGATAACCTAAACAAAGCTTACCAACTATTTGAGAAAATATCTTCCCCACTGATCGTATTTAGAAATCTAGTTTTAAAAACTACTTTACATTTTCATTCATCTTTAAAATCGCAAAATATCTTCCTTTCAACTAACAAATATTACTACTACTTCTTGTCTTTTCTTTCATCTTCTTTAGAATGGTACATTTGGTTCCATTTGGACTCCACTCTGTGAGTCCTTCAGGGATATAGCTATCATTAGAAAATTACCTCTTAAGATTTTTTTTCCTAAACAGGATAATTTTAGTTCTTTACGCCTTTCTTTGAGGTTCTTTTTTTAAATCACTTTAATTGATTTTATACCATGTAATCCCCTTATTCTATCATTTTCTAGGACTTCATGTCCCTTTTAGGTTGTGGAACACAGAAGCAAATATATTAACCAATAAACATCCTCCATCAATTCCTCCATCAATTTCCTAATAACTTTGTGAGGCTCAAATTTTTAACCAAGGTAAGAAAAAATTCTGCCCTTAGCACCAAAGGTCCTGTATCTGGCCTTCTATCATTATATATTTCAGGCCCTATTTTTGTAATAATATAAATTTGATAAGCAAGTTTTATTTAAACATCTATGTTAACAATGAAAATAGTCTTAGAAGTAATACCTAATAAATACCATTTATCAACATCCCATACTATCAATTAGATATTATTATTATCTACATATGAATATCACTGTTTAGTTAATTATCTCAAAAATGAAATTTAAAATGCATATTTTCCTGATTCAAGTTCCTGGATCATATGTATATGTATGCATGGGGAGTAGAAATGGGCATATCTCTTAATAGAAAGGGATGATGCCAGAAAAGTCAGATTCAACTTAGTTATCATATCATGTACCTCTCCACTTTTGAGTTTCACAATGAATTATAAATAAGAGGAATCAGGAAATATAGTATCTGATACTTTATTTTTAAATAGAAATCACTATTACTATAGAAGGGGCTATTTATAACCAGATCAATGAAAACCAACCTGTGACAGACAAAACACAAGATGGAAACTTCACTATAAAGTTTGTACCTACTACAAAGGATCTTACCTGTGTAGCAACTATTTAGCAAAAACATTAAATCAACATCCATGTTATAATTATAATCAATATTACTAAAAATAATAAAAACTACCATTTATTGCATACTTGCTTAATGCTAATACTTACTGTGCTAAACCCTTTTAGTATATATTCTTAATTAATTATTAAAACAAAAGCTCAAACAGATTCAATAACTATCCCAAGACACACAATTTTTAGGAAGCAGAACTAGGATCTTAACCCAGATGAGTTACTCCAAAGCCTTTGCCCTGAGCCACTAGACTACTGTAGAGAAAATAATTTAAATATATTACAGAAAGCCTCATACCTCTTTCTGGTTATATTTGATAGCAAGTTTTAGACGACTTAAATTCATTCTTTCTTCTAATAATCCCCGTTTGTCAAGAGGCTCGTCACTAGACGTATGGTTTAGAATAACTTCCAATTCACGAGAATTCCGGGCTTGTGCAAGTAAATCCTTAGCAAACATTTTACATTGCCGGGCTAGTTCCTCATAATCATTCCTATAAAATGCAGCATTCTATTATCAGAAACGTCGTTTCCATCTTCTAATTAAGCTATATTCACTAAAAACGTTTTTACTCAGCAACATTTTAATTCTGACAGTGTTACACAAAATCTGAAGTCATTTTCTGTGGATAATCAAAGGAAACTAGTGATGCACGAATTTTCCACAGCTTTGGGGAAAACCATAACACAATTATGTTCCCTGTGTTCATACTAATAATCTTAGATGAGCACAGTGTTCATTTATATATACTGATGTTATTCCTAAAAATTCTAATAATATTTGTCAACCAGTTCTTCGCTTAACTCATTTTCCCTTATTCTCTGTAAGCTTGGCTAAAACTTCCTTTTATATTACTCACCTTAACAATAGACATAATATCTTAATGCTATCCAATCATTATCATAAAATTTTTAACTAGAGCTTTTTCAATAGTCATCTACAATATGTTTATGTTACTTCTAATATTAAAATAGCATTTTGATTCATATTTAAAGTGCTCATTTGAGTGAAATTCAAATTAGAAAGAAAGATATTAAAATGCGCCTAACAAAAACCTCTCTTTCAGAATCCCTATTCCTTGAATCTTGGGTTTGAACTGCTTATTAAAGGCAGGCCTAAACTAATTTGTGAGAAATGAAGAAGTTTTAGTATATAATTCTTTTAAAAAATATCAATTACGGCTGGGTGCGGTGGCTCAGGCCTGTAATGCCAGCACTTTGGGAGGCCAAGGCGGGTGATCACCTGAGGTCAGGAGTTCAAGACCAGCCTGGCCAACATGGCAAAACCCTGTCTCTACTAAAAAATACAAAAATTAGTCAGGCATGGTGGCAGGTGCCTGTAATCCCAGCTACTCAGGAGGCTGAGGCAGGGAGAATTGCTTGAACCCAGGAGGGGAGGTTGCAGTGAGCCAAAATGGTGCCACTGCCCTCCAGCCTGGGTCTCCAAAAAAAAAAAAAAAAAAAAATCAATTACATTAACTTTATGTCTAAGCTTAATCATAACTTAAGAATGAAGTCAGAAATAAATAATTATGAGTCATAGTCTTGAGGTTGGGCTTCAGAAAATAATGTTTTTATTCAGTTTTTTCCCAAACTGAAAGGAAGGGGAAACAGGAAGATTTCCCACTGGTTAGTCTTTCTATATAATGGGGCTTTCCAGGAACTGGCTATATAAAAATCATAACTTAAGAATAAAAACTTCTTTGCCTTAATTTCTCTCATCATTCTTTATACATTCTATGTAGTCAAAACTCCTGAAAATAAGTAATTGGATTTATTTAACAAATGCGGCACTCCCTGCTTCTTGATTTAGGAATCTAACTGCAGACTGGAATGTTTATCAGAAGTATATATTATTACAAAAATATTCCATCTTTGGATAAACATTTGATGGACTACGAGATTCAAAGGTGAAATTTATACATCTTATTAATCTAATTCATTTCTAATAGATTACTGAAGACAAATAAGTGGCTGTATAGTTTAGATGGAAATATAGAAAACCAGAAGCAAGGAGTCATATATTCTAGTTATAACTTTGCTCCTACTTTTAGTTTTAACTCTATTCCTAATTAGATGCTGCTATTAGTAAAAATCTAGCCTTTATAAATCTCCTCCCCTGTCTATAAAACACTGGATTGAAGTAAATGGGTTTCTATGATCGCTTCCAAATCTAACTTTATTATTTTATGATTATATAATCATAGCAGTTTCTTCAAATCCTGTTTGAAAGGAGTTGAGTAAGTTTTATTTTATATAACTCAGACTCAAATTATGAGGTTACAATAGGAAGTTTTTCATATTTAAACAGAATAATTTAACAGCCTCATGTGCTAATAAAGTTAAAAGTAGCAACAAGTTACATTTGAACCATGTTTTGTGTGTTCATCAAAGTAAAGTACATACTTCATGTCATATCAAGTTTAAACAAAATTTAAATTATCCAAGTTACAAGACAGTAGTTCCAAACTTGAAAATATAAACAGGTCTTTTTTCAGTTTCTGGAACTCAGGTCTATGAAGAACACATTAAGTACTGCTGTTAAAGCTAAAGAAAACTCCAAGTTTCTTACTGCCCTTCCAGGAAGTAGAAATTTGAACTTTCCCAATTTTGTCAAGTCACTGAAAGAGTGTCACACAAGACATGGGGCTCTAATAGCAGCCGTATAGGAAAGAAAAGGTAGGAATAGTTATAGATCCCCAGTAGAAACCTTGCAACAGGGGCTAGTAAAAAATCGTAATCAATTCCTCCTTCTTTAGAGGGCAACAGGGATACTTTTCCATAAAGGAAAATCTCAACGCTTTCTCTCAACTCTACTATTAATAAAAGTAGTTTTCTAAGGATTTTTTTAAAAACAATATTTAAATTAGTAGTTTCATAGGCTGCTATTACAAAGTCTTTTTTTTTTTCAACTTACCCCCCTAAAGGAAAATAATAGGAGTGCTTCTTTGGTATGCCAAGTGCCAAAATTACATTTAATCTTCATTTCAGAAGAGAACTCAGACTGGGTGTTCATCCCTCTTAATTAGTTGTATTTTATTTTTATGTTTACATGTATTACATATATTATTTCTCTTACCAGAAAATCTGAGCAAATAGTGAAAAGGGACTATGTCTGTGTGTGGAATGTCCTTGACATACAGAAAGCATTCCATATGCTTTTGAAAGATCTGAAGGATCATTACTCAAGGATGATTATAGAGTCAGAGAATGAGGAGATATGTGTGAGAGAGAGAGCAACTATGAATAAATTTGCTCCTGCTTTAGGCTATAATCCTACTGTATTTCATACTGCTCTACAATGCCTTTGGTTAGGTTGAAAAGTGGGGAAGAGATTAAAGGTGTTTATAGGGTGGCAGAGGGCAGATGGGGAAGGAATGACTTAAGTAGCACCAGGGTCTGTTCCTTTGAGGGAGAGCAGGGGTCTGTTGCCAAGTAAGTGGCAACAAGGTGTAGTGTTCTTGGATCAAATGTAAATATATACAAATTATAATTTGGGTAATGAAGAAACTGAGGTTGAAGATTTAAAACAAAATACATTATATAATTTGCATTCATTCCCACCTGAATTCCACCTCCACAAGACTTAGTTCTTTTAAATCAGCACTAAGTTCAAATGCTCTCAGAATTGGATCCTCCTCTGTTAACATTATTAGAGCTGGACTGGCCAAACATCGATATATATCAAGACGAAACCTGTGATAAAATTGGATTCCATAATGTAAAATAAACTTATACACATATAATTCGTATTTTAATCTATAATTTTCATAAATGTATACTTAAAATATTATAAAATTAAAAGAAAAACTACAGATATATTTATTACAAGATAACCTCCATAAAAAGACTTAAAACAAATATTTTGAGATATAAATATTGAAAAACCTTGCTATCTATTGCTTTTTAGAAAATTTTTTTACTGTCTCTTTTCATAGATTCAAAATGCCTTTGGTATAATATAAAGATTTTTGTTTAATCCAGTTTAATTAAATTCATATTTCTGGACCAACTTTTTTTTAACTTAAAAGACAGGGTCTCGCTCTGTCACCCAGGCCAGAGTGCAGTGGAGTGATCACAGCTTGCCTTAGTCTCGAACACCTGGGCCAAGGGATCCTCCCACTTCAGCCTTGTGATTACAGGTGCATGCCACTACACCAGGCTAATTTTTAAAATTTTTATAGAGACAGGGTCATGCTATGTGGCCCAGCTAGTCTTAAGCTCCTGGCCTCAAGTTATCCTCCCATCTTGGCCTCCCAAAGTGCTGGGATTACAGGTGTGAGCCACTGTGCCTGGTTTGAACCCAACATAATTTTAAATAAAATATGCTAATAACATAAATTTTTAATATGATGTGGATTTGATGACTAATAAATCTTTTCTTTCTCTCTCAGTAATAAAAATACTTTTTTTTTCTTTTTTTTTTGAGATGGAGTCTCACTCTGTCACCAGACCGGAGTGCAATGGCACGATCTCGGCTCACCGCAACCTCCGACTCCCTGGTTCAAGTGATTCTCCTGCCTCAGCCTCCCAAGTAGCTGGGATTACAGGCATGTGCCACCACGCCTGGCTAATTTTTGTATTTTTAGTAGAGACGGGGTTTCACCATGTTGGCCAGGATCGTCTCGATCTCCTGACCTTGTGATCCAGCCACCTCGGCCTCCCAAAGTGCTGGGATTACAGGCGTGAGCCACCGCGCCCAGACCATAAAAATATTTTAATATGCTCAATATATATAATACATTTTTCATTCATTCAGGTTATGAGTTTGAAAGATGTTTCAAATCTTAAGAGTGAAATCATTTACTTATGCACAGTCTGTAATGTAAAAAAGCACTCCCTTTGCCATCTATAAATTAATATTCAAATTTCCATACCTAAATAGAAAACAAACCAGAAAAATTTGCTATAGTTCATTTATTAATATAATTCTTAATTTACAAATTTAGTAGATATTATATTTTTCTTTTAATATAAATTTAAATACATGCTTATTATAAAACATAAGGTAAGCAATTTGGAAACATGATACTCCCTCATCCATGTCCTCCCATCACCTCCCAACTGCAATCCTCAAAACTCGTCATTTTACAGAGAATTGTGCATGTCCTCCCTGATATTTTCTACTCACACACGAACATAATCAGACATAATAAAGGAACAGCTTGCTTTTTAAAAAGTGTAACATATCATGAATCTCTTTCTGTGTTACCATATACAGATTCATCTCATACAACTGGACGGAGGTCTATAAGCTCTCCATTAATGAACATTTAGGTGGCTTCTAATTTTTTTCTGCTATAAAAAATGCAGCAATGAATATTCTTCAGTTTGCATATCTTTTGTGTACTTTCAATTTCTAGGGAATATGGCATTTGTATTTTAAATTCTGATAGATGTTTCCAAAGCAATAATAACAAGGAGAGCTCATTTTCTCCATCAGCTTCATTAATACTGGGTATTACTATTTCAATCTAACAGAAAATAGGATTTTATAGGTGGTTTAAAATGAATTTCTTTAGATGCCTGAGCATCTTTTCATGTTTAATATTCATTTATACTTCTTCCTCTGTAACTTGCCTGTTCATATTCTTTGGCCCATTTTTTGTAATGATTATTTATCCTGCTTTTAGTCAATTTGTAAGATTTCTACATATCAAAGAAATTAGCCTACTGTCCAATCAAAAGTGATTCAAATACTTTTTTTTTTTGAGACACTCTCATTCAGTTAACCAGGCTGGAGTGCAGCAGCGCAACTTTTGCTCACTGCAGCCTCCGCCTCCTGGGTTCAAGCAATGCTCCTGCCTCAGCCTCCTAAGTAGCTGGGATTACAGGTGCGTGCCACCACACCTGGCTAATTTTTGTATTTTTAGTAAAGACGGGGTTTTGCCATATTGCCCAGGCTGGTCTTGAACTCCTAGGCTCAAGTGATCCACCCACCTCGGCCTCCCAAAGTGCTGGGATTACAGGCGACTTAAATACTTTTAATCCAGTTTGTTGTTTATCTTTCTACTTTGTTGTAATGAATTTTTCTATACGGAAATTCCAAATCTTCATTTAAACAAGTTTATTGATATAGTCCTTATTTAGCTTATAGGTTTAATGTCTTACTTAGATACAAAAGTAATCCCATATAATGCATTTTTAAGAAAACAATATTTATGAAATTCAGTTATGATCTAGTTAATTAATAAGTATATTAAGGATTTCTGAAGACATATTTACCTATACTACACTGTCAAAAAACTGAGAAAAAAATAATATGTAATTGTGCAACTTATCCATTTCCAACAATGTCTACATTAATTAATTTTATCACACTGTTTCAAAAATAGGCTTTTGTATTAACCTACTTTATCATGTCTCAAGATATAGTAAGGATTAATCACAAAATGCACAGCAAGAGTAACTTCCAATAATGGTGGAATGAAAAGATTGGTAACCATTTGTATTAGACTTATAATGAAGCACCATTGTGTGGAAAGCATTTGATATAATCTGACGAATAATGAAGCCACTTCTTTCATAAGATCTATCAATTTTGGTACTCAAAACACCATTAAAATAATAACAGTATGAAGAGGTCAGTAATTCCCCTCCACAAAAAAAAAATACATAAAACTGAACAAAATTATCCAAAAAGACCAACCATTTCAGGCCACTGGAAACTGTTTATTGAGAATTGTTGATTGTTGAAAAACTGCCAGTGCTTCAGGCAGGAATAGCCTTGCCTAGAACTGCCTCCATCACCCCTGCCCCCAGTTCAGTCAATGAGGTTTGTAGTTTTGCCATCCTGTAGCTGGTATACTTGTAGTTTCATGCCAGGGTGCCAAAATCAATTCAATGAGAGGCAAAAGCCTATAGCTCTACTGGCTGAAAGTAATGGACTTGGTGGACATGGATAGAGAAAACTTGCAGTTTTGCAAGACTGAGGTTGCAAACCAAGTTGAGGCAAGCAGTGGACCAACCAGAAACTTAACAGGGAGAGCTTGGAAATAAGAAAGCCATAAATGGATTCACATAAGTTCTCCACAAATTCCTGGCTGACTAGAAAATTACATATGTGTGGGGAACATCAGAGAGTTGGTAAAAAGAAAAGACCAAGGAAAAATTAATAAATGCCCACAACTTCAAATGCATTCCCCAACTAACCCACAGATTGATTAGCAGATAGTACAAACTTTATGGGCTGAAGGTGCATTAGCAGAACCTCAGCCCAAATCTTTGGCTGACATATGTAGACACTAAAAAGAGTCCTTAGGAATCAAACCTAAACAATGAAAATGAGACTAAAACACAAACAAAGCACAGACATCAATAAATGTACAACACAAGGAGACAAATTCTGTAGGCTAGGCAAGTAATGTAAAAAATATAAAAAACAACAAAACAGGAAAAAAGTATGCAGAGTTGCTATAATACATACAAAACTGTCCAGTTTTCAAACAAACAAATACTAGATGTTCAAGGAAAAGGTGCCTCCCTGAGGAGCAACATTAGAGGTTTACCACTATGGGGGAGAGGGGGGCGGGGATAGACTTCATTAAAATAATCCAATCCATTACTAAAAAACTAAACAAATAAATAACAATAACAAGCCCCAGGAAAGAGGGTGGGTGGGGACTAGCACACAGAGTTTGCTACCATATTATCTAGAATGCCCAGTTTCCAACCAAAAAATTAAGGGACATGCAAAGAAATGGGAAAAGTATGACCCATACCCCCTAAAGGAAAAAAAAAAAAAAACTGCCTGCAGAGTGACCAGATGTCAGGATGCTGGGATACAGGCATAAGCCACTGCATCCGGCCTGTATTCCTTTTCATTATTTCTCCCTTTATGGATATTCTCTATTTGACATGACATTGTCCTCTTACCCTGCTTTACTTCCGCAATCATGCTGTCCTTTTAGTACTGTGAGCATATTTATAATGGCTAGTTTGAAATCTTTTTCTCTTAAATCTGACATCTGGTTATTCTGCACACAGATTTTTTTTCCTGGGGCAGGAGAATTGCTTGAACCCAGGAGGTGAAGGTTGCAGTGAGCTGAGATTGCGCTACTGCACTCCAGCATGGGCAACACAGCGAGACTCCATCTCAAAAAAAAAGACTATAATGGAAATTATGGAATTAAAAAGTACAATGACTGAAATTAGAAATTCACTAGAGAGGCTTGCTATGGGTTGAATTGTATCCCTCCAAATTTCATATGCTGAAGTTCTGTCTACCAGTACATCAAAATATAACTTTATTTGGAGATGGAGTCTTTAAAAAGGAAATTAAGGTACAATGAAAACCTCAAGGTAGGTCTAAATCTAATATGACTAGTGTCTTTATAAAAGAGGGAAATGTGGAGACAGGCACGCAAACAGGGAGAATGTCATGTGAACATGAAGATGGCCAACTACAACAAAGGAGAGAGGCCTAGAACAGATCCTTCCTTCACGACCCTCATAAGAAGTCAACCTTGCCAATATCTTCATTTCTGACTTCTAGGTTCCCAAACTGTAAAACAAAACAAAACAAAATTTGGGTTTTTTTTTGAGATGGAGTCTCACTCTGTCACCCAGGCTGGAGTACAGTGGCACGATCTCAGCTCACTGCAGCCTCCGCCTCCTGGGTTCAAGCGATTCTCCTGCCTCAGCCTCTTGAGTAGCTGGGACTACAGGTGTGCGCCACCATGCCTGGCTAATTTTTTTGTATTTTTAGTTTCACCATATTAGCCAGGCTGGTCTTGAACTCCTGATCTCAGGTGATTCACCCGCCTTAGCCTCTTGAAGTGCTGGGATTACAAGAGTGAGCCACGGCGCCCAGCCACAAAATTTGTTTTTTAAGCTACTTTGTGGTACCTCATTATGGGAGCCCCAGAAAACTAATACAGGGCTCAACAGTAGCTGTGAAATGGCAGAAGAAAGAATTAGCAAACTTGAAGATATATCAATACAGATTATGCAAGCTGAAGAACAAAGAGAAGAAATAATTAAGAAAAATGAACAGAGCCTAAGAGAGATGCGGAACACCATTAAGCATACCAACATACTCATAATGGAAGTACTGTAAGAAGAAAAGAAAAAGGAAAAGAAAAATATTCAAAGAAATAATAGCTAACAACTTCCCAAATTTCTTGAAAAACAACCAACACATCCAGGAAGCTAAAAAAACTCCAAGTAGGATAAATGCAAAGAGACCCACAAACAGAAACATCATAGTAAAAATGCTGAAAGTCAAAGACAAAATCTCGGAAGCAACAAGAGAAAAATATCAGGTCACTTACAAGGGAACCCAAATAATATTAACAGCTGACTTCTCAGTAGAAACAGATGCCAGAAGGCAGTGAGAGAACATACTCAAAGTACTCAAAGAAATTTAAAAATTGTTAATCATAAATCCTAAATCCAGCAAAGTGAATGTTCAAAAATAAAGGAAAAATAAAAACTTCACTAGATAAACAAAAACTCACAAAATATATTGCTACCAGAACTGCCTTACAATAAATATAAAAGCAAGTTCATCAGGCTGAAAGCAAGTGATTTAAAAAGCAATTATATAGAATAATATTTATAGAATAGAAAGTAATGTTTGGCCTATAACATAGAAATGTAATATATTTCTATTTACATTTGGTGTAAATATTTTCCAATAACAGCATATAGTAGGTAGGTGGGGCCAAAGTTGTAATGAGTTAAGGAAATGCCTAGAGATGGTAAAGTAATAATTATAACAATATTTTCTTGGGTTAGTAATATTAATAGATAGAATATGTATAACAAAAATATCATTACGAGAAAGGAAATACAGATGTATAGGAGTAACATTTTCATATGTTATTGGCATTAAGCTGGTATAAATCTCAAGCTGCTGGGCACAGTGGCTCACGCCTGTAATCCTAGCACTTTGGAAGGCTGGCGGGGGGACTGCTTGAGTCCAGGAGTTCGAGACCAGCCTGGGCAACGTGGCAAAACCCCATCTCTACCAAACAAACAAACAAAAAATCTGACACTGACTTTGACAAGTTACAATATATATGACAAGTCCTAGAGAAACCAGTCAAAAAAAGAACTCAAAAAATTCAGTGAAAAAATAATTAATAAAAATGCTACATGATATAGTTTGGAATTTGTTCCCTCCAAACCTCATGTTGAAATTTGATCCTCAATGTTGGAGGTGGGGCCTTGTTGGAGATGTTTGGGTCATGGAGGTGGATCCCTCATGATCAGCTTGGTGCCATCCTTGCAGTAATAAGTGAGTTCTTGCTGTATTCATTCCCACAATATCTGATTTTTAAAAAGAACCTGGCACCACCTTCTCTCTCTCTTGCTCTTTTTCCCTTACTATGTGACATCTTTGCTCTCCCTTAGCCTTCTGCCATGATTGGAGGCTTCCTAAGGTCCTTAACAGAAGCAGATGCTGGCACTATGTTTCTTGTACAACCTGCAGAACAATAAGCCAAATAAACCTCTTTTCTTTATAAACTATGTAGCCTCAGGTATTCTAACAATGCAAACAGTCTTATAAATCATATTAGAAAATATACTCAATGCAAAAGACAGCACTAATGAAGAAACAGAGAAACAAAAAAGACATGAAACACATAAGAAACAAAAAGCAGACACAGAAAACAACAAGTAAAATGGAAGGCATAAATCCAACTATCAATAACATTAAATGTGAACAGCTTAATCCAATCAAAAGGCAGCAGCTGTCAGACTAGATTTTTTAAAAATTCAATTATATGTTGTCTACAGAAGACAGACTTTAGATTGAAGGACACAAATAGATTAAAATTAAAAGCTGGAAAAAGATGTATACTGCAAACAGCAACAACAGGAAAATTTTAGTGGCTATGGTAATATCAGACTTTAAAAAGTTACTAAAGAGGAATACCTTCTAAGAATAACAGGGTCAATCCATCAGGAAGATATAACATGTATATGGCTGGGCACAGCGGCTCACGCCTGTATTCCTAGCAATTTGGGAGGCTGAGGCGGGCGGATTACTTGAGGTCAGGAGTTCAAGACCAGCCTGGCCAACATAGTGAAACCCCATCTCTACTAAAAAGACAAAAATTAGCCAGACGTGGTGGTGCATGCCTGTAGTCCCAGTAACTCAGGAGGCTGAGGCAAAAGAATCACTTGAACCCAGGAGGCAGAGGTTACAGTAGCCAAGATTGCACCACTGCATTCCAGCCTGGGTGACAGAGTGAGACTCTGTCTCAAAAAAAAAAAAAAAAAAAAAAGGAACATACAACATCTATAAATATATATACAACTAACAACAGAGCACCAAAATACATGAAGAAAAAACAGACAGAAATGGAGAAACAGATAATGAACAACAACAGTTGAAGACTTTAATATCCTACCTTCAATAATGGAGAGAACAATGAGGCAAAAGATCAACAAGGAAATAGAAGACTTAAACAACATTATAAATGAACTAGACGTAACAGACATCTACAGAACACTCTATCAAACAAAGGCAGATTATATACTCTTCTCAAGTCTACATAAAACATTCTCCAGATTAGACCATATGCTATGCCATAAGGGAAAAAAAGTCAATAAATTTAAAAGGACAGAAATAACACGAAGTATGTTCTCCAACCACAATGGAATAAATTAGAAATCAATAACAAGAAAGTTATTTAAAAAACCCACAAATATGTGGAAATTAACAACACACTCTTAAATAATTGATGGGTTTAATAAATCAGAAGGAAAATAAAAAACTGAGATGAAAGAAAATGAAGACGCAACATATAACAAATTATGGGGTTCAGCTAAAGCAGTGCTTAGAGGAAAATTTATAGATATAAATACCTATATTAAGAAAGAAGAGGCCAGGCACAGTGGCTCATGGCTATAATCCCAATGCTTTTGGAGGCTGAGGTGGGAAGACTGCTTGAGGCCAGTAGTTCAAGACCAGCCTGCGCAACACTGAAAGACCCCATTTCAAAAATAAAAATGTTTTAAAAATAGAAAGAAGAAAGATCTCAAATCAGTAACATGACTTTCTACCTTAAAACAGTGACAAAAAAGAGCAAAGGGTATGAGGGTTCTTTATAAGGTGATAAAAATGTTTTAAAATTGACTGTGGTGATCATTTACATACCTATAGATATATGAAAAACCAACAAATTATATATTTTAAATGGGTGAATTATATGGTATGTGAATTCTATCTCATTAAAGTTCAAAAAGTGAAGGTGAAATAAAAATTTTCCCAGATAAATACTAACAGAATTTTCAGATAGTAGACTTGCCATACTGAGAATGCTAAAGCTGAAAGGAAACGGTAACTGGAATCCACAAGAAAAAATGAAGAGGCACAGAAATAGTAATTATGTGGATAAATATAAAAGACTATATATGAATATTTTTTCTTGCATTTCTAAGAATGTAAGATTATTTAAAGGAATAATTATAATACTGCATTATTGTGTTTATAACATATTTAGATGTAATATATGTGAAAATAATAGCACAAAGAAAATGGGAAAGCAAAGTTGTTACGTTTTAAGTCGATATCAACTTGAAATAGATTGTAATACACTAAAGATAAATACTATTATCTCTAAAAGAAAAAATTCTTAAATAGTTAAAAAACACAGAGGAAATAGAAAGGTATACTTTTTTAACACAAAGAAAACAGCAAAGGAGGAACAGAGGAACAACAACAAAGAGACATGAGAAATACAGAAAGCAAATGGCAAAATAAAAAACATAAATCTGTCATACCAAAAATTACATTACATGTGAGTGAACTAAACACTTCAATCAAAAGGCAAAAACTGTCAAAGTAGATAAAAAGCAAGATCCAATAGTACACTGTCCAAAAAAGACTATTTAAATTAAGAAAAACAAGCATATTGAAAATAAAGGGTTGGAAAAAGTGCCATGTAATCAGTAACCATGAGAGAGGTAGAATGGATAAACTAATAGCAGAAGGAATACATAGCAATTATAAATGTATATGCACCTAACAACAGAGCCTGAAAATATACAAAGCAAAAACTGACACAGAAAAAGATAATGGAGCAATTGTTAGAAATCTTAATACTCTCTTGCCAGAAATTGATAGAAAACCAGTAGCGATATGTAATATTTAAACAACACTATGAAACAATATGACCAAACTGAAATTTATAGAACATTTCCCTAAAACAGCAGAATGTATATTATTTCAAGAGTACATAGAACATTTCCATTTTAGACCCTATGCTGAGCCATGGACCCTCTTAATACATTAAAAAGGCATAAAATCATACAAAGCACATTCTCCAAATTAAGCAATGGCTTCTTAGCTATGACACCAATATGCAAATGACCAAAAGAAGAAAAAAGAAGATCAAATGGACTCCATCAAAATTTTAAACTTTTATTCTTCAAAGGATACCATCAGAAAAGTTAAAAAAAAAACATACACACACAATTCATCAATAAAAAAATCAGATAACCAATTAAAAACTAAGAAAACAATTTGAACAGACATATATCTAATAAAGATATGCAGATATCCATTAAGCAAAAGATGTCATTCATATGAAATATCCAGAACAGGTACATCCGTAGGGACAGAAAGTAGATTTAGTAGTTGCCACCAGCTGGGAGAGTGACTGCTAATGAATATAGGGTTTCTTTTTGAAGTGATGCACAACTTTGTGAATATCCTAAGAGCTGAAATGTACACTTATGATATATAAATGATATGATATATAAAGATATATAATTTATTTATATATAATATATTTATATATAAAGATATCTTAACAAAGATATCATTAAAAATAAAGTATAATCTCTAACCACAACAGAATTAAAGTAGAAATCACCAAAAAAAGGAAATCTAGGAAACTCCCTGATATGTGAAAGTAAAACAGCAAGTTTTAAAATACTCTGTGGATCATAAGAATGAGAAGGCAAACCACAGACTGGGAGAAAATATTTGCAAAAGACATACTGGACAAAGGACTATTTAAATATTTTAAAAACTCAACCATAAGAAAGCAACTAATTTAAAAATGGGAAAGATCTAAACATCTTTTTAAGTTAGCTTTGAACTTTTAAAGTTAGCTATGAACAGTGAAAATAAAATTTAAGAAAATAATTCATGTACAATAGTATCAAAAAGTATAAAATACTTAGGAATAAACAGTAAAAATAAAGAAGCACAAGACCTGTACACTGGGGATTACAAAATATTGCTGAGAGAAATTAAATGAAACCTATTAAATGGAGAGATATACCATGTTCAATGGTTGGATAATTCAATATTTTTAAGATGGCATTTCTGCCTAAATGATTCAACACAATCTCTCTCAAAAATCTAAGCAGATGTTTTTGTAAAAATTGACAACTGATTTCAAACTTTATTTGGAAATTTAAAGGACATACAATATATGAAATTTTCAAGAAAAAGATTTTAAAATGGAGGACTTACTGTGTGTATTAGAGTTCTCTAGAGGGACAGAACTAATGGAATAGATATATATAAAGGAGAGTTTATTAAGTATTACCTCACATGATCACAAGGTCCCTCAATAGGCCGTCTGCAGGCTGAGGAGCAAGGAGAGCTAGTCTGAGTTCCGAAACTGAAGAACTTGGAGTCCAGTGTTTGAGGGCATCCAGCATGGGGGAAAATGTAGGCTGGGGCCAGGCATGGTAGCTCACACCTGTAATCCCAGCACTTTGGGAGGCCGAGGTGGGTGAATCACCTGAGATCAGGAGTTTGAGACCAGCCTGGCCATACTAAAAATACAAAAATTAGCCAGGCATGGTGGTACATGCCTGTAGTCCTATCTACCCAGGAGGATGAGGCAGGAAGATGGCTTGAACCCAGGATGTGGAAGTTGCAGTGAGCTGAGATCGCAACACTACACTCCAGTCTGGGTGACACAGTGAGACTCCATCTCAAAAAAAAAGAAAAAAAAAAAAAAGATGTAGGCTGGGAGGCTAGGCCAGTCTCTTTTCACATTTTTCTGCCTGCTTATATTCTAGCCACACTGGCAGCTTATTAGATTGTGCCCACCCAGATTAAGGGTGGGTCTGCCTTTCCCAGTCCACTGACTCAAATGTTAATCTCCTTTGGCAACACCCTCACAGACACACCCAGGATCAATACTTTGTACCCTTCAATCCAATCGAGTTGACATTCAGTATTAACCATCACATAGTAATTGATTTTAAAACTTACTATAAAGCGATAGTAATCAGTACAGAGTTATATTGATGTAAATATAGACACATAAGCGTTCCTTTTTCTCCATAACCTTGCCAGCATCTGTTTTTTTTTTTACTTCTTAATAGACATTCTGACTGGTATGAGATGGCATCTCATTGTAGATTTGATTTGCATTTCCCTAATGATCAGTGATATTGAGCCTTTTTTTCATATGCTTGTTGGCCACATGTATGTCTTCTTTTGAAAAGTGTTCATGTCCTTTGCCCACTTTTTAATGGGGTTATTTAAGTTCTTTATAGGTTGTGGATATTAGGTCTTTGTCAGATGCATACTTTGCAGATATTTTCTCTCATTCTATAGATCATCTGTTTATTCCCTTTATAGTTTCTTTTGTTGTGTAGAAGCTCTTCAGTTTAATTAGGTCCCACTTGTCAATTTTTGTTTTTGTTGAAATTACTTTTGAGGACTTTAATCCACCTTGAGTTAATTTTTTTATATGGTGATAGGTAGGGGTCCAGTTTCATTCTTCTGCATCTGGATAGCCAGTTATTCTAAGACTATTTATTGAACAGGAAGCCTTTTTCCTCATTGCTTATTTTTGTTTACTTTGTCAAAGATCACATGGTGGGGGTGCAGCTTTATTTCTGGATTCTCTATTCTGTTCCATCGGTCTATATGTCTGTTTTTGTGTTGTACCATGTTGTTTTGGTTACAGTAGCCTTGTGGTATAGTTTGAAGTCAGGTAATGTGATGACTCTGACTTTGTTCTTTTTGCTTAAGATTGCTTTAACTTTTCAGTCCTTTTTTGGTTCCATATGAATTTTAAAATAGTTTTTTCTAAGTCTGTGAAAAATGATGTTGGTAGTTTGACGAGAATAGCATTGAATCTGTAAATTGCTTTGGGTAGTATGGCCATTTTAACACTATTAATTCTTCCTATCCATGAGCATGGACTGTTTCTCCATTTGTTTGTATTGTCTCTGATTTTCTTCAGTAATGTTTTGTAGTTCTCATTGTAGAGATTTTTTTTTACCTCCTGAGTTAGCTGTATTCTTACATATTTTATTCTTTTTGCAGCTATTGTAAATGGGACTGCATTCTTGATTTGGCCCTCAGCTTGAACAATGTTGATGTATAGAAATTCTGCTTGAAGATCAGCTGTTTGAAAATACACATTCAGCGGAGAAAAAAGACAAAAGAACAAAAAGGAACAAAGACTGCCTATAAGATATAAAAGAGTACCTCAAAAGACCAAATGTAAGAATTCCTGTGTTTAAGAGGGAGCAGAGCAAGAACAAGGGATAAATAACTTATTCAAAGAAATAACAACAGAAAACTTTCCAAAACTTGAGAAAGATATAAATATCCACGTACAGGAAGGTCTTAGACCACCAAACAGATTCAATCTATACAAGACATATAATAATCAAACTCACAAAGGTCAATGACAAAGAGAATACCCTAAAATCAGCTACAGAAAAGAAGCAAATAACATATAAAGAAGCCCCAATTCATCTGGAAACAGACTTCTCAATGAAACCATGCAGGCAGAAGGGAGTGGAATGGCATTTTCAAAGTGCCCAAAGGGAAAAAAAAGCCCTGCCATCCAAGTGTTTTGTATCCAGAAAAAATTGTTATTTAAATAAGAAGTAGAGATAAAGTCTTTCCCAGACAAATGAAAGCTGAGACAATTCATCACTACCAGATCCACCTTGCAAAAAATGCTAAATGGAGTTCTTCAATCTGGAAGAAAATACAAAATACCAGTGTGCAAAGAAAAAATGTTCAAGGTATAAAAACCATTGGTAAAATTAAGTATACAGACAAACACAGAATAATCTATTACTGTATCTGTGGTGTACAATCCATTCATATCTCTAGTGTGAAGCCTCCAAGACAAGTTTATCAAAAACAATAATAACTATAGCAACCTGTTAAGAAATAGGTAATATAAAAATATATCAGTTGACAACTAAAAGTGAAAATGAAATAGGTAATATAAAAATATATCAGTTGACAACTAAAAGTGAAAATGTTGGGAGAAGAAGCTAAAGTGTAGAATTTTTTTTTGCCTTTGTTTCCATTCTTTTGTCTGTGATCTAAAATAAGTGTCATCTCTTTAAAATAATTTGTTATATATATATATATATGTATGTATGTATGTGTATATATATATATATATATATATATTTCTTTTTTTTGAGACGGAGTCTCGCTCTATTGCCCAGGCTGGACTGCAATAATTTGTTATATTTATAAGATGTTTTTTGCAAGAATCATGGTAATGATAGTATGAAACCTATAATATATTCACTAAAAATAAACATCAATAAATTAAAATATACTACCAGAGATAATCACTTAACTACAAAGGAAGACAATAAGAAACAAAAAAAGGAAAAGAGAATTCTCAAAACAAGGAGAAAACAAGCAATAAAATGGTTGCAGTAAGTCCATACTTATTTACAATCACACTGAATGTAAATGGTCTCAATTGTCCAATTAAGAAGCATAGTGTGGCTTAATGGATAAAGAAATAAGACCCAACTATATGCTGCCTTCAAGGAATCCATTTCACTTATAAAGATACACATAGACTGAGACTGAAAGATATTCCACGTAACTGAAAACTAAAAAAGATCAGGAGTATCTATTCTTATATCAGATAAAATAGACTACAAATCAAAGACTAAAAAAAGACAAAGAGGGTCACTATATAATGATAAAGGTGGCAATTCAGCAAGAAGATATAACAATTATGAATATCTATGAACCCAACACTGGAGCCCCCAAGTATATAAAGTTAATGCTTGCTTTATATACATGAAGGCTCCAGTGTTAGGTTCATAGATAAACTACAATACAATAATAGTAGGGGACTTTAACATGCCACTCTAGTAATAGACAAATCATCTAGACAGAAAATCAACAAAGAAAGAGTAAAATTAAACTACGCACTAGATCTAATAGGCCTAACTGACATTTATAGAACATTTCACCCTATTGCTACAGAATATACATTCTTTTCACCAGCACATGAAACATTTTCCAGAACAGACCATATCTTAGGCTACAAAACAAGTCTAAACAAATTCAGAAAAATACAAATCACAAGTATCTTTTCTGACCATATGGAATAAAACTAGAAATCAATAATAAAAGGAATTTGGAAAATACACAGACACATGGAAATTAAGTAACATACTCTTCAATCACCAATGGGTCAATGAAGAAATTAAGAAGAAAATTTAAAAATTTATTGAAACAAATGAACATGGGAATATAACATACCAAAATCTATGAGACAGAGCAAAAGTAGTACTGAGAGGGAAGGTTATAGCAATAAATTCCCATATTAGAAAAGTAGAAAGAGTTCAAATAATCTAATGATGCACCTTGAAGAACTAGAAAATCAAGAATAGGCTGGGCACGGTGGCTCATGCCTGTAATCCCAGCACTTTGGGAGGCCACGATAGGAGGATCACTTGAGGTCAGGAGTTTGAGAGCAGTCTGGCCAACATGGTGAAACCCCATTTCTACTAAAAATACAAAAATTAGCCAGGCATGGTGGCAGACACCTGTAGTCCCAGCTACTCGGGAGGCTGAGGTGGGAGAATTGCTTCAACCCGGGAGGTGGAGGTTGCAGTGGCCGAGATCACGCCATTGCACTCCAGCCTGGGTGACAAAGCGAGACTCCGTCAAAAAAAAAAAAAAAAAAAAATCAAGAATAAACCAAACCGAAAATTAGCAGAAGAAGAGAAATAAAGATCGAAGCAGAAATAAATGAAATTGGAATTTAAAAAAATACAGAAGAGGCCAGGCACGGTGGCTCATACCTGTAATCCTAGCACTTTGGGAGGCCAAGGCAGGCAGATCACTTGAGTCCAGGAGTTCAAGACCAGCCTGGGCAACATGGTGAAACCCCATCTCTACAAAAAATGCAATAATTAGTCAGATGTGGTGGCACGTGCCTATAGTCCCAGCTACTTGAAGGGCTGAGGTGGGAGGATCACTTGAGCATAGGAGGTCAAGGCTGCGGTGAGCTGTGATCACGCCACTGTACTCCAGACTGGGTGACAGAGTGAGACTCTGTCTCAAAAAACCAAAAACAAAAACCACAGAAGATCAATGAAATGAAAAACTGATTTTTTGAAAAGATAAACAAAATCAACAAACCTTAGCTAGACTAAGAAAGAGAGATCCAAATAAAAAAATAAGAAATGAAAAAGGAGATATAACTGAAACCTTAGAAATACAAAGAATCATTAAATAATATTATAAACTACTATATGCAAAACTAATTGAAAAACCTAGAAAAAATGGTTAGATTCCTGGACACAGACAACCTACCATGATTGAGCCATGAAGAAATAGAAAACCTCAACAAACCAATCATAAGTAACAAGATCAAAGCCATAATAAAAAGTTTCCCATCAAAGAAGTGCCCAAGACCTGATGGATTCACTGCTGTATACTACCAAACATTTCAAGAAAACTAATACCAACCTTACTCAAACTCTTCAAAAATACTGAAAAGGAGGGAATGCTTCCAAACTCATCCAAAGAGGCCAGCATTACCCTGATACCAAAACCATACAAGGAACCAACAAAAAAAGAAAACTACAGGCCAATACACTTTGATATATTGATATAATATGAACATAGATGCAAAAATCCAGCAAACTGAATTCAACAACACATTAAAAAGATCACTTGTCATGATCAAGTGGGATTCATCCCAGAGATGCAAGAATGATTCAACATATATGTATCAATAGACATGATACATGACATTAACAGAATCAAGAACAAAAACCATATGATTATTTCAATGGATGCCAGAAAAGCATTCAATAAAATTCAACATCCCTTTATAACAACAACAACAACCAAAAAAACCCTCATCAAAACAGGTATAGGAGGGACATACTTCAAAATAATAAAAGCCAACAGGGAAAAATTGAAGGCCTTTCCTCTAAAGACTGGAACAAGATGATGATGCCCACTTTCCCACTATTATTCAACATAATATTGGAAGTCCTGGCCACAGCAATTAAGCAAGACAAAGAGATAAAGAGTATCCAAATTGGAAAGGAAGAAGTCATATTAGCCTTGTTCTCAGATGACATGATCTTACATCAAAAAAACCCTAAATACTCCACCAAAAAACTATTAGAAGTGGTAAAAAAAATTCAGTAAAGTTGCAGGATACAAAAATCAACATACAAATGTCAATAACATTTATATATGTCAAAGAACAATCTGAAAAAGAAATCAAAAAAGCAATCCCATTTACAATGGTTACAAAAAACAAAACAAAACAAAACAAACTAGGAATCAATCTAACCAAAGAAGTGAAAGATCTAGGCAAGGAAGACCATAAAACTCTGATGAAAAAAATAGAAGAGGTCACCAAAAAATGGAAAGGTATTCCATGCTCACGTACTGGAAGAATTAATGTTGTTAAAATGACAACACTACCCAAAGCAATTTTGAGATTCCATGCAATCCTTATCAAAATACCAACGACATTCTTCAGAGAAATAGAAAAAATAATACTAAACTTTATATGAAACCACAAAAGACTCCAAATAGCAAAGTAATCCTAAGCAAAAAGAACAAAGCTGGAAGCATCACATTACCTGACTTCAAAATACACTACACAGCTATAGTAACCCAAACAGCATGGTACTGGCATAAATATAGACACATAGACCAATGGAACATAATACAGACCCACATATAAGTCCATGCATTTATGACCAACTCATCTTTGACAAAGGTGCCGAGAACATATTTTGGGGAAAGGATAGTCTTTTTAATAAATGCTGCTGGGAAAGCTGGATTAACTATGTGGAAGAATGAAATGAAACTAGACCCCAATCTCTCACAATACACAAAAATTAAATCAAAACTGATTAAAAACTTAAATATACAACCTCAAATTAAACATTGGGGAAACTCTTCAGGACACTGGTCTGGGCCAATTTTTTTTTGTGTGTAAGGCCTCAAAAGCACAGACAAGGCCGGGCACAGTGGCTCACGCCTGTAATCCCAACACTTTGGGAGGCCGAGGTGGGTGGATCATGAGGTCAGGAGATCGAGACCATCCTGGCTAACACAGCGAAACCCCATCTCCACTAAAAAAATACAAAAAAATTAGCCGGGCGTGGAGGCTGGGGCAGGAGAATGGCATGAACCCAGGAGGCGGAGCTTGCAGTGAGCCGAGATCGCGCCACTGCACTCCAGCCTGGGCAACAGAGCAAGACTCCCTTCCTTACACCTTATACAAAAATTAATTCAAGATGGATTTAAAGACTTAAATGTTAGACCTAAAACCATAAAAACCCTAGAAGAAAACCTAGGCAATACCATTCAGGACATAGGCATGGGCAGGGACTTCATGACTAAAACACCAAAAGCAACGGCAACAAAAGCCAAAATTGACAAATGGGATCTAATTAAACTAAAGAGCTTCTGCACAGCAAAAGAAACTACAACCTACAGAATGGGAAA
The DNA here is from genome assembly GCF_000001405.40 of Homo sapiens. Classification (NCBI taxonomy): domain Eukaryota; kingdom Metazoa; phylum Chordata; class Mammalia; order Primates; family Hominidae; genus Homo; species Homo sapiens. The sequence continues at coordinate 142,759,633 of NC_000003.12, read as the reverse complement.
AGTGAAAAGGCAACCTACAGAATGGGAGAAAATTTTTACAATCTACCCATCTGACAAAGGGCTAATATCCAGAATCTACAAAGAACTTAAACAAATTTACAAGAAAAAATCAACCCCATCAAAAAGTGGGCAAAGGATATGAACAGACACTTCTCAAAAGAAGACATTTATGCACCCAACAGACACATGAAAAAATGCTCATCATGACTGGTCATCAGAGAAATGCAAATCAAAACCACAGTAAGATACCATCTCACACCAGTTAGAATGGCGATCATTAAAAAGTCAGGAAACAACAGATGCTGGAGAGGATGTAGAGAAACAGGAATACTTTTACACTGTTGGTGGGACTGTAAACTAGTTCAACCATTGTGAAAGACAGTGTGGTGATTTCTCAAGGATCTAGAACTAGAAATACCATTTGACCCAGCCATCCCATTACTGGGTATATACCCAAAGGATTATAAAACATGCTGCTATAAAGACACATGCACACTTATGTTTATTGTGGCATTATTCACAATAGCAAAGACTTGGAACCAACCCAGATGTCCATCAATAATAGACTGGATAAAAAAAATGTGGCACATATACACCATGGAATACTATGCAGCCATAAAAAAGGATGAGTTCATGTCCTTTGTAGGGACATGGATGAAGCTGGAAACCATCATTCTGAGCAAACTATCGCAAGGACAGAAAACCAAACACTGCATGTTCTCACTCATTGGTGGGAATTGAACAATGAGAACACTTGGACACAAGGTGGGGAACATCACACACCAGGGCCTATTGTGGGGTGGGGGAGGGGGGAGGGATAGCATTAGAGATATACCTAATGTAAATGACAAGTTAACCGGTGCAGCACACCAACATGGCACATGTATACCTATGTAACAAACCTGCACGACATGCACATGTACCCTAGAACTTAAAGTATAATTGAAAAAAAAGAAAAAAAAAGTACAGACAACCAAAGCAAAAATAGACAATTGAGATTACAGTAAGCTAAAACACTTCCACAAAACAAACAAAAGAGCCAACTCATAGAATGGGAGACTATATTTGCAAACTATCCATCTGACAAGAGATTAATAACCAGAATATGTAAGGAGCTCAAACAACTCAAAAGCAAAAAACCAAAAATAAATAATCTGATTTTACAATGGGCAAAAGATCTGAATGGATATTTCTTAAAAGAAAACATACAAATGACCAACAAGTATATGAAAAAATGTTCAACATCACAAATCACCAGAGAAATGCAAATCAAAATCACAATGCAGTATCATCGCACTCCAGTTAAAATAGTTTGTATCAGAATGGCACACAATAACAAATGCAAGCAAAGATGTGGACAAAGGGGAACTCTCACACACTGTTGCTGGAAATGTAAATAATTATAGCCACTATGGAGAACAGTATGGAGGTTCTTCAAAAAACTAAAAATAGAACTACCAGAGAACAGTATGGAGGTTCTTCAAAAAACTAAAAATAGAACTACCATATGAGGGTGGTGGGGGTGTTAGGAGAAGGTGGGGATGGTTAATGAGTACAAAAAAAAATAGAAAGAATAAGACCTAGTGTTTGATAGCACAATAAGGTGACTATAGTCCATAATTTAATTGTACATTTATTATTGTACATTATAAAAGAGTATAATTGGATTGTTTGCAACACAAAGGATAAATGCTTGAGGGGATGGATACCCCATTTTCCATGACCTGAGTATTACACTATTGCATGCCAGTATCAAAATATCCCATGTACCCAATAAATACATATATGTACTATGTACCCACAAAAAAATTTTTTTTTAATTATTATACTTTAAGTTCTGGGCTACATGTGCAGAACGTGCAGATTTGTTACATAGGTATACATGTGCCATGGTGGTTTGCTGCACCAATCAACCTGTCATCTAGGTTTTAAGCCCCGCATGCATTAGGTATTTGCCCTAATGCTATCCCTCCCCTTGCCCCCCATCCCCCAAGAGGCCCCGGTGTGTGATGTTCCCCTGTGTCCATGTGTTCTTATTGTTCAACTCCCACTTATGAGTGAGAACATGTGGTGTTTGGTTTTCTGTTCCTGTGTTAGTTTGCTGAGAATGATGGTTTCCAGCTTCATCCATGTCCCCACAAAGGACATGAATTCATGTCTACATGCCTAGTATTCCAGGGTATATATGTGCCACATTTTCTTTATCCAGTCTATCACTGGTGGGCATTTGGGTTGGGTCCTAGTCTTTGCTATTGTGAATAGTGCCGCAATAAACATGTGTGCATGTGTCTTTATAGAATGATTTATAATCCTTTGGGATTATTTTAAACATAATTTTTTTTTAAAAAAAAGAACTACCATATGATCCAGCAATTCCACTATTAGATACATATATATATATATCCAAAAGAAAGGAAATCAATATAGCCAAGAAACATCTGCATTCCCATGTTTATTGCAGCATTGTACACAATAGTCAAGATATGGACTCAACCTAAGTACCCATCAATGGATGAATGGATTTTAAAAACATGGTTTATATACATAACGGAATATTATTCAGCCATTGAAAAGAATGAAATCCTGTAATTTGCAGCAACATGGATGGAACCTGAGGCCATTATGCTAAGTGATATAAGCCAAGCACAGAAAGACAACTTTCACATGTATTTGGTAGCTAAAACAGTAGATCTCATGAAGATAGAGAGTAGACTGGTGGCTACCAGAGGCCAGGAAAGAATGGGATGTATGAAGGGGAAAGAAAATAATATTCATGTATTTATTACCACTGAACTGTACACTTAAAAATGGCAAAGATGGTAAATTATAGACATATATTTTACCTCAACAAGAAATAAAAAAATTTTTAAAACCACAGTAAGAAACCACTACACTCCTGCTAAAATGACTAAGAAAAAAGACCAGCAATATCAAGTTTCAGTAAGTATGTGGCAGAATTAGAACCATCATACCAGGGCCTGGTGCAGTGGCTCATGCCTGTAGTCCCAGCACTTTGGGAGGCCGAGGCAGGCGGATCACGAGGTCAGGAGATCGAGACCATCCTGGCTAACACGGTGAAACCCCGTCTCTACTAAAAATACAAAAAATTAGCCGGGCGTGGTGGTGGGCGCCTGTAGTTCCAGCTACTCGGGAGGCTGAGGTAGCAGAATGGCGTGAACCCGGGAGGCGGAGCTTGCAGTGAGCTGAAATCGCGCCACTGCACTCCAGCATGGGCAACAGAGCGAGACTCTGTCTCAAAAAAAAAAAAAAAAGAACCATCATACCTTACCAGTAAAAATGTTAAACTGTTTCCAACCACTTTGGAGAACAGTTTGACAACTACTTAAAAAGTTAACACACCCAGAAATTCCATTCCTAGGTGTCTACCCAACAAAAATAAAAACATGTCCGCACAAAGACTTGTAAGTGAATGTTCACTGCCAAAAACTGGAAACAACTCAAATGTTGAGCAGCTAGTGAACAGATAAATAAAAGGTGGTACTATAACCATACAATGGAATACTGCTCAACAATTTTTAAAATGAATTACTGACATATGAAACAATATGGATGGACCTCAAAAATATTATGGTAAGTAAAAGAAAGCCAGAGACATAAGTCAAGATATTTTATGATTCCATTTATATGAAATTTCTAGTAAAGAAAAGACTACAAAAATAGAAAAACTGGTGGTTGCATGGAGCTGGGGATGGAAACAAGGATTGACCATGAATGAACAGGCAAGAGAGAACTTTTTCCAATGATAGAAATGTTAGAATATTAGATTATGGTAATAGTTACACACTTTAAACATACTGTAAATCATCCATTTCCACACTGTAAAAAAAGCCTTTTTTGAGGCCCTATGGAGTAAGGTGATTATGATCTGTGTAACTTTCTGGGGTTTTGGTTTCACCCACACCAATATAAGAATATGGAAATATGTAATTCCCTATGTCCAAAGTACTTTTAAAACACTAATTTCATATGGTTCAACCTAAATATGTGGGCAACTATAAAAAGAACTGGAGTAAATGAGGCAAGATTAGTAAGGCAGGCAAACAATAAAAAAAGGAAAGGAAACATGAATGGAATTCTGTATAGGCAGAAATTGGGAGAAGGGATTTCTAACATGTAACTAAGCCATTGATGAGACTAGTTTCCAATCTAACACTGTAGCGAAGAGCCACATTTCTTTCTTTCTTTTTTAGATGGAGTTTTGCTCTTGTCACCCAGGCTGGAGTGCAATGGTGCAATCTTGACTCACCGCAACCTCTGCCTCCCAGGTTTAAGTGATTCTCCTGCCTCAGCCTCCCAAGTAGCTGGGATTACAGGTGCCTGCCACCACACCCGGCTAATATTTTTGTATTTGTAGTAGAGATGGGTTTTCACCATGTTGGCCAGGCTGGTCTCGAACTCCTGACCTCAGGTGATCCACCTGCCTCAGCCTCCCAAAGTGCTGGCATTACAGGCATGAGCCACTGCGCCCAGCAAGACTCAACATTTCTAACCAATGGTAATGTTAACCATTAAGGAACACGTGTAGAATACCAAACTAGTAACAGTGGTTAGCTCTAGAAATGAAAAGAAAAATTGGGATTGAAAATTGGGATTGAACAATACTTCCCTTTAAAGATTCTGGCAATATGGAAGCATAATGTCACAATACCTGAATCTTACAGGCTATATTATTCATTCATTCTCATATCAAAATCACCCTTTTTGGAGATTCATACCATTCAGTTATTCCAATACTCCCTCATCATCATCACTGTCATTTCCTACTTCCGTGTCACTCTTGTATATTCATTGAGGACTGTGGCACTAAGCAGTCTCTCTCCCAAGCCATTTTCCTGCCACTATGCCAGAAGAATTCCATATTCCTAACATGACCCCAGCCAACATCCTACTCTCTTGGTAGATACTGAGCCAAGTTTTACAAATTCATTTGCCTTCAGGGGTGATGTTGGTAATAATATGAATAAAGCTGAGTGTACATAGGGCTTACTGGCATTCAAATTCAAAATTATAAAAAACACTATGCAAGTTAAACAAAGCTCTTCTGCAAATTAAATTTTTGTTTTTTATTTTTATTTTTTTATTATACTTTTAAGTTTTAGGGTACATGTGCACAATGTGCAGGTTTGTTACATATGTATACATGTGCCATGTTGGTGTGCTGCATCCATTACATTAACTCGTCATTTTTTTTATTATACTTTATGCAAATTAAATTTAACTGGCAATCCATTTCTTTGCTATCTTTCCCAATTCCGGTGTTTCTCAAGTTTTTTTAAATTTTTGTCTTCCACTAATAGATAATAAATAAAGACTCCTTCTTTAAAGTTATTTGAAGTTTCAAAATACATCAAATATTGAGACTAAAACCAAATCACAGCTATTATATTACTGAAAATGTTTTTCTAAACTACAATGGTTTACTACCCTTCCCTGGCCCATTAGGAAATATTACCCTGAAACTACACCATCTCTAAAATTTAAAAAACAATTGTCTCTCTCTTTTTTTTTTTTTTTTTTTTTTTTGAGACGGAGTCTCGCTCTGTCACTTAGGCTAGGGTAGAGTGTGGTGGTGCAATCACAGCTTACTGTAGCCTCAACCTCCTGGGCACAGGTAATCCTCCCACCTCAGCCTCCTGCATAGCTGGGACCACAGGTACAAGTCACCTCATCTGGCTATTTTTGTAAAGACAAGGTCTAGCCATATGGCCCAGGATGGTCTGGAATTCCTGGACTCAAGTGATTCACCCGCCTTGGCCTCCCAAAATGCTAGGATTATAGGCGTGAGCCACCATGTCCAGCCATCTCACTTTCTTACTGCCAGTATATTGGCTCTTCAAATTCTGAGAAACCTTGCTATTTCTCTAAGTTTTTTTTTTTTTTTTTTTTGAGGCAGAGTCTCAGCTCACTGTGACCTCCACCTCCCAGGTTCAAGCGATTCTCCTGCCTCAGCCTCCTGAGTAGCTGGGACTACAGGTGCATGCCACCACGCCCAGCTAATTTTTGTACTGTTAGTAGAGACGAGGTTTCACCAAGTTGGCCAGGCTGGTCTCGAACTCTTGACCTCAGGTGATCGGCCTGCCTCGGCCTCCAAAGTGCTAGGATTACAGGCGTGAGCCACCGCGCCCGGTCTCTTTTTACTAATTTTGTTAACCTCCTTTTCTTCTGCAGTTCTACTTAGCAATTCCCAGAAATGACTTAAGTCAGGGGTCCTTGCCATTTCGTACAAATGTTTTCTCAAAGATCATTAACAAACTCTCTCAAACTCTACTGTTAATGTTCCAAACCATTTGCAGTTTCCAAATAAACAAATCACATGCTGTACTTTCTGCCTAAAATACCTTTCAATTTTTAACTCTTACTCATACTAAAAGATCTATGTCAAGTCATAGCTCCCCTAAAAGCCTTCAAACAAGTTTGTCCCCCAACCTCAAACCAAGCCAGGTAAAGTGTTTTCTCTAGCTTCAACCTGTAAGACCCCGCTGCTTCAACTACACACTTATTTAACAAGCATATAATTTGAAAAATATTCACACTTAATTGTAGGGAAAAGAAAGAGAGATCAGACTGTCACTGTGTCTATGCAGAAAGGAAAGACGTAAGAGACTCCATTTTGAAAAAGACCTGTACTTTAAACAATTGCTTTGCTGAGATGTTGTTAATTTGTAGCTTTGCCCCAGCCACTCTGACCCAGCCACTTTGACTCAACTTGGAGCTCACAAAAACATGTGTTGTATAAAATCAACGTTTAAGGGACCTAGGGCTGTGCAGTACGTGCCTTGTTAACAAAATATTTACAAGCAGTGTACTTGGTAAAGGTCATTGCCATTCTCTAGTCTCAATAAACCAGGGGCACAATGCACTGTGGAAAGCTGCAGGGACCTCTGCCCTTGAAAGCAGGGTATTGTCCAAGGTTTCTCCCCATGTGATAGTCTGAAATATGGCCTCGTGGGATGAGAAAGACCTGACTGTCCCCCAGCCCTACACCCGTAAAGGGTCTGTGCTGAGGTGGATTAGTAAAAGAGGAAAGCCTCTTGCAGTTGAGATGGAGGAAGGCCACTGTCTCCTGCTTGCCCCTGGGAACTGAATGTCTCGGTGTAAAACCCGATTGTACATTTGTTCAACTCTGAGATAGGAGAAAAGCTGCCCTGTGGCGGGAGGGGAGACATGTTTGCAGTAATATTGCCTTGTTATTCTTTACTCCACTGAGATGTTTGGGTGGAGAGAAACATAAATCTGGCCTACGTGCACGTCCAGGCATAGTACTTTCCCTTGAACTTAATCATGATATAGATTCTTTTGCTCACATGTATTTTGTTGACCTTCTCCTTATTATCACCCTGCTCTCCTACTACATTCCTTTTTGCTGAAATAATGAAAATAATAATCAATAAAAACTGAGGGAACTCAGAGGCCGGTGCCGGTGCAGGTCCTTGGTGTGCTGAGTGCCAGTCCCCTGGACCCATTGTTGTTTCTTTATACTTTGTCTCTGTGTCTTATTTCTTTTCTCCGTCTCTCATCCCACCCAACTAGAAATACCCACAGGTGTGGAGGGGCAGGCCACCCCTTCACTTAATACTAATAAAGGATTTTAAAACTGGAAAAAGCCTTAAAGATAATTTCTGCTTGTCATTTTATAAACTAGTCATTTTAAAACTAAAAAGTTAAGTGATGTAGCCATCGCTATCAACCAGATCTTATCAAAGAGAAACACAGATCTCTTTGTAAAATAGACTTGAAAATAGAAAAAATTTCCAGGTAAACCTCTGCAAATAAACATCAGATTGATTCCCAGGAGACTTTCCCAAATTAGAGATCTGTCACTATCTCAAATCCATCAAAGGTTTGTTCTTAAGGTGAGGAAAGAGTGAGGGTGGATGGTTTACAGCCTTAAAGTCTATTTCATATACTGTTTAACAATCCTTAACCTAAAAATAGTTTGTCACCAGGCTGCCTGGGACTTCCAGATGATATTCTCCACAGTAGGTATTATATTTGATACTATTTCAACTATATTTAATTACCATTTACATACACACACACAGTCATGCATTGTGTAACAGGAATATATTCTGAGAAATGTGTTGTTAGACAACTTCATCGTTTTGCGAACATCATTAACTGAATTTACACAAACCTAGTTGACATAGCCCATTAAATACCTAGGCTATATGGTATAGCCTACTGCTCCTAGGCTACAAAACTGTATAGCATGTTACTATGCTAAATACCGTAGGTAACTGTAACACAATAGTAAATATTTGCATATCTAAACATAGAAAAGGTACAGTAAAAATACAGCATAAAATATTAAAAAATGGTATACCTGTACAGGGCATTTACCATCAGTGGCTTGCAGAATTGGAAGTTGCCCTGGGTGAGGTAGTGAGTGGGTGGTAAGTGAATGTGAAGGCCTAGAACATTACTGTACTACTACAGGCTTTATAATAACTATACACTTAGGCTACCCTAAATGTATATTTTTAAAGTTTCTTTAATACTAAATTAAACCTAGCTCACAGTAATTTTTTTATTTTGTAAACTTTAAATTTTAACTTTTTTACCATTTTGGAGTAACAGCTTAAAACACAAACACATACAGCTGTACAAAATATTATTTCTTCATATCTTTATTCTATAAGCTTTTTACTATTGTTAATTTTTAAAAATTTTACTTTTAAGTTCTGGGATACATGTGCAGAATGGCAGGTTTGTTACATAGGTATACACGTGCCATGGTGGTTTGTTCTCATTGTTCAACTCCCACTTATGAGTGAGACATGCAGTGTTTGGTTTTTCATTCCTGTGTTAGTTTGCTGAGAATGACGGTTTCCAGTTTCATCCATGTCCCTGCAAAGGACATGAACTCATCCTTTTTTATGGCTGCATAGTATTCCATGGTGTATTCTTGCCACATTTTCTTTATCCAGTCTATCATTGGTGGGCATTTGGGTTGGTTCCTACTCTGTGCTATTGTGAATAGCGCTGCAATAAACATACGTGTGCATGTGTCTTTATAGTAAAATGATTTATAATCCTTTGGGTATATATCCAGTAATGGGATTGTTGGGTCAAATGGTATTTCTGGTTCTAGATTCTTGAGGAATCACCACACTGTCTTCCACAATGGTTGAACTAATTTGCACTCCCACCAACAGTGTAAAAGCATTTCTATTTCTCCACATCCTCTCCAGAATCTGCTGTTTCCTGACTTTTTAATGATCACCATTCTAACTGGCATGAGATGGTATCTCACTGTGGTTTTGATTTGGATTTCTCTAATGACCAGTGATTATGAGCTTTTTTTCATATGTTTGTTGGCCGAATAAATGTCTTCTTTTGACAAGTGTCTGTTCATATGCTTCACCCACTTTTTGATGGGGTTGTTTTTTTCTCATAAATTTAAGTTCCTTGTAGATTCTGGATATTAGCCCTTTGTCAGATGGATAGATAGCAAAAATTTTCTCCCATTCTGTAGTTTGCCTGTTCACTCTGATGATAGTTTCTTTTGCTGTGCAGAAGCTCTTTAGTTTAATTAGATCCCATTTGTCAATTTTGGCTTTCGCTGCCATTGCTTTTGGTGTTTTAGTCATGAAGTCTTTGCCCATGCCTATGTCCTGAATGGTATTGCCTAGGTTTTCTTCTAGGGTTTTCACGGTTTTAAGTCTTACGTTTAAGTCTTTAATCCATCTTGAGTTAATTTTTGTATAAGGTGTAAGGAAGGGGTCCAGTTTCAGTTTTCTGCATATGGCTAGCCAGTTTTCCCAACATATTTATTAAATAGGGAATCCTTTCCCCGTTGCTTGCTTTTGTCAGGTTTGTCAAAGATCAGATGGTTGTAGATGTGTGGCATTATTTCTGAGGCCTCTGTTCTGTTCCATTGGTCTATATATCTGTTTTGGTAACATTACCATGCCATTTTGGTTATTGTAGCCTTGTAGTATAGTTTGAAGTCAGGTAGCGTGATGCCTCCAGCTTTGTTCTTTGTAAAATTTTTTATTAACTTTTTTCTTTTTAGACTATTTTATTAAAAATTAAGACACAAACATACACATTAGTTTAAGCCTAGGATGATCAATATCACTGTCTTCCACCTCCATATCCTGTCCCAATGGAAGGTCTTCAGGGGTAATAACATGCATGGAGCTGTCATCTATGAATACAATGCCTTCTTTTGGAATATTTCCTGAAGGAACTGCCTGAGGCTGTTTTAGTTAACTATTTTTTTATAAGTAGAAGGAATACACACTAACATAATGATAAAAGTATAGTAAATATATAAACCAGTAACAGTCATTATTATCAAGTATTATGTACTGTATAAAATTATATGTGCTCTACTTTTTTTAAATGACTGGCAGCACAGTAGGGTTTGTTTACACCAGCATCACCACAAACGTGAGTAATGCGTTGCACTATGATGTGACCACAGCAATGACATCAGTAGGCGATAAGAATTTTTCAGCTCCATTTTAATCTTACAGGACCGATGTCATATATGTGAACTGTTTTTGAACCAAAATGTCATGTAGCACATGACTGTATGTATAAATGTTTCTGCTGAAAATCAGATTCTCAAATCTAGTCCAGCACCATGTATCTTATACAGCATGCCCACGTGTGATCTTGCTCAACCTGTGACAGGGTATTTTCTTGGTCAATCAATCCTCAGTTGTTCTTAACATTTTTAATTGAAGAAACAGGAAGAGATGATCAATAAGAAAGAGAAAAAGACTTGAACATTGTGTGAGAGGGGAAGATAGAGGCATAAAAGGTCAATACTTAGTTAGACAGAAAATAGTTTTGATTTCTTTATAAATGAGATAGGAGGTGGTATCTCCACTCCTTCCACGACTTGGAACTTCTCTTGGATTAATAAACTCTGCCTCTAAAAAGCAAATAGTGCCCCTGCCAGCAGGAGTATGAGATAACTTCATTCATAATTTGAAGGATTTTTGCAATTATTCAGCATTTGGTGAACACTTCTTAAAAATGCAGAATGCATTATATAAAACAAAGGAGCTACAAGTTTGGCTTTCATAAGTCACCCCAGCATCACATTTCTTAAAAGCTGCATAGAAAGAATACCAATTTTAAAAATCAACATTGTTGATATATATCACACATCTATTTATCAAAAGTTTAATGTTCTAACCTGGAATGCCGGAGGCTATCCTTTTTGTTTTTTGCAGAACACAATGTGCATTCACAGCCAACTGCATGGGGCTTGGGTAGAGATACATCCTGTTTTAAGAGCATTGTAAGAATTTCATAGTTGTTACGATGAGCAGCTAAAATGACAGGTGCAACATCCATAGTTGTTGAATACTCAGGATTCTGAATTCGTTCCATTAGTTTCTGAAAAATATTTATATAAATGTCCAAAGTTATTATTTGTGACTTCAAAAAATATATTTATCTGAAGAATGAAATGAAAAAATAGGAAGGCACAAAGAACTTAAGAATTATTTAAGGAATATGTTAAACATTTTGCTTGGACTAAATTTTTCTTTGAAACCTCAAAACTTAACTCTAATTAATAAATGCAATGTAATCATAACAGACAAAATCTTCAATAGGTAACATTCATTTAACTAGAGGTCTGTTTTTTCCAACAAAGAAGTGAGAATATCTAGAGAAATATCTTAGGGAAAAGTGTTTAATTTTCACAAGATTATAGAATCATGCCTGACAAAAATAAAGAAGAATGTTAGAAAAATATATTAGAAAAATAAAAATGCTAAAAAATAGGGAGAATATTAACATGTGAGAAAAACTAAGAATTTCACCTCTATGGCAAACCTTATCACATTGACAGCAATGCAGCTACTTGAAAAGGGCAATAGGAAGCACTCTTCATTTTGTATAATTTTCTACACATTTTCAATCATTACATATACTACTTCCTACTATAAACGCCAAAAAATTAACAATAATGCTAGTATTTAATGAGTTCTGGAACTGTTAGGCACTTTACATTTATCATCTCATTTAATTGCCACAGTAGCCTGCAAAACCAAGCATTATAATCCCCACGAAGAAACTGAGGCTCAGAGAAGTTAATGTGCCTGAGCCACAAACAGGGTGGCTGGGTGCTGATCAGAATCCAGGTTTGTATTACTCTAGAGCTGGAGCTCCTTCCACTACAGGAGTCCATGGGTGTGGTAAGAGCATGAAATGAGGAAAATACCATTAGTAATTAAAGAACCAGGCTTAAATAAAAAGGTTGACTATTTTATAACTATCGTATTTTCTAATACTTACTTTTTTTTTGCAATATTATAAAAGTAGTGTATATACTTATTATAAAATATCTGAAAATGTAGAAAATCAGAAAGAATTTTAAAAATACCCATATTCCTACTACCCAAGGAACATTTTCCAGTACAGTATTTCATTTTAATCCTTTTTCTACTACACCCCCCTTTTAAGGACATCTTTGGCATAAACAGTAGGTATTCTAAGGACCAATGATTAAACAGTGGTCATTAATATCTCCAAGATCAGGGACCCTTTTAATAATCCATAAAGCAGGATCTTTACATAGCCCAGAATCTTCAGAAAAAAATAATTCATGCACATAATTTTATATGCAATTTAAGGAAGTTCATAGATTCTGTGTTCAAGTATTTTATTTTGCTAATTTACCATAAACGTCTTTATGAAAAGAGTGTTTTGCAAATTTAGGATTATCTCATTAACATAAAAGCCCAGCAGCAGAATTATGGGTCTAAAGGCCATGACCAGTTTTTTTTTTTTTGGTGGAGTCTCGCTCTTTCGCCCAGGCTGGAGTGCAGTGGCACTATCTCGGCTCACTGAAAGCTCCGCCTCCCGGCCATGAACAGTTTTGAAGCTCTTGAAACATATTGTTAAAGTCCTTTTAATAGTTTATATTACCAATAATATAAGGAGGTACCCATTTCACACTAAAGTTTTACTCACCCGTCTTAGGCATGATCACTCCCAATTTATAGTGAAAAATACTATCATGAAATTGTAATTTAATTTCCTTTGATCACTGGTAAGTTTTAATATTTTCTGATATACTTATCTGATTTTCCTCCTCTTTTATGACTAATTTGTTTATATACTTATTTATTTATTGAGGACTTCAAATTAATGACTTTATTTAAAATTACAGAGAAACCTAAAACTAGCCCTTTTCCATCTTATCATTGCATTACTGGTTATAAAGAAGAATAAAATATATTTAATCCCTTAAGAGAAAAGTGGTCCTCATGTTTCTTATGAAACATACTTAACTGTATGAAAAACATCACTAGATATGCATAAGATTAAAGTTCATAATTCCATTGTTCATAATATAATCTGTATACTATTAAATAAAAAACCTAAATTTGAAAGTCAATTGCCAAAAAGACAATCTGGCAAGCCAAGAATACAGAATGAATTCATTGAAATGCTAAAAGAATATTACCATTACTGAAACGCTAAAAGAAACAATATTTTTCTTCTGCTTATAGCCAGTTTATATTCCCTCAGTTATTTAAAATATATAAAAATATTTAATATTGCCTCTCTAGAAGTAAAAGGGCTATCAAGATATGATCTTGGCTGGGCCTGTAATCCCAGCACTTTGGGAGGCCGAGAAGGGTAGATCACCTTAGGTCAAGAGTTCCAGACCAGACTGGCCAACATGGTGAAACCCCATCTCTATTAAAAATACAAAATTAGCTGGGCATGGTGGGACGTGCCTGTAATCCCAGTTACTCCGGAGGCTGAAGCAGGAGAATCACTTGAACCCGGGAAGTGGAGGTTGCAGTGACCTGAGATCACGCCATTGCACTGCAGCCTGGACAACAAAACAAGAGCGAAACTAAGTCTCAAAAAAATAAAATAAAATAAAAGAAGGTATGATCTTGCTGTCATTGAGTGTATTTAAATAAAGGCTGAATAATCTTTATTTGTTAGAGACAGAGTAGAAAGTGTTCTTTTCTTTTTCTTTTTTGTTTTAGAAGAGTTTTGCTCTGTCGCCCAGGCTGGAGTGCAGCGGCTCGATCTCAGCTCACTGCAACCTCCACCTCCAAGGCTCAAGCAATTCTCCTGCCTCAGCCTCCCAAGTAACTGGGATGACAGGTGCACGGCACCACGCCCGGCTAATTTTTCTATTTTTAGTAGAGATGGGGTTTCTCCATATTGGTCAGGCTAGTCTTGAACTCCCAACCTCAGATGTTCCACCCGCCTCGGCCTCCCAAAGGTTATTTTACTAAGTAGGTGAGGGCTGCCAACACTAAGATTTAATCGTTAGTGATAATGGTGATGAATAAAACCAGTCAATGGTTCCAGTACTCAAGCACACTACACCCCACCCTTCCCCCAGGAAAGGAAATGGACTAAAAGGCTAGAAGATGGGACAGGTGTGCCAAAATATAATAATAACTGCAAGATAAGTGGCAGAAAATTGAATGGTATTTTAGATATTTCTGATGCTTTGGATAGGGACTATATTCTTAGCCTTTTGTTCCTTATTCCTGTTGATTTCTTACCACCACTTAAACTAGATGGTACTATCCTCTGGAGAAAGTCACACTTTTGTAATAGTCTGAATGAGTAAGATTTTTCAGTTACTATATAACAAAGTATGCAATTTAGCAGAGCCTCTCACATTTCTCAAACATGGCAGAGAGTCAACAACCAATTTATAATTCTCTCTTAAAACAGTATTTTTCTTCTGCTTATAGCCAGCCTATATTGCCAGCAGTTATTTAAACTGCTTGTTTCACGGTATCGTCACCAATAATGAATGTTATCATGTTTAAAATTTGATTAAAAAACAATAAAATTAGCATTTATTTAGTAGTGACTATCCTCCTAATTACAAAAGCAATAAAGAAAAATAAAAAGAGTACAAAAAAATCCATAATTTGGTTAGTCAATGAGAGATGATGATTGTTAGGTAACATTTTGTTGCATTTCCACACAGTCCCTTTTCTACGCATATTTTTAACCGTGGTAAGTATTTTAACCATAGTAAGTATTCCACTTACTACGTTATATTTTTCCATGTTCCTAACTATTCTTTTAAAAGTACTGTTTTAATGACTGCATAATATTCCATTGTACATATATGTAATCATTTATATTTCCTATCTTCTATTTTGGAATGTTTAGATTATGTCACATGGGCTTTTAAAAATTACTACAAATAAGATCACAACCAACATTTTTGTCCACATTTCTGACCATTTCCTTGATAAGTTCCCAGAGGAGAAAGCACTAAGTTAAAGCATATGAACACCTTTCTTATGACAGATCCTGCCAAAACACTTTCCAAAATACCTGCCTCACTAGTAGCATGAGACTGTAATACTCCCTTGCTATCAATGATTTTTTTTAAATTTTCAACTTTAATAAGTAAATTTGGTAAGTTTAAAATTAGTATCTTACTGTATTTGATTATCATTAAGATTTAACATTTTGTATTTTCTGCTATTTCTATGTCCTTTTCTAATATGTTTTTCACCAATTTGTCCAATATTAAGATTATTAATTTATGATATATGCTGCAAATATCTTTTGCCAGTTATTCATCTGCTTTCTAAATTTTGTCTGATGTCTGGATTCCAAAAATTTAACTTTTTTAACAGCAAAAACTGTGCCACTGTGATTTCTGTCCATTGCTTTTATGCACATAAAGTCTTTCTACTCACGATCAGTTAAACATTCACCTACATTTTCTTCCAGTTTGTTGGTTTCATTGTTTACATTTAATTCTTATCTATCTGCAAACTAATCTATATTTTCAACATTACCTGCAGAATATTTCAAATGGTAAATACTGGTCCACAGTGACAAAATTATGGAAATATCAACTAAATTTAAAAAGTTTTCCTGAAAGAAATACTAATTATTCCTGCAAGTGTCCACTTTTAATATTTTACAGAGTGAGAAAAAATATCTATTTTTTGAAAAAACAAAATAAATTTGAGGGAAGGAAAAAATGGCAATGGGGCAAGAGATCTATTTTGGTTTAAAAATCCAAATTAATAAATATTTAAGAGTACTAACTACTATAGTTGGTCTTGATGATCGTTTTGGTCGATGATTAAGTAGTATATCAACAGCTCCCACTACTTCAGAGTCGATTGCCACCAAAAGTGCATCTGCAGACTTCAAAAAAAAAAAAAGTTAAAAATGAAAATGGAAGATAAAAAGGTAAACTACTTCTTTTTACTAATTCATAAATAAAACTTTTTAAAAATTTAAACTGTATTATATACAGTAATACAAAATTTTTCAAAAATTTTGACTGTACAAATAGTACATTTGCTTGCCTTAGGAGTACTTCTGTGTACCACAATACACACGTTTCTGTCCTGGTTTCAATGCATGAGTTGGTAAAATAATGAATGTCTCATTGAAGGGATTATTAGAGTAACAGTGCTGATCCATGCAGGATTTAAAGTTGAAAATTTTTTTTCAAGATCCTTACTCTTGAACTGTGGACCAAAAGAATCTTAACAATCCAAATCTATAAAAGAAACTGTCAAGAACTATTACTACAGGTAAAGGATTTTTTTCAGTCTAATGAAAATGATTATCATCAATGCAAACAGGAATATAGGGAGAATATCTAAAGGTGAGAGCCTTCTGTTCTCATTTTTAAAACACATGGCTGACTAAAATGCTACAAATTTGACATTTATGAGCAATTTTATCAAGTATAAGCCACAAATAGTTAGGCTACCAAAGTTCATGGAGACTGGAGGGAGAAGTGACTTTATCATTCTGCTCCCAGTCTATAGCTCACTGTGAAGATCCGAAAGAGGAAAAAGTAAGGAGACTCTGAGGAAATGGGGACTTTTCAACTCTGTAACAAAGCCTATAGTCCTACTGGCAACTATAACATCAGGTTTTTGGATTTTTAGGGAAAAATATAAAGGAAGAAGGAAAACATGGGGATAAATAATGATTTAATCTAAGAAAATGCCCTAATTATTTTCAATCTGTACATTTTAACTGCTATAATCATTAATAACTATTTAAATCAATGTTCTTGCTCTTGGAAACAAAACTATATCGATCTTTAATATTCTTTGTAGCTGAAAAGAGTAAAGTTTATATTCACTTTATCTGGATGTAAAAAATAGAACTAAAAGTGGCAGACTTTACCTGAATATCTAAAAATAGGACTATGCACCTCAAAAAAAAGGGTTGGAGTCCTCACTCAACCCTTAGGAATCACCTATGTTTTCCCACAGAAAAACTTCCCACCCAGATGGGAAATTTAACCCATTGCACTATCTCTTAAAACTTTCAGGGTTCATTGAGCTGTGGCCTATGCTTTAAAGTCCTAGCATTATTACTCTGCTTTGCAAACATTTCTCTTCAGATTTTAGCATATTTAATCAGTTGAAGGAAATGAACAAAAAGAATGCTATATCCATTACTATTAAATATTTCATTTATGATTTTTAATTTTTTTTTTTTTTGAGACAGAGTCTTGCTCTGTCACCCAGGCTGGAGTGCAGTGGCACAATCTTGGCTCACTGCAACCTCCGCCTCCCAGGTTCAAGGGATTCTCCTGCCTCAGCCTCCCGAGTAGCTGGGACTACAGGTGCATGCCACCATACCCGGCTAATTTTTGTATTTTTAGTAAAGACAGGGTTTCACCCTGTTGGCTGGGCTGGTCTCTAACTCCCAACCTCAAGAGATCCACCCACCTCGGCCTCTCAAAGTGCTGGGATTACAGGCGTGAGCCACTGCGCCCAGCCTATGATTTTTAATTTTAACCAATAAAGCTAACTATAGTAATGTCATTACTTTCAAAGTCAAACACCAGGGAACTTCAACAATCTGAAAAATAGCCATGGATTTAAAAACAGCAACATATTGAGCTGTCACAAAGAAACTCCATGGGTATTATTTCCCAAAAGAAACAGACCCAAGCATTCTGATTTAGAATTGTCCATAAATGATGAATATCTGGCTTTCCCAAGTATCCTTCAGATCTTTACTGAATAAAAGAATAGCAAGATTAAAACCAACAGCGTAGAGGGAAAGGAAGAAAGAATTACTAAAAGTTGACTACTGAAAAGATTAAATACCAGTACAGCAAAATCACTATCAATGCACAACAGTCTAAAGCCACTTAATGTAAGGACAAACATGTTAATAGTTTCAGACCATATGAAGCAAAGTAAAATAATTACATTCTCAATTATTCCAACTAAGGATGGTAAAGTTAAATTATATTCAGATACATTACTTAGTAAGGAATAAAGATTTACATTAAATCTTTCAATGCTTAAAAGGATAAGCTTCAGCTATAAAAATATTCATTTACATTAAAATTTCTTGTAAATAAGGAGTTACCATTTACTTATTCTGCACAAATGGTATGTTATTTGATAAATCAATGGCAGTTATGAGAGAAATAAATGTTTTAAATTATTTTAAAAATACATAGTTATACAAAAAATCCTCACTAGTTTTGCTTTCCAATTTCTCAGATATTTGACGATTCTTTATTAAAAGCTCTTCAATATATACTTATTACATATTTATGAGATCATTATCTTCCTTCCTACCTTAGAATTTATCTTTTCAACAATTCCCATACTCTTTCCTTTAAGCTCAGAGTAAAAAAGTTACGTATTTCCTTTCCAAAGCTACATTTTCCACCTTAGTATTCTATTTGATGCTCTCCAATCTTTAGAACCCTGGTCCTTCATTTGCAGAAATACCAGTCTAATCTCCCACCTCCCAGAACTTTAAATCCTTCATCACTCTTTGCTAACTTGCTTACTAGCTCTTTGCTAACTTGACTTAATTCCATCTTTCTCTTACCACTCGTTTTCTTCTTCCTTTCATTGTGTCAAACTTTGCAAATCAAAGTGTATCATTTCTCCAATTCTACTGATGCCAGTTTCCAAGTCCAATTACTTTTTCTACCTTCTAATTTTTCTTAATTTCTAAGCCAATATGTTAAAAACTATTCTTTTGGCTTTCACAATGTTGCATTATCCTAACTGCCTCTGATATCTTCAACAATTCATTTGGTCTTTAATGAAACTCTTTCCATGTAATGCTCTTTATTAAATGTAGATGTTTCCTTAAGAATGAATCTGCACCAGCCCTTTGCTCTTCTCCATGATTTCACCTACTCTCACAATGGTGATGGGCATTCCCATGGCCCTGACAGCTTACTGTATCTCTTTAGCCTGATCTCTCCCTAGAAATATAATGTTCATCTGTGTTTGTCTGATGAGGACTGCCTGATAGCTGCCAAATCAACAAGGATAAAACCAGAATTCACATTCCCTTGCCCCAAGCTTTACTTAGCTTCTGAACTTAATGTTTTCCTTTCTTCCTTCTCTTAGTCACCCACGTTTAAGATTTCCAAATCATCCTGGACTCCTTTTCAATTTCCCACTCCAAATCAAAATATTCACTAAGATTTGTCAATTCCTCACAGCGGTCTCCAACCTTTTTGGCACCAGGGACTGGTTTCATAGAGCAGGTAGGGAGATAGTTTCGGATGAAACTGTTCCACCTCAGATCATCAGGCATTGGTTAGATTCTCATAAGGAGCATGCAACCTAGATCCCTTGCATGTGCAGTTCACAATAGGGTTCGTACTCCTATGAGGATCTAATACCATCGCTGACCTGACAGGAGGCAGAGCTCAGGCAGTAATGATCGCTCACCTGCTGCTTACCTCCTGCTGTGCAGCCCAGTTCCTAACAGACCACGGAACCATATAGGCCATGGACTCATATCTGCCTTTTCCCCCTTCTTCTCATAGCCACTGTTTTTCTTACAGCACTGTTCCAGTTCAAGCCTCAACCTCTTCATATGTAGATTACTACAAAAACTATTGACATAGGCTATAGCCTTTCCCACTTTCCATTTCCCAGTCTATACTAAATTCAGCCACTAGATACATCTTTCTAAAATACCACTGGACACATCACATCCTTTCTCGAAAATCATGTAATGATATCCCCTAACTATTATATAAAACCCAAATTCCTTATTCTGGCATTCAAGGCCCTTTGTATCCATTTTGTTTTAATTATTTTTCCTAATTCCTACTACTCCCCAACCCAACTGTTTTGTTCAAAAATGCTAAATCAATTCAGTGTCTCAAAAATATACATTGCACATGGCTCTGTTTATATCCTTCTCCACATCTCCTGTTCCCTACCTGTCTTTACATGTTTGAGAGTAGATTAGCATAATAGGTAAGACCATAGATTCTGGAGCCAGAACCTAAGTTCAAATTCCAGGTCTGCCATTCACAGAATGACTTTGGGCAAGTTACTTAACCTTTTTTACCTGTTTCCTCCTCTATAAAATGGGGACAATAATAATATCTAGGCTGGGCACAGTGGCTCACACCTGTAATCTCAGCACTTTGGGAGGCCAAGGCAGGTGGATCACCTGAGGTCAGGAGTTCGAGACCAGCCTGACCAACATGGAGAAACCCCATCTCTACTAAAAATACAAAATTAGCCGGGCGTGATGGTGCATGCCTATAATAATCCCAGCTACTTGGGAGGCTGAGGCAGGAGAATCGCTTGAACCCAGGAGGCAGAGGTTGCAGTGAGCCGAGATCACGCCATTGCACTCCAGCCTGGGCAACAAGAGCGAAACTCCATCTCAAAAAATAATAATAATAAAATAATATCTAACTCATCCCTGAATTTAATTTGAAGATTAAATTCAAATCCCTATATTGTGAGGATTAAGTAAGTGAACATATTTAAGGTTCCTGGCAGAGAGTAGTTATTATATAAATGTTAGCAATTATTAATATTTCAAGGCTGAGTCAACTGATACTTTTCCAATGAAATCTTTCTTGATAGCCCCAACCTATTCTATATTTCTAAATAATGTATATCAAACCACAAAAGTTTAAACATAAAACAGGGTTTCTCAATAGCAGCACTACTGAAATTTTGGGCCAAATAATTTTTTGTTGTGGGGACTGTCTTGGGTATTGTAGGAGCCTCTACCCACTAGATAACAGTAGTAAACTGCCCTCCAATTGTGAAACCAAAGTATCTTCAGACATTGCCAAATGTCCCCTTATGGTGACAAAATCATTTGGTTGAGAACCACTGATATAGCACAAGATACATGAAAGCTCTTATAAATGCAAAGCAATATAAAATGGTCAAATATTATTACCACTCAACACTTACCAAATATACCTTTGTATTACTTAATTTACTTGTAATTCATACATACTTTAATTGTCCAATTTGTCTTAAAGATCCTATCACACAGAACCCATGTTTTACTTATTCATTTCCACAATCATACCCAACCAAAGGCCCTGGACATTTGTGGACTGATAAAATAAGACACAGGTAACCTGGACAGAACACAGTGAACTAGAAAGAGCATGAGATTTGCAATCAGAAGATTATATTTAAATCTTTGTCTTGTCCTTACTAATTTTAGAACTTTGAGAAATTCATTAAAGTCTATGAGCCTCAGTTTTCTAATCTATAAAATGTAACATCTATATAGGTTGACTGTGATGTCTGAATGTGATCAAGTATATGAAAGCACCATGTATACTGCAAAACCATTACATGTATATAACCATGTGTAAAAAGACAAAATTATAATACCATAGTAATTCTTTTATCCAGAATCAGCGTATGAATTTTTTTCTACCCTTATTTTCTAGGTAACTGAAGCTTATGCCTTTAAGTGTTTAATTTTAAAATTTAAACTATTTTGATGGAAGTCTTCTGCTTTTGTGTCTTATAAACACACAAACGCACATACACAAACACACATATATACAGTCTTTCTTCTAAAACAATAGGTACTGAATATAATTTAACTCTTCCTTACTGACTCTGCACCATTGTTATAAGCCTTAATTATCATCCTAACATACAGCTCCCTCAGAGATCACATGTGTAATGCTGTTGACCTCTGTTAAACAGTGTCGGAGGTACCACTCCTCATTTTATTCCACTGCAGCTCTCATGCCCCTTCCATTGTCCCTCAGATTCTCTATGGATTAGAAATTAATTATGTTAAAATGGAAACTAAAATGAGAAAAAATAGACCCTGATGGAGGACTCCTATAACTAAAGTTCATAAATTTAATCTGTAAACTTCATGGCAGCAAACCACTGGCTGCTCAGAGGTATTTTTTACTTACTTTCTGCTTCTCAATTGTGGTCTGGATAGCTGAAGTTGCTGGGTAAGCAATTCTTTTTTTTTTACTCCAAACATGTACATGGAGATAGTACCACATGTTGTTTTATACATACATACATACATACATACATATATATATATAAAATAGCAATGTACATAGAATTACCCTACTTATATTCAGAAAATCTGCTGTGAATGTCTCCTGATGTCACTCAAAAAAAATGTGCCTCATTAAGAAAAAAAAAAAAAGAGGTAGAATTAATGTGCCAAGTCCCATCATAAGCAAACCAAAAAGGAAAGGAAAATATTATCAAATTCCCTTCAGAATCTCTAGACTGAATTCATTCAAGACTTACACACATGCCTGTTTTTCTACCCAAACTGATATGAAGTAGGAAGGTCTACCTTTTATAGATGGATAAAAATCATTCATCTTTAGATAAAAACAAACATTAAGTTTCAAACAAAAAAATAAAATTTAATAAAACCAAAGTCAAACTGAAAACTGTTTTGAGGCAGGAACATTTTGTTGATGTGTCTGTAACTAATATGGGCCAGAAAAAAAACTATTCCTCTGACACTTCCAGAGTATTTGTACTATTTTAGATATATAATATAAATAGTGTTAACATAGGTAATGAAAACAAAGTCATCTTTAATAAGTCATGTGGGGAAAATGACATTTGGGAGGAAAAAGATAAATCAATTCAAAATATTATACTTTTCAAAAAGTTTTTTTTGGTTTGTTTTTAAAACTTTTAGTGCCTCAAAACCAAATAAAAGATGAAAGACAGAAGGAGAGTAAGAGAGACAAAGAAAGAAAAAGAAAGGAAGAAGAGGAGGAAAAAGAAGAAAGAAAACAAGAAGGGAAGAAAGCATGGCATATCTAACAGCACTTAGAAGTTAACTGGATTAAATTATCTAGCCTTGTACCTGACAACCGTAGTCCAAAAGAAGCTGCAGTATATCCAAGTTTTCGTTTTCAATAGTTATGGTAACAGCATTTCTCCCAAGCACATCTACGCAATTTATGTTCAAGTCACCTGAACTGTTTTCCTCCAAAATCTTTTTAACCATATAATAGTCACCTAAATAACAATATACAAACATAATTTAATATCCGTGACATATCAAGTAAGGATGACTGTAAAGAAAAACTTAGCTTGTTGAATTAAAAGATTAAAAGCCTAAACTCATTTTTGTATAAGAAAATGTACACAGAGAATGTGAACATTTCCTTGATGAAAATTTATACCTTAATAAAATAATACGTACATCAGCAGCAGACATAAAAAGTAGAAAATTTTTAAATGTACAGAATAAAATAAAAATTATTAGTTTAAAATTAATAACTGAATGATCATAAGAGGAGAAACTTTTGGAAGATATTTAAAGCAATTTAATAAAGGATGCCCAAAGGCACAGACTGGACACTAGAAAAATTAGATGGAAAAAGCTTAAAGAATTAAGTTTTATACCTCAAATATACATAGATATTTACTTACATAACATAGAGTTAAAAATGAGATCTAGTAATAAGCAGAGGATATTATAAAGAGGTTTTACAGGAGAAAACACTTTGGAAAAGCAGTATAAATACATATATATTCAAGGATATGTATAGTAAAGGGAAAGATGTCTGAAAATCCTCTTCCCTACTTCCCACCCTCCCAACACACACACACACACACCATCTCATTAATGAAGCTGATTAGATTAAATGGCCAGGGAACATTCAGTTCACAAAACTCTTAAGGCAGGACTAGGATTAGTGCCTGACCTGTTAGGAGCAGGCAAATTGCCTTCTGTGTGACTGTAGCCCACAACAAAACAGTTGTCCCATGTGAGGAAATGACAACAATTACAGCAGTAATTATTTTCAGCAAGGCCCCACTGTATTTGTCTGCTGACCAGATGGTACAGGAATATGGGGAATAAATCAAGAGAAATGCTAATTAAATAGAGAAAAAAAGCCAAGGTGGGTTTTGCTTGTTTTGTTTCATTTGACTTGTTAAACAATAGATAAATAAGTCATTTTACGTGATGTGCAAATACAGTTGCTCATTAGAAGTCTATAAATAAACAGGGAAAGAACAATCAGCATAGAAAATAGAAAAAGAAATGATTTCATGATACAGAAAAAGAAAATACTGAAACTGGGCTAAATAAGTGAGTAAGAAAGACAGGTAACATATTTTATTTATTAAAATTTCAAGTAAATTTGCTACTATTTTTAATCTATGGCCTTAAACTCCCTGCCTCACACATACAACTTCTTTTGAAGGAAGCTGGGTGATAGTTTTCTTGACAATGTATTTCCTTAGGTCCCTCAAGAAGAAAACTAGTCACAAAAAGAAATATTTTCCCCATAGTACTAGTAGTTAATAGTTAGACACAAATGCTCCCTGGGAAAACCTTATCAGACAGACACTTCACAAAGTGATACTCTAAGTCACAAGTTGAACCAATAGTGACCAAAGATAGACCAGTGAAAATTTATCGCTATTACTGGAAAGTGACATTTAAAATCTTATTTCAGGTGACTCTATTTCAACATCTTAGTAGTAGAATGCTACACATAAAAATTCTGCTATACTTTGTTATCGTGATGTGTCCAGGTGAAAAGTAATTTTTTATTTATTCTGCTTAGGACTCATTAGGCTTTCAATTTTTTTTTTTATTTTTATTTTTTATAGAGATGAGGTCTCGCTATGTTGCCCAGGCTTGTCTCAAATTCCTGGCCTCAAGCAATCCTCTCGCCTCGGCCTCCAAAAGTGCTGGGATTATAGGCATGAGCCACCACATCTGGCCTAGGCTTTCTAAATCTAAGGACTTCTACCCTTCATTAATTCTTCAGTATTTTCAGCCATTCTCTCTTCAAATATTGCTTCATCTCCATATTGCTTTTTCTCTTGTCAACTTCCATTAGACATTAAGTTAGACCTTCCCATTTCAACATCTGTGTCTCTCAAGATTTCCTGTTTTTTCTTTTTTTCCTCTCTCTTTCCTGCATTCTGGGTAATTTCTTCACATATTTCTTCCACTCACTTATTTCTCCTTTAGCTTCCATTCACATTCCTCCTTTAACCCATTCACTGATTTCTTAAAAATTTAATGACTGTATTTTTTATTTGCATAAGTTTTACCAGATTTCTTTCCAACTCTCTTATTTTCTTATGTTTTCATTTCCTTATTTTAACTTTCTCATCATTTTAAACATAATTATTTTGTAGTCGCTGTATGACAGTTTAATTATCTGAAAGTAGTATTAATTTGAACCCCAAGACAACAAGAGGCAGGACCATGGTTATGTATTCTTAAAGGAGTCTTATTTTTAGCCTTATTCAGAGCCCACAATAACACAAACAAGCTTCTTTGAAGTCTCCATGTGCTGGTAGATTGGTTTTTCTCCTCATCTACCTCTTTGCTGAAGGTACAGTCCTTTAAGAATCCTGGTTTTATGCTTAGATGTTGAATCCAACTCCTCACTTTGTACAGTCTCCAGGCCTTGTAACCTGTTCTCATATGGGCATTAAGACTCAAATCCCTGCAATGCCCAGAACAGTAACTCTTATCCCCACCCATGGAGCAGCCATAGTGTCAGCTCACAAACTCCTGTTTTTCAGTTTTTTCTTCACTTTTGTATCTTGGTTGTTTCCCCTACTTTCTTGAAAGCTCAGCTGTTCATTTAACTGGATGTTCATTATATTTTAGCTATAATTTCTAGGTGATTTGAAGAAGAAAGGTTTTCAGATTATCTAATCAACCATATTGCTAGAGACAGAAACGTAGGAAGAGCTACACAAATAAATCCTTATGACATTTTATAAATTTCAGGTATAGCAAATAGACAAAAATAACTGCTACATGTTTAAAAGTTTAGATTGCTGTTAAAAAGGAAAGTACATTACAAATATCATATATTCCAGCTTTAAAGTTTTTGTTTTGTTTTTAAGACAGAGACTCACTCTGTCACCCAGGCTGGAGGAGTACAATGGCACCATTTGGCTCACTGCAACCTCTGCCTCCTGGGTTCAAGCGATTCTCCTGCCTCAGCCTCCTGAGTAGCTGGGATTACAGGCAGCTGCCACCACGCCCGGCTAATTTTTGTATTTTTAGTAGAGATGTGGTTTCACCATGTTGGCTAGCCTGGTCTCGAACTCCTGACCTCAAGTGATCTGCCCGCCTTGGCCTCCCAAAGTGCTGAGATTACAGTCATAAGCCACCGTGCCCAGCCCTAAGGTTTTAAAGATTATTTCTATTGTAGTCAAGGAGCTATACAAGAAAGAAAGAAAATCCCTAAAAATCAAAACCAAATAAATAATTTTCATCCCTAAAAATAAAAGGTTCCACCCTGCTACAGCTAACACAGTCATGCAAATGAAAAATCACATTATAGTCACAGAACCTACAGGAAACCTAGAGTGGTTGCTAAGCATTTCAGAGAAGTTTATATTTGCAATTCATTTAAAACAATGCACTATGTCAAAAAAAAAAAAAGACCAGAACACTCTTAATTTTTAGGATGAGTATATATGTAAAAAGAGGTCAGAAAACTTAAAATAGACAGCAAGTAGCTAGTTATAGAACAAGGATTACAATTCAAAATGCCTGTGTATGACAGACAAATATATAAATGCCATTCATTTTATAACGAAGTTGCTTTCAAGAGTTACATCTTTTGTCTTTTAAAATATAACACATAGAAGGAAGTGCAACATAATCTGTTTACTTTTTTGGCTAGATGGTAGTCTTTTTCAGTCAAGGAAAAAGAAACCATTTTCAATCAATTCCACAGGGAGTATACCAATTCAACAGCACGTCTTCTTAGCCCCCTCTCTAAAATATCTCCCATAATCATCTACTTGTCTCCATGTATACTGCTACCCACAGTCCAAACCCCCATGATCTTCCTCCTGGACTCTGCAATAGCCTCTTAACTAACACAGCTGCTGACCAAGATTCTCTCCTTAACCAAACTCTAGTCAGGCTTTTCTGAGCCCTTCTCCACAAGGCCTCCACCTTGGCCCATATAAACTTGAACAAAACACTTAAGTGTTTCTAACAGCTGAAGGCCGGATCCCTAGGATGACCCTAGCCCCTCTTAAAATGCCTGCCCGAGAAAACTCAAAGCTGACATAAAAATTTACTTTTGTTCCAGCCAACACCTGAAGACAGGGCCCCTATCTCTCAGCCTCCAGGGAGGGTAGGAGCCTAACTCCTTAAGTGCCTTTAGCAAACTCAGGTGGGATTCACATGGACCAACTCCCCAAGCCCCGTATTTTGTAATTTTTCACTTCCCTGACTCCACTGAGCCCACACTCACCCCCTTCCTTGTTTACTCTTTTCCCTATTGCAACTTATATTACTTACTAATACTTTATACTGTAGCACAGGGGTCAACAAAGTTTTCTGAAAAAGGGTTAGAGAGTAAATATTTTAAGCTTTGTGGGCCATGCACTCTCAGTCACAGCTACTCAACTCTGCCCTTTCAACACAAAAGCAGCCACAGACCATATGTAAACAAATGATAGTGGATGTGTTCTAAGAAAATTTTGTTTATGGACACTGAAATTTGAATTTTATAGACTTTTCATGTGTTACGAAATTTTTTTTAACCATTTGAAATATAAAATGTAAAAAACCAGTTTTAGCTCCAAGACCTCACAGAACAGGCAGATATGGTCTGTGGCCCATAGTTTGCTCACTCCTGCTCTAGCCCCACCCCTTCAATCCACTCTGCACTCCACAGCTAGAGTTATCGGTTAAAAATTCAAAACACAAGCCGGGCGCGGTGGCTCATGCCTGTAATCCCAGCACTTTGGGAGGCTGAGGCAGGCGGATCATGAGGTCAGGAGATGGAGACCATCTTGGCTAACACAGTGAAACCCCGCCTCTACTAAAAATACAAAAAATTAGCCGGGCATGGTGGGGGGCACCTGTAGTCCCAGCTACTTGGGAGGCTGAGGCAGGAGAATGGCGTGAACGTGGGAGGCGGAGCTTGCAGTGAACCGAGATCACGCCACTGCACTCTAGCCTGGGCGACAGAGCGAGACTCGGTCTCAAAAAAAAAAAAAAAAAAAAAAAAAAAATCAAAACATATCAAGCTTACAAACTTTGTGATTTTTCTATCACACTTAAAATAAAGGCCAAATTTCTACTGTGGCCTACAAAGCCCTATAGGACTTAGTTAGACCTTGTTAACATTCTGAATTCATCTTGTGCCTCTCTGCGGCTCAGCCAATGATCATTCCAAACCAATGTTTTCCAAACTGCAGGTTGCAACCCATTAACAGTCATAAAATCAATTTAGTGAGTCCTAACCAGCAATTTAAAAAAAATGAACTAGTATACAAAATACCAGAGTGATCCCATAGATCCTTAGCAACAAATTTACTCTGGCCAACTGTAATAAACCCTTGAGAAATACAATGGAGAAATGTTACAATACTGATTAAGAACAGGTGATTCCACCTCTTCCTCATTAGCATCTCGTTTGATTTTATGGCAAAGAGAGTATCAATGTTGTTCAGTTTAATTTTATATTAACCAAATTTGAAGTTAGTTGTGAAGTGTGAGAGAATTTAATGTCAAAAAATTTGTAAAGCTTTTCAAACCAAGTTTCTGTAACAAACCTGAGTGTGGCAATTGCAACATTCTAACTGAAATATTACCAATGATGCTTAAAACAGAAAGTTTTATTAAGAGGAAAAAGAATGATGATGTGAAAAAATAAAAAGACATGATCAAGTTCAGTTGCTGGATCTGGAAATATAAATGACAATACTGATAAAAATGTTAACTGACATCAAACTTCAAATTAGCTTGAACCAAATTTTAAAAAGGAAAAAAAAAAAAAACCCATGCAGACTTTTTACAGTGAAAATGATTTAAAATGTAGCTTTATCAAATGTGCAAAACTCGTATTACAGACCCCAATGTATTTATAACCATATTATTGTAAATGAAACCTTCAAAATTAAAGATACTAAAAAACATGGTAGGCTAAACTGTTTATAACACTTTGAACATTTTTGTAAAAAGACAATTATTACCATAATTTCTTAGTTGCTTATGAATCTTAATGAGGACCATTAATAATAATGAATATCATTTGGCAAAAGAGCAAAGATTCACACTGCTGCCTGAAAAAATTACACTATAGCACAGAAGGTAATGCTGATTTTTTCATAGTAAATCAGTTGATAAAAATTATAAACAGCATATTCTTAACTCTATTAGAAAAATAGTCAAAAGCAATGTTTATTTTGTAGTTAGAGTCTGATAAATGACATGAGATCCCATTCACAATGCTGCTGTAAGTTGTTTAAAACTTAGTTTATATCAGGTTGTTGCAACACAGTCTCAGAAAGGATTTATTGTGTTGCTTAAATTTAATCTCATATACATTTGAATTATACATATTTATAAAACTAGAAAAATATATTACTGGCCAATATGTTAATCTAGAAAAACATATGTTTAAAAATTAACAGAAGCTATTAATAACAGTGCCAGTCACCCCCACTTTATACATAACAAAGCTTTGGCATCCAAAGAAATCTACTGAGTCTCATGACTATATTGATACAGTGCTGGAATTCTTTTAGTCCTTATCATTCATCTAGGCTCCTAAAAGTCATTAGTTAATCACATCTTAGTGATAACTTTTGAAATCCTCATTACCTATTCAACTATTGATCTTAAATCTTAAATTTCTCAGTATCATTAAATTTGGAAGAGTTAGCAATGAAGAAGATATTTAGAGCACTGGCAGCAAGGTAGAAGAGGAATTATTAGGTTACGATAATACCTATATAATAAAATTTAATCTTTTCACACTCTTCCTCCAAGTCTATATACAAGGTATAGCTAGGAGTCTGGCTTGGGTTACATTTTTTTTAACTGCCCAGATAAAAGACTGACCCTGTACACGTAATATCCCATTCTCCAAATCACATATAGGCCATTTAAGTTAAATTGAGCACTTGCTTCTTCCCTTCAGACAGATATATTTAATACAAACATACTTTTGTTTCCTTACTTCTCCTCGCTAGAGCACAAGAGAGCATCTCCATTAAAGAATATTCTCCTAAAGGATAGGGATGTACTCAGTACTTTCTTGATAAAGCACTTTCACAGTGCCTTAACACAATTAACAGCTTGATAAGTATAGTTTGATTGTGACTTACAGAAAAAGAGCAGCAAAGTTGCGTGATCACTATAAAGAATTACCAGTATCATAGAACTACCAGGCAGCTAGCTGCTGAATTACTAGTCTGTTAGAGATAAATTATCCACTAAGATTTTCGCAATTTGAGTCTTTCGTTGCTGTTGTTAAAGTATCCCTGAACCGTTCGCCATGGCAATGTTTTTCAACTATTACATTGTAAAACTTTGGTTATTTGAAAAGCTTTCCTATATAAAGTACATAAATGCTATGTCTATGATGATTTGTGAAGTGTTTATAGAATGCTGCCTACAATACCCTCTTTACCTCTCATTTCTGCAAAGTTTTTTCCTCACAGCACATACCTCCTTACATTAGGTGCCCCATTGTCAACATAACACTTCACACCAATACTCAGTACTCTGCATTTTTTGTTTCTTCCCACCACCATCCTCTCTAATACCAGACTTCAAAATCTCTTCTCAAATAAGTAAAAAAATTTTAAAGGCCCATTATATATAAATAAGGTGTTTAAAAAACAGCAGCTTAATATTACTTCTCTCAGAAATGCTGCACTTTTTTCTTCTGACTCTGGCTTCTCTCTGGAGTTGTTGCACATTTTTAAAGCATCCTTAGCCCAAAGGTACACAAAGCTTATGGAGAAAGTCAGTCATCAGGCCAGGCACGGTGGCCCACGCCTATAATCCCAGCACTTTGGGAAGCCGAGGCGGGTGGATCACTCGAGGTCGGGAGTTTGAGACCAGCCTGGCCAACATGGTGAAACCCTGTCTCTACTAAAAATACAAAAAAATTAGCCGGGCGTGGTGGTGGGCACCTGTAATCCCAGCCACTCAGGAGGCTGAGGCTGAGGCCGGAGAATCGCTGGAACCCGGGAGGCGGAGGTTGCACTGCACTCCAGCCTGTGCAACAAGAGAAACTCCATCTCAAAAAAAAAAAAAAAGAAATACAGTCATCAAAACATTTTTCCTTACAACACAGCAAATCTTACCACAAAGGTGACACAGGACACTGAGACTAGGCTGAGCCCACTGATAAAGGTGAAAACCTGCTCTCTCCATCCCTCCCCCTAACCCCATGCTGAAATTTCAAGAAGGGGCTTCTAACTCATTTACCGCACATCAGATTTCCTGAAAATACTCTCCATGGAGAGTTGGCAGGGACTGAATCATTTCATACTTTCTTTCCTCCACATGAACTGATTAATGATCATCAGCAAATCAAACAGTTTATGCAGGTTTATATTTACAAATATATACTAAAAGCTACCATCTACTCAACAAGTTTTTTTTTTTTAGAGGAAAATTAACATGAACTACACTTAGTTTAGGTGTTTTCTAAATAAACTTATTTACCCTTTCTCCTGTTAACAGACCTGAGGGACACCATAGGTGCCTACAAATAAAAGAGGCTCATTATGACACTAATTCTCAATGAGAGAGGACAAAGCCATGGCTGTAAGAATCACTACTTAATTTTTCATAAAACAACATATTTATAGTCAGCTCTTGTTTCAATTAAGTTTTACCTCTGAATTTATATAGCTTTCTATCTCTAGAAAGAACATGAGTATACTTTCTGAGAATTTTATCTGGGGGTCCTAGACTTCACTTTATATATTGCTGGCACAGTAACTTTCAATTAAGGTTTTCCTTTACAAAGAAAGGATTCAATGTTACCTCTGAGATGATCCTCACCCACTATGAAGATCACTAACAGCCATTACTAAGTGGCCACTACCTAGATCAGCAGTTGCCTAAATCTACCGAACTTACTTACATAAAAGCCAGCTATCACAAACTATAAATCTTTTTCTTTTCTCTTTCCTACATTTATTGTACTCTTTAATCTGTACACATCTTTCAAAGGGCCACCCATCCACTAACATACACATATCCATCTCATCTCCACAATTTTTGCTTTAGGAATTCCTCAATTTTTCCTAAGAAGAATATGTTATGAACATTTTGCATATGTACAACAAGAATGCTACATGAAAAGAATGAGACACTCTAGAACACCATAGATACTCTAGAGTTGATTTACTCTGGTGCTACTGAAGTACCATGCTTGCTTTTTACCCTTCATTGAACAAATGTAATACACAGAAATCAAGGTTTATAAAGCATCCATACAAAGAAAATGTAATTTCAACTAGTAAGTCCAAATATGGATGTGTCTTTTCTGACACAAATGATGTTCACTCATTCACCTACAACCAGATCTATATAACGTAGTGGTTAGGAGTGCAGGCTCAAGATAAATGCCAGTTCTACTATTATCTAACCAATGTAACCTTGGGCAAAGTAATTTTAAAATTTTGCTAAGCCTCATTTTCCTCATCTACAAATTGAGGACAACAACAGATCTGGCTCATGGGGTTGTGGGGTTTAAATGAAATCCTCTATGAAAAGCATGAACACTCGACCCCAATAGCTGCTTTAGTGAATGTTTAACATTTGGTCTGAGGAAGGCTCCAGTGTAATGGTGGAAGTCATAGCTACTTCAGGAAATTGTTCACTTTTAGACTGGTTTAGGTAACATTTTAAAAAGTCTAACAATATTAGCGAATACAAACACGTAATCAAAAGAATATTCCTATAACTCAAAGTTACTTTTTAAATGTAAATGTACCCCATAAGTATGCGTAAGAATTATGCTATTTTTCCAAATCTAACTCAAGAAGTTGTTTAGACATACCTGAAACAGAAAATTCCCATTTTAGCTCACTTGTTTTAAAAATTTCTAATTTATATATGGGGAAAATATGCATATTTAATTTCCACCCTACCCCCCCAAAGCCAAGTCTCTCATCTCAATTATGTTATAAAATAAAAAACTGACAAAGAATATCAAGGTATTTCACCTGGTACTACTAAATAGGCTATACAACTATCATAAATTAAAACTCTCTTTTGTTTGAGATATGTCATGCAATAATCCTAAATATACACAATGCACAAATACTTGCTCAACCATATTCCACTGATATTTTTCTGTCCTCAGTTTGACAGGAATATCAAATTTCCTTTCTTGACATACTTTCTGTTTGCTTTAAAATAACCATTGCACAGTGAGCTGGAATACATGGAGCCAGCACTTACTCATTTTAGTACAACACAATCTTCTCCCCTTCCTCTCTCAGAACTTTTGAGGGAAGAGAACTCAGGCAACCCACTCCAGCAATACTAAATAATTTTACATAATCCACAGACCCTATTTTTGTGACGTTGTAGATGTATATTCTGTTTCTTTACATCTCAAAGACTGCTCAAAGTTGTGTCCATGGTGTACTTTAACAATATTATTAATATTGCTTTCATAATATTATTTAATACTATTACATAAGAACATAAAAATGGCTCAACCACAGACATAGGTGGACTTTGTTTATATGTCAATTGTTTTCAAAAAATCATGTAAATAAAATCCTATTTCAAAAGCAGGAGGAGAGGTTAGGAAGGCTGTCATTTATTAATTACACATTCACACATACAAACAAACAAACAAAAATCCTGTGTAGTTAGTCTTTTCATAGTGTAAACTGCCCTTTGGGTTTGTTCCAGAAGTTTGCATGTTTCTAACAGAGTTTTCCTAAGTGTACAGCCATATAAATTTGGAAAAAGAAAAATTTTAGTGTTTCCATGTAGGAAACAAAAGCAGTCTTAGGGCAATCAATTTCCTATCCCTTTTGTTATATACATCACTACAAAGGATGATTGCGTGACATGGCCTTAATATGGCCATAAAAATGATTAACTTCTAGACTAAAAAAAGGATAACGCGCTAAATATATTCCACATATTTTTGCCTTGTAATTCCTGTAATTATTTTTCACTATCTTTATCTCCCAAAGAAAGATCTGGGAGCAATAAATCTTTCTCTCCAATAAAAAGCACTAACAATCAAAGGCGTTCCGTAAATCCAGAGAAAGTTTTGGCAACTAAGGCAGAATTTCTTCCGTCCCGTCCTTACTTCATGTATCTCCACCTAGGATATTCCGTTATTAATGCCAGTCAACAGTCACTGGCTAAAGCACTGGTCAGGTGAAGCTAAATAATAGAGGGTCTGGTTTTGTTTTTAAGAAAAACAAAAACCAGGTGATGAGAACCCTCCATACGAGGCATCCTAAGGTAAGGTGACGGAATTTTCCGACTGGAGTGTCGGAAACTAGCCTCTCGACTCCCGGAAGGAATGAACTGCGAGCCAGAGAGAAGACCAGGTCATTCATGCGGTCAGTAGCAAGGGCGGCGCTAAAACGCTGGGGTCGGGGCTCCCAAGGCGCTACCTAAACCCCGGACCCCAAGGCCAGAGCCACCCCCGACGGTGCAGCGCTCCGAGGGCGCAGCCCCAGCTCCACTCTCCCGCCAGCTCCACACTCACAGGGCAGAGGCGGTGAGGAGAAGACCGCCTGAGGCAGCAGGCGAGGCGGGAAGACACTCGGCGCCTGAGACAGAGGGAATGCCCCGATATAAGTTGAGGCGGGGGAGAGGACTAAAGGTCTGGAGGACAGGGGCGTCCAGAGGAGAAAGGGGCCTAACTCTCACCCTTGTCGCACGCCAGCAAGAAAAGCTTCTCATTCAGCGTATTCTCCTCCTTCACCTCCCGCACATCCTTCAGCGCCATCACCTCGTTCGGCGAGGAAGAGGATGGAGAGGAAGGCAGGGAGGAGGAGGAGGCGCCCGAGAGGTCCGTGCTCGGGTACAGGGCCGCCATCATCGCGGCCCATGAAGGGGGCAGGCCAGGAGACGGGGGCGGGGCCCCCACCGGCCCCGACCCCGACCCCGACCCCAGCCACGCCCCAGGGCTGGAAAAAGGATGAGTCGTTCCCACTGCTGCCTCGGCTCGAGGCCCGTTGGCCCCGAAGGGCGTCGCCTCCCCTGAGAACCAGCACTCGCCCTCCACTGACAGCCCCAAGTTGGTGGCGGCGCATGCGCGGCCCCGGGGCCAGCGACCCCTCCCCAGCCGCCGGCGCCCCGGCCGAGCCGGTCCGCGCCCGTCCGGGGACGACAGTGTGGCGCGCGCCAGGGCGGCAGCCGAGCACGGGGCCGTGCCAGGAGTCGCAGGGGCCGCGCCTGGGGCGGCCTAGCCCAGGAAGAGGACGAGAGATCTGTGGGAGAGGAGCTCCAAGAGGCGCTTCTGCGCACGTTGGGC
Source organism: Homo sapiens (assembly GCF_000001405.40). Classification (NCBI taxonomy): domain Eukaryota; kingdom Metazoa; phylum Chordata; class Mammalia; order Primates; family Hominidae; genus Homo; species Homo sapiens. The sequence continues at coordinate 142,724,124 of NC_000003.12, read as the reverse complement.
TCCAGGGCTGTGGGAACCGCTGGCCCAGCTGCGCTCCGAGGAGATGTTCGCGACTCTGTCCTCACGTCATCCTCTGCTCCTCTGTAGCGACGACACTAGGGAGGAGCCTGCGGCAAGGGCGGGCTTGGGTGGGCGGGGCCTGCGGCAAGCGGGGCGTGGGTGGGTGGGGCCTGCGGTGGGGACGCACTGGGCTCCTGGAGCCCGCTGCAGCTTCCTTCGCTCTGGTGAGGTGAACCGCAGTCTGAGGAAGACTTCGCTCAATCGTCCCTTTCCACACCCAGGGTACTGGTTTAAGGTAATTAAGCAAATATGGAGCAGTATGTTAATTGAGTCTCTGACGACTTAATGTTTAGTCGAAATCCTTTGTGGAATTGTCCAGCTATTTCATATTCTGGTGCACTATGCTTTAAAGCACAATGGAGAGCCAGACTCGTGGGTTTGTATGTTGTACTCATTTTAGGCTGGAAATGAACTCTCATTTATAAAGGATATATAGATATATAATTATATTATGTTTAAATAATTTATACAAATATATAAATTTTTATTTCCATATTATTTCCATAGGTTTTTGAGGAACAGGTGGTGTTTGGTTACATGAGTAAGTTCTTTAGTGATGATTTGTGAGATTTTGATGTACCCATCATCGAGCAGTATACACTGAACCTAATTTTGTAGTCTTTTATCCCTCTCCCCCTTCCCAACCTTTCCCCGAGTCCCGAAAGTCCATTGTGTCATTCCTATGCCTTTGCATCCTCAAAGCTTAGCTCTCACTTGTGAGTGAGAACATACGATGTTTGGTTTTCCATTCCTGAGTTACTTCATTTAGAATAAGAATAATAGTCTCCAGTCCCATCCAGGTTTCTGCGAATGCCATTTATTCATTCCTTTTTATGGCTGAGTAGTATTCCATCATTATATATATATCACATATATATATACCACATATATATATATATATATATATATCACAGTTTCTTTATCCACTCATTGATTCATGGGCATTTGGGTTGGCTCCACATTTTTGCAATTGCGAATTGTGCTGCTATAAATATGCATGGGCAAGTATCTTTTTCGTGTAATGACTTCTTTTCCTCTGGGTAGATACCCAGTAGTGGGATTACTGGATCAAATGGTAGTTCTACTTTTAGTTCTCTAAGGAATCTCCACACTGTTTTCCATAGTGGTGTACTAGTTTACAGTCCCACCAGTAATGTAGAAGTGTTCCCTTTTCACCGCATCCACACCAACAGCTATTATTTTTTGATTTTTTTGATTATGGCCATTCTTGCGGAAGTAGGGTGGTACATACGGCATAGCAGTTTTGACTTGGAATTCCCTGATCATTAGTGATCTTGAGCATTTTTTCATATGTTTGTTGGCCATTTGTGTATCTTCTTTTGAGAATTGTCTATTCATGTTTTTTTGTTTTTTCTTGAGACAGAGTTTTGCTCTTGTTGCCCAGGCTGGAGTGCAATGGCGTGATCTTGGCTCACCGCAACTTCCGCCTCCCAGGTTCAAGTGATTCTCCTGCCTCAGCCTTCCGACCAGCTGGTATTACCGGCATGTGCCACCACACCCGGCTAATTTTGTATTTTTAGTAGAGACAGTGTTTCTCCCTGTTGGTCAGGCTGGTCTCGAACTCCAGACCTCAGGTGATCTGCCTGCCTCAGCCTCCCAAAGTGCTGGGATTACAAGCATGAGCCACTGCCCCCAGCCCTTTTCATGTTTTTAGCCCAGTTTTTGTTAGGATTTTTTTTTTCTTGATTATTTGTTTGAATTCATTGTAGATTCTGGATAGTAGTCCTTTGTCAGATGCATAGATTATGAAGATTTTCTCCCACTCTGTGGGTTGTCTGTTTACTCTGCTAACTCTTCCCTTTGCCATGCAAAAGCTCTTTCATTTAATCAAGTCCCAGCTATTTATCTTTCTTTTCATTGCATTTGCTTTTGGGTTCTTGGTCATGAAATCCTTGCCTAAGCCAATGTCTACAAGGGGTTTTCCGATGTTATCTTCTAGAATTTTTATAGTTTCAGGTCTTAGATTTAAGTTCTTGATCCATCTTGAGTTTATTTTTGTATAAGGTGAGAGATGCAGATCCAGTTTTATTCTCCTACGTGTGGCTTGCCAATTATCCCAGCACCATTTGTTGAATAGGGTGTCTTTTCCCCCACTTTATGTTTTTGTTTGCTTTGTTGAAAATCAGTCGGCTGTAAGTATTTGGGTTTATTTCTGGGTTCTCTATTCTGTTCCATTGGTCTATATGCCTATTTTTATGCCAGTACCATGCTGTTTTGGTGACAGTAGCCTTATAGTATAGTTTGAAATCAGGTAATGTGATGTCTCCAGATTTGTTCTTTTCGCTTCATCTTGCATTGGCTATGCAGGCTCTTTTTTGGTTCCATATGGATTTTAGGATTATTTTTTCTAGTTCTGTGAAGAATGATGGTGGTATTTTGATGGGAATTGCATTGAATTTGTAGATTGCTTTTGGCAGTATGGTCATTTTCACAATGTTGATTCTACCCATCCATGAGCATGGGATGTGTTTCCATTTGTTTGCCTCGTCTGTGATTTCTTTCAGCAGTGTTTTGTAGTTTTCCTTGTAGAGTTCTTTCTCCTTCTTTGTTAGGTATGTTCCTAAGTATTTTATTTTTCTAATAAAACAAAATACTTTTGCCGCTATTGTCAAAGGAATTGAGTTCTTTGTTTGATTCTCAGCTTGGTTGCTGTTGGTGTATAGGAGGGCTACTGATGTGTGTACATTAGTTTTGTATCCTGAAACTTTGCTGACTTCTTTTATCAGTTCTAGGAGCATTTTGGAGAAGTCTTTAGGGTTTTCTAGATATACAATCATATCATCAGCAAACAGCAACAGTTTGACTGCCTCTTTACTGACTTGGATGCCCTTTCTTTCTTTCTCTTCTCTGATTGCTCTGGATGGGACTTCCAGTACTATGTTGAAGAGGAGTGGTGAGAGTGGGCATCCTTGTCTTATTCCAGTTGTCAGAGGGAATGCTTTCAACTTTTCCCCATTCAGTATTGTGTTGGCTGTGGGTTTGTCATAGATGGCTTTTATTACATTGTGGTATGTCCCTTGTATGCCAGTTTTGCTGAGGGTTTTAATCATAAAGGGATGCTGGATTTTGTCAAGTGCTTTTTCTGCGTCTGTTAAGATGATCATGTGATTTGTTTTTAATTCTGTTTATGTGATGTATCACATTTATTGACTTGCATATGTTAAACCATCCCTGCATCCCTGGTATGAAACCCACTTGATCATGGTGGATTATCTTTTTGATATGTTGTTGGATTCAATTAGCTAGTATTTTGTTAAGGATTTTTACATCTATGTTCATCTGGAATATTGGTCTGTAGTTTGGTTTTTTTTTTTTTTTTTTTTTTGGGTTATGTTCTTTCCTGGTTTTGGTATTAGGGTGATACTGGCTTCATAGAATGCTTTAGGGAGGATTTCCTCTTTCTGTGTCTTGTGGAATAGTGACATTCTTCTTTAAATGTCTTTAAATGTCACAGGATCAGCTGTGAATCTGATCCTGGACTTTTTTTGTTGGTGATTTTTTTTATTACCGTTTCAATCTTGCTGCTTGTTATTGGTCTGTTCAGAGTATCTAATTCTTCCTGATTCAAGCTAGGTGGGTTGTATCTTTCCAGGAATTTATCCATCTCCTCTAGGTTTTCTAGTTTATGTGTGTAAAGGTGTTCATAGTAGCCTTGAATGATCTTTTGTATTTCTGTGGTGTCAATTGTAGTATCTCCCATTTCATTTCTAATTGAGCTTATTTGGATTTTCTCTCTTCTTTTCTTGATTAATCTTTTTAATGGTCTATCAATTTTATTTATCTTTTCAGAGAACCAGCTTTTTGTTTCTTTTTTTTTTTTTTTGTGATGGAGTCTTGCTCTGTCACCCAGGATAGAGTGCAGTGGCGCAATCTCAGCTCACTGCAAGCTCTGCCTCCCGGGTTCATGCCATTCTCCTGCCTCAGCCTCCTGAGTAGCTGGGACTACAGGTGCCCACCACCACGCCGGGCTAATTTTTTGTATTTTTTTAGTAGAGACGGGGTTTCACTGTGTTAGCCAGGATGGTCTCGATCTCCTGACCTTGTGATCTGCCCGCCTCGGCCTCCCAAAGTGCTGGGATTACAGGCGTGAGCCACTGCGCCCGGCCTATTTCATTTGTCTTTTGTATTTTTTTTTTTCCATTTCAATTCCATTTAGCTCTGCTCCGATCTTATTTCCTTTCTTCTGCTGGGTTTGGGTTTGGTTTGTTCTTGTTTCTCTAGTTTCTTGAGGTATGACCTTAGATTGTCTATTTGTGCTCTTTCAGACTTTTTGATGTAGGCATTTAGGGCTATGAGCTTTCCTCTTAGCACCACCTTTGCTGTATCCCAGAGGTTTTGATAAGTCATGTCACTATTGTTGTTCAGCTTGAAAAATTTTTAAATTTCCATCTTGATTTCATTTTTGACCCAGTTGTCATTCAGGAGCAGGTTATTTAATTTCCATGTATTTGCATAGTTTTGAAGGTTCCTTTTGGAGTTGATTTTCAGTTTTATTCCACTGTGGTCTGAGAGAGTGCTTGATATAATTTTAATTTTCTTAAATTTATTGAGATTTGTTTTGTGGCCTATCATATGATCTATCTTGGAGAAAGTTCCACGTGCTGATGAATAGAATGTATATTCTGCAGTTGTTTGGTAGAATGTTACGTAAACATCTGTTAAGCCCATTTGTTCCAGGGTATAGTTTAAATCCATTGTTTCTTTGTTGACTTTCTGTCTTGATGACCTGTCTAGTACTGTGAGTGGAGTATTGAAATCCCCCACTATTATTGTGTTGCTGTCTATCTTATTTCTTAGGTCTGGTAGTAATTGTCTTATAAACTTGGGAGCTCCAGTCTTAAGTGCATATATATTTAGGATTGTGATATTTTCCTATTGGACAAGGCCTTTTGTCATTATGTAATGTCCCTCTTTGTCTTTTTTAACTGTGGTTACTTTAAAGTTTGTTTTGTCTGATATAAAAATAGCTATTCCTCCTTGCTTTTGGTGTCCATTTGCATGAAATGTCTTTTTCCACCCCTTTACCTTAAGTTTATGCAAATCCTTATGTGTTAGGTGGGTCTCTTGAAGGCAGCAAATAGTTTGTTGGTGAATTCTTATCCATTCTGCAATTCTGCATCTTTTAAGTGGAGCATTTAGACTATTTACATTCAATGTTAGTATTGAGATATGAGGTGCTATTCCATTCATTGTGCTATTTGTTGCTTGTATACCTTGGGTTGTTTTTTTTTTAAATTGTATTTTTGTTGTATAGGTCCTGTGAGATTGATGCTTTAAAGAGGATCTGTTTTGATGTGCTTCCAGGATTTTTTTCAAGATTTAGAGCTCCTTTTAGCAGTTCTTGTAGTGCTGGCTTGGTAGTGGTGAATTCTCTCAGCATTTGTCTGAAAAAAACTGTATCTTTCCTTCATTTATGTAGCTTAGTTTCGCTGGATACAAAATTCTTGGGTGATAATTGTTTTGTTTAAGGAGACTGAAAATAGGGCCCCAGTCCCTTCTAGCTTGTAGGGTTTCTTCTGAAAAATCTGCTGTTAATCTGATAGATTTTCCTTTATAGGTTACCTGGTGCTTTTGCCTCACAGCTCTTAAGATTCTTTCCTTCATTTTAACTTTTGATAACCTGATGACAATGTGCCTAGGCGATGATCTTTTTGCGATGAGTTTCCCAGGTGTTCTTTGAGCTTCTTGTATTTGGATGTCTAGGTCTTTAGCAAGGCTGGGGAAGTTTTCCTCAATTATTCCCCCAAATATGTTTTCCAAACTTTTAGATTTCTCTTCTTCTTCCACAAGAATGCCAATTATTCTTAGGTTTGGTTGTTTAACATAATCCCAGACTTCTTGGAGTCTTTGTTCATTTTTTCTTTATTCTTTTTTCTTTGTATTTGTTGGATTGGATTAATTTGAAAACCTTGTCTTCGAGCTCTGAAGTTCTTTCTTCTGCTTGTTCGATTCTATTGCTGAGACTTTCCAGAGCATTTTGCATTTCTCTAAGTGCATCCATTGTTTCCTGAAGTTTCGATTGTTTTTTATTTATGCTATCTATTTCACGGAAGTTTTCTCCCCTCATTTTGTTTTTTGTTGTTGTTGTTGTTGTTGTTGTTTCTTTTGTTTAGTAGAGACGGGGTTTTGCCATGTTGCTCAGGCTGGCCTTGAACTCCTGGCCTCAAGTGATCGACCCACCTCGGCCTCCCAAAGGGCTAGGATTACAGGTATGAGCCACCATACCTGGCCTCCCCGTATTTCCTCTTATTTTTTTTTATTTCTTTAAATTGGGCTTCACCTGTCTCTGGTGCGTCTTTGATTAGCTTAGTAACTGACCTGAATTCTTTTTCAGGTAAATCAGGGATTTCATCTTGGTTTGGATCCATTGCTGGTGAGCTAGTGTGATTTTTTGGGGGGTGTTAAAGAGCCTTGTTTTGTCATATTACCAGAATTGTTTTTCTGGTTCCTTCTCATTTGGGTAGTCTATGTCCGATGGAAGGTCTAGGGCTCAAGGCTGCTGTTCAGCTTCATTTGTCCCATGAGGTGTTCCCTTGATGTAGTACTCTCCCCCTTTTCCTAGGGATGTGGCTTCCTGAGAGCCAAGCTGTAGTGATTGTTATCTCTCTTCTGGATCTAGCCACCCAGCAAGTCTATCAGGCTCTGGGCTGGTATTGGGGGTTGTCTGCACTGAGTCCTATGATGTGAACCATCCACAGGTCTCTCGAGGCTCTGTGTGTGTGTGTGTGTGTGTGTCTGTGTGTGTGTGTGTGTGTGTGTGTGTGTATATATATATATATTTATTTTTTTGAGACGGAGTCTTCCTCTGTCACCAGGCTGGAGTGCAAGTGGTGTGATCTTGGCTCACTGCAACCTCTGCCTCCCAGGTTCAAGTGATTCTCCTGCCTCAGCCTCCCGAGTAGCTGGGACTACAGCCGTGCACCACCACGCCCAGCTAATTTTTGTTATTTTTAGTAGAGACAGGGTTTCACTACATTGGCCAGGATGATCTCAATCTCTTGATCTCATGATCTGCTCACCTTGGCCTCCCAAAGTGCTGGGATTACAGGTGTGAGTCACTGTGCCTGGTCTTTTTTTCTTCTTTTTTTTTTTTTTGAGATGGAGTCTCACACCATCATTCTGGCTGGAGTGCAATGGCACGATCTCGGCTCACTGCAACCTCTGCCTCCCAGGTTCAAGCAATTCTTCTGCCTCAGCCTCCCGAGTAGCCGGGATTACAGGTGCCCGCCACCATGCCCAGCTAATTTTTTGTATTTTTAGTAGAGACAGGGTTTCACCGTGTTGATCAGGCTGGTCTTGAACTCCTGACCTCGCGATCTGCCCGCCTCAGCCTCCCAAAGTGCTGGGATTAGAGGCATGAGCCACCACACCCGGCCGAGTCTGTATATTTTTTAACAACCAGTTTGTGATCTGAAATTGGCATAAGATTCCTATTGTCACACATGTGTTTGCAATTAATTCAAAAGTATGGACATGTAACTATTGGATAAGTTTGTCATCACGTTTATGAATCTGATTTTAAAAGACAGATCTGTTATTTGGGCAAGAGTTGAATGAAGCTCCGTAAGTGCTCCTTCCCTCCTCTCTTTCTCCCAGAGGGTCATGCTGTTTGGCCCAGGCTGGAGTGTGCGGTGGCATAGTCATAGCTCATTGCAGCCTCAACCTTCTGGGCTCCAGCAATCCTCCCACCTCAATTTCCCAAGTAGCTGGAACCAGAAGTGCATGCCACCACACCCGGCTAACTTTTTAAAGTTTTTTTGTAGACAAGGGGTCACACTATGTTGTCCAGGCTGGCCTTTGAACTCCTAGGTTCAAGTGCCACCGCCCACCTTGGCCTCCCAAAGTGCTGGAATTACAGGCATGAGTCATCATACCCTGCCAAATAATTTATTTTTAACCAAACTTTTAAAGTATTATAACCATTATAGAGTTGCTGTTGTCTTCTGCTTTTAAAAGGTAATGGAGGAGAAACTGGAAATTCCGCCTCTTGAATAATTCCTGTTGCTTCCCATAATCATATAGAAAACTCTAAATTGTGCCTTTAAAGTTTTAGGTTTTTAAAAGAATACATAAATTTACTTCAGAGTATCTTATATTTGGAGGAAATACTCCCTATCCTGTTCAGGCTGGTATGTTCCATCCCTGTCTCAGCCAGCACGTTAACTCCCAAAATTTCCTAAATACAACTTTCTCATAATTCAAAGTCTTTGTTAGGTCTTTTCTAAGAGGCCTTAGCAGACCGTCTTTCCAAACATTTTCATGTATTTACTTCAAAACAGTTGATAATCTATTGAGTTTGTTTTCTGTCTTATCCCTAGTAGATGGTAAATCTTCCTCATTTTGTAATGTTTAATACAGTTCCAAGTTTATTTGGTGGAATGTCAAGATTGTTCCTGTAAATTTGTGGCCAGTGAACAGTGGCACATATTTGTATTTATGCGTGTGTGCTTACACTCTCTGTAGTGCAGCACAATTTTTAGTTAGTAGCAGAAAAACACTAACCCTGATGTACCCAAAACTTCGTGTTTGAGGGAAAAAATTTAGATGGCTCAGAACTATGTCGCACATGTGATATAGCAGGAGAGCAAGCGAGATAGAGCGCGATGTAGATATAGCTTCACTTTAATCCGAGGCATTTGCAAGTTGCTGGACCTAGATGATTCTTTATCCAGAGGACTCCCATAGGGGCTGGATTAATTTCTAAGACTGGGGAATCCCAACTTACTTTGGTAGATAATTCTAGGAGGCCTTTCAAAGTGCTGGGGGTGGGGGTGCTGTTCCTACTTCAAACTAAGCCAGTGTTGCAACTGCACCCTGTTCTTCACAAGTCTTTTTGGATCATCTCAGCTGCAGAAATCCTCTCTTACCTCTCTGATACACTTTTTGTTGTTTTTAAGAGACAGCATCTTGCTGTGTCACCCAGGCTGGAGTGCAATGGTGCAATCATAGCTCATCATAGTGTCGAAATCCCAGGCTCAAACAATCCTCCCACCTCAGCCTCCTGAGTAGCTAGGACTACAGGTGCACACCACCACACCCATCTAATTAAAAAAAAAAATTGAGGACTGGGCCCAGTGGCTCATGCCTGTAATCCTAGCACCTTGGGAGGCCGAGGCGGGCAGACCACTTGAGGTCAGGAGTTCAAGACCAGCCTGGCCAACATGGTGAAACCCTGTCTCTACTAAAAACACAAAAAAAAATTAGCCAGGCATGGTGACACACATCTGTAATCCCAGCTACTCAGGAGGATGAGGCACAAGAATCACTTGAACCCAGGAGGCAGAGGTTGCAGTGAGCCGAGATTGTGCCACTGCACTCCAGCCTGGACAAGAGAGAGAGACTCCGTCTCAATAAATAAATAAAATTTTGTAGCAAGAGTCTATGTTGCCCAGGTTGGTCTCAAACTCCTGGCCTCAAGCAGTCCTCCCACCTTGGCCTCCCGAAGTGCTGAGATTATAGGCATGAGCTACTGTGCCTGGCCTGGTACACTATTTATCCAGCATAAATTGGGGTATTTTAACATAATCTATGCAGCCTATCATCAGTTTTTTCTACACAGGTGATACAGAGACCAGTGGCAGAGTTATGATGAACAGTAGCATCCAAGATTCAGAAGCAGCATATTACTTCAAGCAGCTTACCCAAACCACATATACAAAAGAGCAGTCATGACTCCAGTCAGAGAAGAAAAAAAAAAATCCAGATTTAGATCTAGTCCTACAATACCCTAGACTCCATCTCCATCTCCAGACTCTGCCTCTCCCTCAGTACTCTCAGGTCATGTTCACCTGTTTGTCTTCTAGGATGCCTACAGGACTGCCTGCTTCAGGTTCTTTACATTTGTTCTCTCTGCTGAACACTTATAGCACAAATATCCTTAGAGAGACCTTCCCTGACCACCCAAATACAAATAATCTCCACTCCATTTCCCAAGTCAGTCTCTATCACATTACCTTATGTTATTTCTTCTACTGCATTATCACTGTCTAAAATTCCTATTTACGAATTGTCTCTCTACTAGGATATCATACATGGATGTGATACATGAGGTCAGGAGACTTCATCTGTATTTTTTTCAGATGAATCCCCAGTGTCTAGCATAGTATCTGGATCATAATAAATGATAAATTTGTGAATGGATTGATTCACCTGAATTATTTCAGCACAAACTAAATTGTAGTAATCACACAGTTGGTTTTTAATAATTCTTCATATTTAAGAACAAAAGAACTACCCTCATCTTCAAAGAAATCAGACACAATTTTTTTTTTGTTTTACTAACTCATTTAGGAATTCTTTTCTTTTCTGGAAAATAAGCTTATGCTAGACTAATTTTCAAGGCTGAATATTTTTCTTCAAATGAAATAAATATAAACACATTTCTATATACACAGCATTTTTATTAAATATACTCTGTGAGAAAAAGAACACCCTAAAGTGCCAGATTTCATGTAAATCCAATAACTTAGTAAATACAATGGTGAAAAAAAATCAGAGGGAAACATAATTTAAATAATCTTATAAAAGAGCAAGAACATATCTTAATCTTAAGAAAACAATCATCAAAATATAAAAGGGAAAGAAATCTCTTTTGTAGAAGAATATATTTCAAATTCCACCTGTTGATCATTTCATTTAAAAAATTCTATTCTAAACACATGGGCAGTCTCTCTTACCAATATATATATTTAAATCAATGGTAGAAAGGGAATTTAGACTACTCATTCACACTGAGATAAAGTGACATTTTTGTTGCACAACAGTATTGCTCACTGGCACTAACAGTGGAAGATGGAGAAAGTAGATTTCTGGATTCAATTGTTAGCAGCAGAAATGGACTAATGCTAAAAATTTAGAAAAAAATAGTCCAAGCTGTAGCGATTTCCAAGTAATACAAACATTAACCAAACATTGCCAATTTGTAACGGGCTGTGAAAAACATATGAAAATACTCTACATTGAATACTAGCTTTATGTTACTTTCTATTAAAGATATTCAGTGGGCATATTCTAAATTATATAGGGCTTCTATAGAGACCTAAACTAGCAAGTATAATATGAAGCTAACAGGACAGTGTCAGCATATCTTGGGATGTTCTAGCCAATGTTTGGCTACAAGTATTTGGAAGGGGTCAAATAACTATATGCACATTCAAAATGAATACTTATAAAAAGAAATCTTAATGTATCAGATATCCACAGACTGAAAAGTGTTACACATGTTGTGGGGGGAAAATACTGATGGTTGGCTGAATGACCAATTAAACATACCACTTATGAAAAGCTGGGTGATTCAGGTGCAAAAAAATATATATGCACACATATCTCTCTAATAACATCCTACCAACATATATATGTTGCATGACATAGTTAAAGCTGTGTTACCAAACTAGGATGTGTAAAGTATCAATGTAGTTAAAATTAAATTTTAAGTAAAAAGCTGCTGCTACTTAAACAAGAGAGTGAACTTTGGGGTTTATTCAAGAATTAGTTCTCATATATAAAAAAGTTTGATATTAATAAACAATTCTGGTCACCATAAGGTTTTAGACAGTATAGAAACTTACAGAAAAGTGTTTTTGGACCACTTTAAATAGTTGGAGGAAGCAAATAAAAGGATTAAACTGGATTATGAGTATGAATGCATTTATGATCAAAATTAACACACCAAAAAAATCAAACCACATTTCACAGCAGAACCTGCAAAAACGTTTGTATTCATCTTTTTTGAACCATAAAAAAGAATGATTTAGTCTTGTCTAATACGACTTTTAAGCAACAAAAATAATTTAATCATGAAGTATCAGCTTGATTATGAATATATTCTATTATCTGTATCAGTTGGTAAATTAACTGTGTTACCCAAAAAGGCTGACCAGCTCTAACTAGTATGAACAGGATATTGAATTCATTAATGAATATATAACTATTTTGAGCATACAAATAATCTCTGGTTTTACACCCACTACATTTCAGAATCCTGTAAACTGTGAGGCATACAATATGTTTAATGTGGCAGAAAATCATATGAAATGATTATTTTATTCTGTTCAGTCCTTTTCCCATTAAGCATGCAAACACCGTCATAACCATCTTTGGTTTCACTTCTACGAGGTCATCAGGTAATGCATATATCCGGGCACCGATCTTTCGAGCAACTGAAATGGCGTATCTTGAAGAGACAAGAAAAATATCTTGGTGTTATCCACTGTGTTTTCACTTAACATATTTTAACAAAAGAGTGAAATATTTTGACAAGATTAGTTTTACGAAAAGGTTAAGTTTGTGAGTCTTAAATCTAAGACTCACATATAAGTTATATTTAAAAATATGAATTTTAAGGGCATAGTAACTTTTCCTATAAGGATTTTAGAGAATTAAAGGGCCATGTATTGTAATATAAACCATAAAGGCTTACTTAGCATTGTTCAGCTTGTCCTCATCAGATAAGTTTTCTCTCCTGATCATTTCTTGACGAACTGCATTTGGTGCAATGGCATCTATTAAATCTAGGACAGGTAAACTTGTGCTTATAGATTTATCCTAGAAAATAAAGCATAGATGAACATTCATAAACATCTGACCTTTAATTTTCATTATTTTCAGACTCTTCTGATCATATAACTGAAGGCAATCTACAAATTCTTTGTACTTAACCTAACGTTCAGCTTTTCTGCAACCAGCACACATAAATAAACCCTTTAAAATATACTTTTCCTTGAATCTTTATATATAATATAGAGTTGTCACCATATCTGAATAAGGTTTGTGGACATGATAGCTCCTAAGTATGCTAACTATAGTGTCCATTCTGTAAAAAATACAAAACTTTTGAAAGGGAATAGATGAATTTTTAATTAACAATTTTATAAATTCTACTCACATATTTCTTAGACCATGAATCCAAAAGCCTTCCCTTAATATTTTTCAGAAAGAAAAATGAAATAGTGAAAGGGAACTAACACTTACAAAGACATTGTCTTGTTGTTTTACATGTTTTAGTTTATTTAATCCACCTTTTAAACCCTAGCATCTTGATAGTAAAGGAATTCTTTTTTAAAAAAAGATGAAGAATATAAAGTTAAGATAGCTCAAATGACTTGTTTACACAACCAGTAAATACAGAACCCATGACAGTCTGACTCTAAAATGCCCAAGAGTCTCTCCATTTTTAAGTTACCACCAAGGCAAGCTAAAAATGGACAACTAAATTATAGTGAATAGCGCACTGCAGATGAAATCAGACATCCTGGTCTGAACTGATTTTTACCACTTATCAGTACTTGAACAAATTATTTGTTTTCTCTCTCAGCTTGAATAGTGGCCACCACTGCTTGCCTACCCAGAATCTACACACTCTTTACTTCTTTCATACAAGTAGAACCCATATTTTTGCTCTATATCCATACCTCCTTCACACAGACATCAGCTTCAAGGAAAGCTGACATTCATAGTTCCAGGAGTGAACCTAAATTAATCTAGGTCAAGCATTCTCAATAGGGGTAGGGTGATAACCTTGTTTATGTATAAAGCATACAGTGCATAAACAGGTATACAGTGTATCTCTGCATTAAAATTTCATGGGAGAGACAAAAACGGAAAAAAAGGTCTAAAAATATTCCTTAGAGGATAATTTTCTTTTAAGATTTCAAAACACTGGTCTAAGCCAAATAGAGGAATGCTATTCTATTACCACAGTAATTTAATTTGGGCCTATGTTATGGAAAGCCAGCAACCCCTCCTCCTGGATGTGAATGAGAGAATGAAACCTCTGTCACAAGCAGCAACTATCCTATGACCAAAAGGAAAACCAGCTTTAGGGTGAAGCTGGCACATTAGATGGCAAAGCAGAGATGGGAAAAAAAAAAAAAAAAAAGAGTCCTGAATGACATTCTTCAATTATTGGTTCAACCAATCCAGAAGTCTACCCTACCTCTGGATTACTGTTATTGTAGTCAACACCTTTCCTTTTGGTTTAAACCACTTGAAATTGGGTTTCTGTTACTTGAAGCCAGAGCACCCTTTCCTAATCTCTAAAGTAGAATGTCATAGGATTCTTAGGAATACTGAGGTGGTATAGGTGAAAACATCTAGTATAGGCTCTAGCCAAATGTCAGTTCTTAATCAATATCTAATAAAACAATCTGAAGCCATGTGAAGAAGAGTAACAGCTTCTTTGAGCCACAATCTATGAGCCACTTCATTTATTAATTTTTTTTTTTTTTTTGACGCAGAGTCTCGCTCTGTTGCCCAGGCTGGCGTGCAGTGTTGCCATCTTGGCTCACTGCAAGCTCTGCCTCCCAGGTTCATGCCATTCTCCTGCCTCAGCCTCCTGAGTAGCTGGGACTACAGGCGCCGGCCACCACACCCGGCTGATATTTTTGTATTTTTAGTAGAGATGGGGTTTCGCCGTGTTAGCCAGGATGGTTGTGATCTCCTGACCTCGTGATCCACCCGCCTCGGCCTCCCACCGTGGTGGGATTACAGGCCTGAGCCACTGTGCCCGGCCTCATTTATTAATTTTAGAAAAATTTATATTCTTATGTTCATGTTATGATACAGATTTTTGGGCAGGAATGTTCATTTTATGATACAGATCTTTGGCCAGGGGTAATGTTCATTTTATGATACAGATCTCTGGGCAGGGGTAAGAGAGAGAGGGTAAAAATAATTAGGTCCTTTAAGTCTATCTGATGCTGGTAATCTGGATCTGCTTTTTGTATCTTTTCTGTTTCTGAGAAATCAGTCTGCAGACCACCTACATGAAAATCATGTGGGGTATTTGTTAAAAGTGCAAATCTAGCCCCACTCAAACTAATGTCAGGTTATCTATGAATGAGGCTGGGAATCTACATTTTTAATAAGCTTTCTAGATGACTCTAAATGTGTACTGTATTATACTTTCTAAAAACAATATTTCATTCTAGAATGCATTTTAATTTCTATGGGCTTACCTTTCATATATGTATATGATTATTTTTTAAAATACAAGTGACTTATTTAATTGTGCTATAATTTGATTCCTTATTTACATATTTGTGTTATTTTAAATATTTCATTTAGATTTAGGAAACAAGTATTTTTCCCACCCATTTTCTTATGAGTTACCTTGCGTAAAGCTTCTACTGAGTTTAATGAAGAATTTAAGTTTCTAAAGATTGTATCAGATCTCTTATCTTCTTGTTTCCAAGAAAATAGCCCTGTCTTCCAAATCCTCTGATTTGTACATTATCAGTGAAAGACATTTTACTTTTGCAAAGGGAAAGGGGTTATAGTGAAAACCCTTAGGTTAGTATATAAATACATTTCCATTATTTCTCCTTTTATTTCCTTAAGTTAATCATAAAGAAATGACTTCGGCAAAAAGAATTTCAATATCTTAATCTAGAATTACCTACAGCTTGATTTTCAAGATAATGATTTTTCCCTCTATTTGATATGTATTAGAACATTTCATTCCACTGCTGTTTCTGTCATTTTAAAAAATAAAAGTGGAAAGGCCGGGCGTGGTGGCTCATGCCTGTAATCCCAACACTTTGGGAGGCCAAGGCAGGCAGATCAGGAGGTCAGGAGATTGAGACCATCCTGGCTAACACGGTGAAACCCCATCTCTACTAAAAGTACAAAAAATTAATTGGGCGTGATGGCGGGCGCCTGTAGTCCCAGCTACTCGGGAGGCTGAGGCAGGAGAATCGCTTGACCCTGGGAGGCAGAGGTTGGAGTGAGCTGAGATCGCGCCACTGCACTCCAGGCTGGGTGACAGAGCAAGACTCAGTCTCAAAAAAATAAATAAATAAAATAAACAAATAAATCTGGAAAAACAGTGATGTGGACACCAGACTTCCCTAAGAGGCTCAGCAGAGTCCCCTGTCCTGCCACATATGATGCCCTTTATATATTAGCAATGCCAACAGCGTGGTAAGCCCCATTTATTGAGCCCTTAATATGTGCTAGGTACTGTTAAGCTCTTTACATTTTGTTAACTTATGTAGTCTAACAACAATCTTAGTAGAGAGGGATTATTAATTTCCCCATTTTAGATATGGGGAAACTGAAGAATAGAGAAATTAATAACTTGCCCATGGTCACACAGATACTAAATGCTGAGCCAGAAGTAAGCTCTGTTTTATTCATCAGTAGATGTAGCCCTGCTGTTAGTTTAAACCGCTAAGGTTTCTGTAAAACAGATGCCCTTCTCATGTGGTCCCACACTCCCCCCTTAGCTGATTTATATAGTATTGCTGACACCCCATACTGTGATTCTTGTTTTCTTATTTGCCACCTTCCCTGAATAGTGAGCTCTTTGAGGGCACTATGTAGCCACAGCGACTAGCAAGGCACCTGACACAGGGCAAGCTTTGAATATTTATGGAATAAATGAGCAGTATGCTACACAGCTAATCAGTAGCTCAGCCAAAAGTCAACCCAGGGCCATACAACTCCAAAGCTTGGCTTTCACCTTGTGTGTAGACAGACCTGGATATGAAACCCAGCTGTTCTGCTTAAAAGCTGTATGACAGTAGACAGTTACTTAACTTCTCTAATGCTCACCTTTTTGCTCAGAGTATTTAGAAAATTAAACAATGTGTAAAGTGCTTAACATAGTGACACGAAGGACTCAATAAATGGTAATTATGATTATTATTTGCTGATCTACCACCTTCTCTGTCTTCTTAGCAAGGGAAATTTATGGCTAAAAAGGGTAAATTTGTCTTTTCTGAAATTCCTATAGTGCTACCTTGTTTATAATTAAAATTTTTCTGCTAGTGCCACTTATTATAGCCTTCAAACATAATGCCTTCTGTAGTTGGAAAAATACCTCCCTCACCTCAACTATGTTTTAGCATTCACTGCCTCATTTCTTAACCATTTGCACTCTCTTTAAAGATTTTATCATTAAGCATATGCAAAATGCCAAGCACTTTCGCGATGTTTCTGCCACCTCAGTTCTAAGTAGAGCCAAACTCTCAGGTCGGCTGTTCTCTAGGGTTGCTCTCCCTTAAAAGGTTTATGCACTCCCATTTCTCAACCCTTTTATTCAACTGATCACCAAGTCTGTCTTTCCAGTTTTAGTATCTCCTTTCACCACCCCCATTTTCCTAAAATTACCTCAAATTCAAGCTTAAAACTGAACTCATCACCTTTTCCAGGAAGTAGCTGTACCTCATGACATCCTCATTTCTATTAGTGTTATCTGTTTTCCGGTTACCCATGCCCAAAACATGAAGAGTTTTGGCTCCTCCCTCCCTTCTTCTTCCCCAGATCAGGAAGCCAAATCCTAGTTCTTCTTTTGCAATAACTTATAGCTTTCTAATCTTACCATTTCCATTCCCAGCCCCAGCCCCCTTATTACATCACACCTTGAGTACTGCCTTGGATTCTTTTGCATTGTCCTTGCAGTTACACTATTCTCCCTCCCCATCCTGTTCACTACATTCAGATTGGTATTCCTAAAATAATTGCCTTTCTTATTACCCCCTTTACTCAATATCCTTTATTTAGGCCAAAATCCTCTACAATCTTGACCCAATTTATGTCTTGCGCAACATCCCTTAGGAACCGTCCTATTTCTCCTAACTTTCTGAGACATGCCTTTATTCAAGATGGACCCTTCTAAGTTTGTTATCCCCCTTTCTCTCCACTAATTCAAATCCTCCCACCATCTATGATGTTCAAATCCAGCTGTCTTTATCGGCTCTTCACTGACCATTCAATTGGAAATGATCAGACTTTTCATCCATAATATTAGTTGCATTACTTGGATTTTATTACTCTGTAGTATTGTTACCTTCTCAGTTATACAATCTTTGTCTTTAAAATAAATGGTGAACACTCTGAGGGCCAAATTAATTTCCTATACTTTATGCCTTTTTCTTTACTTATAAAAGTTACTTAATAGGAGCTCAATAAATATTAATTTGCTCCTAAATATTTTCTCATATTAACTATATACATGTTTAATATTTTCTATAATGTGCAAATGCATATAATTTCAACATAACAATTTTAAAGAATAACTGCCAATTAGAGAATTTTATAATACAATCCCCATTGCTATTTTATATTTTTGTGTTTTATGTTTAAAACACAGAGAGACAAATCATGCACTGAAAATTACTTCAAAAAAAACAAGCAGTAACAAAAACTCAATGTCATTAGTTTCTTCCAAGATAGAAAAGGGGGGGTGGAAATCAATTGAACTAGGACTCAGGCAACGTCTCTGCCAATATCCAGCTGTCCTGTTAAAACCGTTTTGGGTCTTAGTTTTTGGCAAACATGAGAAGATTGAACTGATAAATTTCTGACATTTCTTTCACTTTGCAATGTTGTTAAGCATATAGAGCGAAGGCAAAGAGAGAAATAAAAATGGGTAGATAATCTCTTAGGATAGCTTAGTGTTTCATCTCTTTGTACTTTATTTCAGTAAAAAAACCACAAATTTATTGCTAGTTTTTCACACATAATAAAATCACAAACACAAGGCTCACTGAATGAATGTGTACAAGCAGACATGCTTATTTGTAGCTAACATCGGCTTGCATGCAAAAGCAAAACACAATGGAAATGCATGAAAATTAGTGGGTATGTATGTACAGATTACATTTTGAGTGCTTTATGAATCATCCACAAATGCTTGGAAGTGAGTGTTAAGTGCCATTATGAAGCCAGATGACAAGATTTTTTTTTTCCTACCAGTTTTCTCAATTCCCACTTGAATCGGTTTGGCTGGCTCTGTTATGCCTTGGAAATGATGTCAATACAATTCTGAGACTGCTGCTAGGGAGCACAAAACATTATAGGTCCTATATAAACAATGGCTTCTTATCTTTTTCATTTGATAACTGGATTTTTTTTAGCTCTATTCTGTTTATTTTTTAAGATTAGATTACCAGAGTCAGATAATATTAACCTACATTTATACTTAACTGGACAACCAATCAAAAATTTAGTAATTAAAACTGAATATTTCAAGTTTACACAGGCCAAATAATTAGTATGCCTAAACTCATAAATCATGTTTCTGACATACAACATTAATATATTTCTAAACCAAACCAATGTAATTTCCAATAAAAATTCGTTCCTGGCCAGGCGTGGTAGCTCATGCCTGTAATCCCAACACTTTGGGAGGCTGAGGCGGGCGGATCACGAGGTCAGGAGAGCGAGACCATCCTGGCTAACATGGTGAAACCCCATGTCTACTAAAAATACAAAAAAAAAAAAAAAATTAGCCGGGTGTGGTGGCGGGCACCTGTAGTCCCAGCTACTCAGGAGGCTGAGGCAGGAGAATGGTGTGAACCTGGGAGGCAGAGCTTGCAGTGAGCCAAGATCGCGCCACTGCACACCAGCCTGGGTGACAGAGCGAGACTCCATCTCCAAAAAAAAAAAAAAAAAAAAAAAAAAAAAATTCCTTCCTATACCTACAAAAAAAAATTTTTTTTAGGACTCTTGATTACCTTGAAGCTGGAAATAGAAGTCTTTTTGTTTGCACTTTTAAGAGTCTGATTGACCCATTTAATTATAATTTCATCATTTACTTTTTCACCCTCTCCAAGATCCGATAACACATTCAATGTGTACCTGCAACAGAAAAGATGTATATTTGAGACTGAAAAGGGTGAAATTTGCTTTCACATAATTTATATCAATGTTTAGATAAATACTTAAGAAATAGTTCAGTTCTAATAAATATTTCTAATTTTAGTCTGGCATTTGCACCCAGTTACATTCCAAAGTTACAAACCTCATTAATCAGAAACAAAAACTACTACATGGTATTTTTAAAACTTAAAGCAATTCCTTATGAAGCCATTTTTAAGAGGCATTAATAAAAGTGATAGTGTTTCTGGATATTGACCCATTTTTAAATAAAATATAATTTACAAAAAAACCATAATCAACAGTAAATCCTTTAAAAATTAAAATATTTTGCATTGTATATTTCTTCTGTGTTCATTATTGTTCAAAAATAGCTAAAAATTTGGTTCAGATTACTTGTTGGAGGAAACAGGCAGTGTTGCTACCAACATATCAGCCTTTACCTTCTCATCAGCTGCCATACCAATGCCAGGGTAAGTGTTGAATTCCCTTCATTTAGGTCCTGCCCAGCAATGCCAACCAAGGAGAATTTGGCCTTGTTCTTCCCAAGTTCCACTGCATAGTTACAGTTTTCAATCTATAAATAAGTAAAAGTTTGGGTATAAAAAGATTTTTAAAAACATATCTCCAGAATAGGCCAGCCTAGTTCAGCCATCTGAAAAACAATTATGATGACACCTTAAATTTATATGACCAATTTCATAATAATAACCCAGGGAAAGCAAGGACATAATTATTTCCATTTTATAGTTGAAGATATTAAAGCACTGAGTGGGTTAACCTAGATAGAGGAACAACTGGCCGGAAAGTTTTAAGATCCCTTCCTACTCTAAAAATCTTGACTATCCAGGCCGGGCGTGGTCGCTTACGCCTGTAATCCTAGCACTTTGGGAGGCCAAGGCAGGTGGATCACCTGAGGTCAAGAGTTCGAGACCAGCCTGGCCAACATGGTGAAACCTCATCTCTACTAAAAATACAAAAGTTAGCCAGGTGTGGTGGCGGGTGCCTGTAATCCCATCTACTCAGGAGGCTGAGGCAGGAGAATCGCTTGAACCTGCGAGGTGGAGGTTGCAGTGAGCCAAGATCGCGCCATTGCCCTCTAGCCTGGGCAACAGAGCAAAAACTCCGTCTCAAAAAAAAAAAAAAAAAAAAAAATTCTTGACTATCCAAGATGAAATAGCTTATTAATGGCACATGTGTGCCTAAAAACCTAGGTGTCCTGCTTTCCTTTCATAGAAGTAATAGATGATGTTTTGTGTAGATTTAAAATTTAAAAATAGAAAAGAAAGTAATTGTTTTATTAAGAATCTAACTTCATCTCCGATATTCTTTACCCAGATCTTACTTATCCTCTGAAATTCAGCTTTTGGCCCACTTTCTTCAATAAAGGCTTAACCTTAACTGTACCAGCTAATAATGATCTATCCTTTGCTTGAACTCCTAAGAATGCTTACTTTGTAATGCTTATGCACCATCTTCTACTATACTTAGCCTTGTATGTGTTTCCTTTCAACAACTAGAGTATAAGCTTCTTCTAAAGGACAAAAATTTTTACGTGCACAAATCTATATCATACTGTCCCCACTCTCAGCACAATGCCCTGCCTAAAGTAAGAATCTGATACATAAACACCTAATAAATTGTTTACCCTCCCCAACCACAATACTTCTTTCCAGTGATATAAGTCCAGTTAGGTCCTTTCTCTAATAATTTTTTTTATCTATCCTGGAGTCAATAGGGTTTTTTACCTGCATCATCTACTGCTGTGTTTCTTACATCAGAACTTATAAATTCTTATGTATCTGAGTCTTTTTGCTCCAGTGAAATTATAAGCTCTCATAATCTTATATCACCAGTAGGAACAAAAGTGCTTACACTAAGTACTTTTTGGAATAAACACTTAAAAGGAGAACACTACTTTTCTTAATTTTCTTCCACGAGTTAGTTAAGGTACCATTACAAAACAGTCTAACCTAAGGTACACAGATACATTTTCCCCAATAGTAAGAAAATATTTGCAGGAAATGTGAGACAGCTAATACAATAAAAGAATTTGTACAAATATATGGTTATTGTTCTTAAAAAAGAGAATCCAAATTCCCAAAGTTCAATTTACTACAAATAAAAATGGAAGATCTTTGGAACCTGCTGTAACATCTGCCTGGCTAACTTCACAAATTGAATAAAATGTTTGATATATATTCATTTTTTTAAAATCCAAGGAGAAGCTGGGTGTGGTGGCACATGCCTGTAGTCCCAGCTACTTAGGCTGAGGCAGGAGGATCACTTAAGGGCAGGAGTTCAAGGCTGTATTGTGCTATAATCACGCCTGTGAATAGCATGCACTCCAGCCTGGGCACCATAGTGAAACCCTACTTCTAAAAAGTTTTTAAAAGAATTTTTTAATGCAGAGATAATATTCCAAAACATTTTTTGGAATCATATTATAGGCTTAGCCCGCTTAAAAGAAATATATGCTGTAAGAATGTAGACTTTAAAAAATAGAATAGATTCCTAATTTATGGAAAATAACATTAGCACTTGAATTATTTAACACTGTGTACAGGAGAGTAAAAAGCCAGCATATTTACCATGGACACCCAGTTCAGTGGGAGAATTTTATAGCAAACTGCAGTAATCACATGTGTAAAATGTGTTTCAATGAAGAGCCATCTGCTTTACAGTTCTACCAAAGTTCCTAAGGGAGATGATGGTGAGAAAGGAGTTCAGGGTTGCTAGTATAGAGGCCTAAGAATATATTGATAGGACCAGCATTGAAAGAGAAACTGGAAATAGGTGCTAGCATAAGGGAAAGCATATATTCTTTTATGGGCAATATTTGGTTCCAAATTTGGCAGAACACTTCTAAGAGATCTAGAGAGGTACCAAACTAGAGAAAGAATGAGAAATTAGGTTCCTAGAGGTAATCCATGTGTATGGTAGTACAGGTTGAGCATCCCTAATCTGAAAATCCAAAAATCCAAAATACTCCAAACTCTAAAACTTTTTGAGCACCAACACAATACTCAAAAGAAAAGCTAACTGGAGCATTTCAGATTTTCAGCTTAAGGATGCTCAACCAGTATACTGCAAATATTCCAATATCTGAAATATGTCTGGTCCCAAGCATTTTGGATAAGGGATACTCAACCTGCAATTAAAACACTAAAAACAGATCTGCTCCCTGAGGGTGTAAATATAAAAGTTAAGACCTTTGGCCCAAGAACCAGGCCTTGGAAATACTGAGTTCTCAGGCTAAAAGATGAAGAACCTATGCAAGGTAAGAATGAGCACAAAGAAAGCAAGAAAAACTTGGAGTGCAGTCTCACAGAGTTAATGGAAGAAATGATTACTGTATTAGTCTGTTTTCACACTGCTGATAAAGACATATCCAAGACTGGGAAGAAAAAGAGGTTTAATTGGACTTATAGTTCCACATGGCTGGGAAGGCCATAGAATCATGGCAGGAAGCAAAAGGCACTATTTACATGGTGGCAGCAAGAGAAAATGAGGAAGATGCAAAAGCGGAAACCCCTGATAAAACCATCAGATCTCTTAAGTCTTATTCACTACAATGAGAACAGTATGGGGGAACTGCCCCCATGATTCAAATTATCTCCCACTGGGTCCCTCCCACAACACATGGGAATATGGGAGTACAATTCAAGATGAGATTTGGGTGGGGACACAGCCAAACCATATCAATTACCAAGTACTTTAAATGCTTTGGACAAAAATGAAGCTTAGATCATTTAGACAATGAGAAGAGTTACATAATGGGACACAAGGGTTCAAGTGAAAAGAAATACTTAAAAGTAAAGAAGGCCGGGCACAGTGGCTCACGCCTGTAATCCCAGCACTTTCGGAGGCCAAGGCGGGTGGATCACGAGGTCAGGAGACAAGACCATCCTGGCTAACACGGTGAAACCCCGTCTGTACTAAAAATACAAAAAAATTAGCCGAGCGTGGTGGCGGGCGCCTGTAGTCCCAGCTACTTAGGAGGCTGAGGCAGGAGAATGGCATGAACCTGGGAGGCAGAGCTTGCAGTTAGCCGAGATCATGCCACTGCACTCCAGCCTGGGCAACAGAGCGAGACTCCATCTCAAATAAATAAATAAATAAATAAAATAATAATAATAATAATGAAGAAGAAAGGCTATTTTAATGGTGCAGCTTTAAGAACTTTGTAAGCGAAGGAAAGTGACATGTATTGATTATTGCCCAAATTCCATAAAATAATTCCCTGTGATACTGTGTCATGAAAGTACTGCTTCTTCATTTTTTAAACATCTTGAATTTATTTCAGGCTTTATGTTTCATTCTGTATTTGTTGAAAAAGTATTCTGCATATGATTCATTTGTGACATATGTATTTATTTGTAGTTCACATTAAAATTCCAGGTATAATGAATGGTTAATTTCTGTTTTCCTGTTACATTTTGCATTCAAAATTTTGGAGAAAAAACTTACATGAAATTAGTCAATAAATTTTCTGAATTCTACTCCCATGAAAAGAATTATATGCAAATCAAATGAAATTAAAAATGCAGGCAGTCCAATGACTAGAAATGCTGAAACATACGAGTAACTCTTTATAATTATACCACCCATTTAACTACTTTAATATTATGATGTATTTCCCTTTAAAAGTCTTTTAAAATTTTTTTCTTTAAAATTAGTGTCTATAAATACATTTTCATTCTATAGATGTGGAAAACTAAAAGTCCCTTTTGAATACATCTCTGTATGTGTTATGTATTTTGAACAAATTAGATTCATATTATGTATATATATAATTTTGTGTCCTGCTCATTTCCATACCACTATTACTAAAACACTATTTTTTGTTTGTTTGATTATACTTTAAGTTCTGGTATACATGTGCAGAACATGCAGGATAGTTAACATAGGTATACATGTGTCATGGTGGTTTTCTGCACCCATCAACCCATCATCTAGGTTTTTGTTTTGTTTTGTTTTGTTTTTTGAGACAGAGTTTTGCTTTCTCACCCAGGCTGGAGTGCAATGGCACATCTCGGCTCACTGCAAACTCTGCCTCCCGGGTTCAAGCCATTCTCCTGCCTCAGCCTCCCGAGTAGCTGGGATTACAGGCACCCACCACTACGCCTGGCTAATTTTTTGTATTTTTAGTAGAGATGGGCTTTCACTATGTTGGCCAGCCTGGCCTCGAATTCCTGACCTCATGATCCACCTGCCTTAGCCTCCCAAAATGCTGGGATTACAGGTGTGAGCCACTGCACCTGGCCCCCATCATCTAGGTTTTAAGCCCTGCATGCATTAGGTATTTGTCCTAATACTCTCCCTCCCCTTGCCCCCCAACCCCTGACAGGTCCAGGTATGTGATGTTCCCCTCCCTGTGTCCATGTGTCCTCATTGTTCAACTCCCACTTATGAGTGAGAACATGCAGTGTTTGGTTTTCTGTTCCTGTCAAACACTATTTTTAATGGCACATTTTACTTCATCTTATGGGTGTATCAATTTTATTAACCCTTTACTGAACAACTAGGTTGTTTTCTTGTGTGCTGTATAAACATTGCTATGATTAGCATTTTGCCACCCAACTTTGTGTCTTTCTGATTTTTTCATCAGGATAGGTGGAAAAAGGTGAAATTAGGTCAAAAGATTTTTTGGAAGATTAATATGTATTGACAAACTGGTTTTAGAAGGATTATACAAATGAATACTTCCTCTTACATTGGATGCAGTTCAATAGTTTCTTGTTTTAAATTGCATTTCTTTATTCTGGGTGAAAAGTTTTTCATATTTCTATTATTCATCATTATTTTTCTATGAATTGTTCATTCATGTGTCTTTCCCATTTTGCTATTACTATTTCAGTAGCTCTTCAACTTTCTTCCCTAGAACTCATAATATTCACTTTTGTTTACCATGTACCATATTGTAGTTGTTTGCACACATATTTCCCTAATTTATTTAGGCTTTCCTGAGGACCAACTCCATGCTTTATACTTTTTTTTTTTTTTTACATCCTGCATAACACTGTATAGGTATTAGGTAATTGATAAATATCTGTTGAATAAATGAGTGGATAACCAATAAACATTCAGAACGTTATACCAATTGTAAAAAAAGAATACATTTACAGGACATCTCAAAGAACATTAAGTACTATGACTTGATAAAGATGAAAATAGTTATATAAAGTGTCTGACTAGAGGGATTGCCTTCATCTTCAAATTTATTAAAGCAAACTTGTAAAAAGGCTATTAAGCTTAACACATTTTGGTCTGAATCAGAATTGTGGGGACAGAGCACGTATAACTTCATGAAACTCTAAATTCTTTGTTTCATATCAGAACAATAACAATATATCCATGGCCATTATTTCATTCACCTTCTTCATGTTCCCTCCAAGGGCAGGATAAGGAGGTTTGTTGACATGGCTCCAGTTGACTGGCACTCGGATCATCTCATAGAGCTGAAAGATCACTAAAGCATCTGCAAGGTCACTGAAGCAGGAAGGAAAAGCAGATAAAGGAGGAGGAAATGTTGGGTATTACCTAATTTTATTAAGTACACTGGAGATAGACTTATATCTTTAAGAACATAAGTCATTTAATTCTTAAAGAATGACAGGACATATCATTTGACCCAGAACTTCCAGTCTAAGAATCTGTCCAAAATGTTTACATAAATATTTACAAAGGTATACATCCAAGGACATTCATTGCCACAATATTTATAAATTTGGAAACAACTTAAGTGCCTGGCAGTAGGGAGCTGTTAAGTAAACTATACTATAAACTCCTTGGCCACCATTGGACATAAGGTAGATCTCTATGTATTGATATGAAAAGCTTTGCAAGACATATCAAATTTTAAAAAGAAAATGGCAGAACACTTCATACAATTTGATCTCATTTATTTAAAAAAATTTAGAGTCAAATGTATTTATGTACCTATATATGCTAAGGACAGTTAATAGCAATTACCTCTATTAGGTAAAGAAAGAGGTCAGGAAAAGGGGAGTATGAGAGAGTAAGGGTGGAATGTTTTATTTTATTCCATATACTTACATACTTCCTAAAACTTGTACAGTAAGAATAAGTTCCTGTATTATTTATACATTATTTTTTAACTTAAAACATAATTACAGGAAAATCACAATAGCTACTCAGTAGGCAGCTGTTTGTGTTCGGGAATGAGGGTTAAGAGGAAGGAACTTATGAACAAGTAGGAATTCTCAAAGTAAAAATATTACTACTTTGGATTCAGAAAAATATGTTCTCCTGAGAAGGTTAACGTATGGCTGTTTAGTCTATTTTCAATGCTGTATGCTAAGGACATAAAGCAATAGCAATTGATTTTTTAAATTGCTAGCTTTGTGATATATTATATGGCTTTTCTCCTCCAACAGCTTGTCCAATAAGTTATGTTTCGCTAAGGTTCATATTAAATTACTTTGCATTCTCTGAGCACAAACCATATGGCAGTGAAGGGAGCTGGGCCCAGTACTGGGTGATAGAGGGAGAAAGTCTGATATGAAGGTAATTAAGATCTGAATAGATTATCTTTAGGCACATGAAACATTCTGTATAAAAAAAAATCACTGAAGTATTTCTATAGGTTCTGGAATCTTATGTTTCATGTATTTTTCTTTTTTACTTTAAATGAATTCATTCTCATTCCTGTCTAGTATGGTATTATTATTATTATTATTATTATTATTATTATTATTATTTTGCAAATAGAACTGAGGTCCAGAGAGTTTAAATGATTTCCAGAGACTTCAAGATGAGTTCTAGAACGAACTGGTCATAGAAAAACTCTAGGACTAATAGTTCTTGAAATATATAACATTTTAGAGAAGAGAATTTTCAGTGAAAATCTAGCTGTTTTGGTATGGGCTGGCTATACTATAGGCAGGAACCTAAAAATTCTTGGGGGTGGGTTTAGGAATATGATGCAGACACAATTCTATGGACACATGGTTCCAGTGTCAACTAGATGTCCACCTATTGTTCTTCTACATCTGACGGTTCTCCAAGATTATGTTACTTTTAAGAATTTTCTGAAAGTAACAGTTCTTTTTGCAAGAAAAAATACTATATGCTCAGAAGCCCTATGCTGGTATTTCTTGAATAAAGATATTCTTCAGATATCTTTAGCTAAAAGGTTTGGTCAATTCTTTTCTCCACTGTCAGTGATAGAACTCTAGTGTTCCTGACATTTATGAAATAATTACATGAGTATCAACAAATCGATTTAATCTGCTATTTTTAAGCTTACTCTTTAATTATAGAAAAGTACATGCTCATGGTCCAAAAAAATGCAATCATGTTTAAGTTACTAAGATTAAAAGTAAAAGTCTTGGGCACGGTGGCCCACGCCTGTAATCCCAGCACTTTGGGAGGCCGAGGCAGGCAGATCACCTGAGGTCAGGAGTTCGCGTCCAGCCTGACCAACATGGAGAAACCCCATCTCTACTAAAAATACAAAATTAGCTGGGCGTGGTGGCACATGCCTGTAATCCCAGCTACTTGGGAGGCTGAGGCAGGAGAATCACTTGAATCAGGGAGGCAGAGGTTGCGGTGAGCCGAGATCACACCATTGCACTCCAGCCTGGGCAACAAGAGTGAAACTCCATCTCAAATAAATAAATAAATAAATAAATAAATAAATAAATAAATAAATAAATAAGTAAGTCTCCTTACTATTCTCTACTCCTACTACCCAGGCTACATAGAGTTTGCTATGTACCTCTCTAGATTTTCTTTTAAAATTCGAATACAAATATCCACACACTCAAATTGTAAACAAAATGGGATCATACTAGACCTGTTATTCTTTTTTCTTGACTATATATTATAGACATTCTTTCAAATCAGTCCATAAAAAGTGAATCCCTCCTCACCTTCAATATTTGTGTTTTAACTTCCCTGCTACTGTAACAGGAGCTCTGGTCTAATTGACGTATATCTCCTCATCCAGCTGAAATTTACACACTCTTTAAGAGCTTTACAAATATGGGTCTATCACATCAAAGCCAGTTACCATAATAAGGTAACACTGGTTTTCAATTTTAAAGAACATTGTGAATAAACACCAAGGAGCAGAAATTACAACATCATAAATCCTCAGTGAACCAGTGAACTTGGCCTGTTGTGACATTAATCTTCTTTAAGGAGTTAATCATAATCTTGTTTAAGGAGTTTCTTGGGTATATAAATTATTAATACATTTAGCTAATTAGAACTTTTTTCTAAAAAAAAATACAACTAGCTGAAGTTGGCTTATTTTGCACTTTATCAAGGCAGGCTGGTAGATTGTATAATAAAGAGAGAAGAATGGTTTCCTCTCATCCACACTTAGAAAGATGCATCGTTAGCCCAGGAGTTGATTTAGTAAAATATTTTCTTAGCCCTACTAATGTCAATAATGTGTTATCATTTTTTAAACAAGAAAGAATGAGATAAGCTATAACAATTATTCAAGGAAAACAAGTTACTTTTACAAATTAGAAAAAAATATACACAAAAATTATGGAATAATTAAGGTTTTGGCAAAAATAAATGAAAAATGACATAATAAAAATACTGATATAACAACAATTTATCAGTTATTACTGTTACTCTAATCTGTTAAAGTTGAAATTATTTTTACAATCAATAACTATAAAAAAGGATTATCTTTACTGATTTACGTATATCATCAAAAACATAACTATTATTCCTTTTTTGAATAGTAGCTTTCTTTTAAAATCCATTGTATTGCCAATTCCCAGCATCCTGAAACTCTAAAAATTGGCTAAAATTCTTGCAACTTGAGAAAATGTTCCATTTAAACATGCCTACAGTTTGAAACTTGAAAAGTTGGACCCTGACAGTAAAGCTGAAGCACAATAAAATATTTACCTGTACAAATGATTAATGTATGGGTTGACTCCCAAGGAATTCATCCAGTTCCGAAATGTTCTCTCTTCCTTGCTCTCTCCTAGAGTAGACACAAGCTCACACTGATGACTCAGGACAAAAGGAACCAGGAACTATATGTTAAACCATTCTAGCAGGTACAAACTGGTCAAACCTACCTTGCCATGGTTCTTTAGATACTACAGTTTCTTTAAAGGGAGAAAAAAAGTCTCTTAATGCCAAAGTCCCTTCTTTCCTACTATCTAGGAAGCCTCCATTTGCTCTAAATCTCTCCTTCTAGATTCCCTTTGATGTCTGTGAACTAGTACTGAGCCATGGGTTTCTCTACCTAGAAATAACAGATACACTTCTGTGGTCTATAATTATGATTAGATGCAAAAGGGATTCACTAAACATTAATAAAAACAAAATGTTTTCGCAGTCAGGGTAACATTAGCACATTAAACACAAATAGAAAAGTTATACCTTTCTCGGTGCAGTGTTTCTAAATTTGTACAAATTATGGTTTTACATAGGAAAGTTTCTCAGCACACAGACCTACACTTTACACCACACAATGAAGGGCAGAGGGGATTACAGGTAAATATAAAAACACACAATGAGGGGAATATAACTATTTTACAGGCTTCCTGAGTTAGTTTAGATTATCATTACTGAAAATACATAAGGAACACAGACCCAATACAGGTTGATAAGAGAAAGACAGATTTCATCATAGTAAGTTCCTGGACCTCAAAGATCCCCTCAAGGAGATAACTCCTTCAGGTGCTGTTATTTAACCATACCTCCCTGAGCATTCCCTTTGTAACAGTGCTTACATCATCTATAAGGAAAATGCGGGTCATAGTATACCACAAAGTGAGCAGGGATGTGGGCTGGCTCTGCCACTGTCTGCCTTCTAGTCATCTCCTGACTGCAAATAGTTCTAAGTAACTATCATGATTATTTGTTCTTCGGCAAAGTTATTAGACAGTGGAATGGCCTAGTTTACATCTTATCAGCAGACTCCTGAAAAACTGAAACATTTACACCTGTCATCACTTCTAAGTTATAGGCAAGTTCAAGTCACTCTCTAGATTTTGGCCCATGTGAGACTCACAGGACAATTTGGCACATAAATCTATAATCATCTGCGTTCCAGGGGCTCGTTCGTATAGAGCGATTGCAACAGTCATCTTCACATTGAGTGCCAAAGACAGTATAAACCTGCACACCCATGATAGGAACGCAAGCCTTGTCAGATCTAAAGGATTCTGTTATTTGTGCCAACTGTTCAGGAAATCATCTACCCACTGTAGTTTCATGTGATTTCAATGCCATTATCTAACAGCTTTCCCAGAATCTGCTTTAATTATTGCTCTATTATGTAGCCCTATAATTTCTTGCTTAAATTTTGTTCCCTCTGGTCTGCATAAAAGGTAACTGATCAGTCTGTTGTATCTGCTACCACCACTTTATAATAAACAGTCTACATGAGAATCTTTTTTTAAGAATAACCAAGCTAAACTAAATATTTCTAGAATCCATGCCAGCCTTATTTGTAGGAATTATTAAACAGGTACAAATTAAATCTATGAACTATCCCCAAAGTGACATAAATATAAACATACTATGATCAATAACTTGATGCCTTTGATTTGGATTTACCTCTCAGTTGTTTCTCTATCTATCATAAAGATATATATATATATGTTTCTAATAGTTACAGAAGTTTTACATTATTTCCATCTAGGAAAATCTAAATGTCTTAAAATTATGAAGATTAATAGTGCCATAATGGTTTAATTTTTAATTAAAATATCCAAATTCTGTTGAACCTAATGATGCAGTGAATAATATTTTAAAATAACTAAACTTGCATTTTGATTGAGTTCTGAAACTATCTTCGGGGGTTCATATTTCTTCCTATTGTTCTCAACTGATTATATAATTATTTTAATTTTTGATACCTGGAAAGTAAAATAGATTTTATAAATGAGCATTTATTTATCTAATAACATTTCAAAGTGTCTTGGTAAATAAATGCTCAAAGCTAGAGGCACTATGCATTTGTGCAACAGCCATGGTAAAGCATTACAAAGATATATGTGTTCCAGATTGGAAAATGTTGTCTGGATTATAGACAGCTAAAGCAATCTTAGAAGTAAAACCTTTTTTTCCCCCTAGATCTGATATACAATTTCAAGAAGTAAAATCTTAATTGCTGATATACAAGATTGAAAGAACTATAAAACATTCTTTTCATTTGCAGGCTCAATTTGACGTCTACAAATAATAAAAAATAGTAATAAAAATAACAAATATCTTAGAAGTAGGTTACTAAGAGGGAAAAGAGGAGTTAACATATATTTAACACTCAAATGTGCTGTGACATATGAAGTGCTTTCCTCCTCCCTCCCTGACCATTAATAAACACATACTGTATTCTTCCATTCATGATCACATTTAGCTTGCTCTGTAACTCTTCAAATTAAGTTTATTAGTCTTGTTTTATATATGAAAAAAACCAAGGCTCACAGAGGTCATTCAGATTAAATAGTGGAACTATGATTTGAACAAAGTCTGATAGTTTATGGCCTGTGTACCTTCTGTAATCATAAATGAATTCTGAGATGATCTTTCTGTACGTAGCCCACATATCTGGTTCAATTTGATGTGAGCGTTTAATATTTAATTGTGTTTTATTTAATTCCCTAGAGAGAAAATTCTCTGCCAATGAGGACATACTAACATATGAATTTGGGATGTGATATGATCAAGCTTCAAATTTCATAAGGATATATTAAAACACAAATTTACAGAGGAAAATAATCCAATGACAGTCAAAGTCAAATACATTTTTGGCAGATGTATGAGGACATACATAATAAAGATGACTGATAAATATTTCCCATGTTATCTTAATAGACAGTAAATAATAATGGAAATATTTAGCAATCCTATTCACACTGAAAAATTCCAAAAGCATGCTGAACACTAGCAAAAAGAATTCAAACATGAAAAATAAGAAAGCGAGCAAGTTGGAAAAGATACCTAGCAAGAATTCAGTGACTATAAAAAGCAGATCATTTTTAATATGCCACTCTAAACAATGCCTTCTACTGACAGAGGGATTTTGAAATTTTCCAGACTGATAAAACCTAACAGTGTTGCTTTTGCTTATTTTTTTTCAAGTTCTAATCTCTCACCCTAAATTTCTCTTCGCTGAAAAATCTACATTTTTTGTCTATTTTCCCTCTCAGTTACGTATCTACATAGAAAATATAATCTTTATTTTATTTTACGGGACCTTCAAGAAGAATGAATTACTCATATTCTTTGAAGAATATATTTGTTAAATCTGAAACGTCGTTCATTAATCACAAAACTGTAATTATGAGGTGACAAGGACACTGGAACTTTGGTTATGGCAGTCAAGCAGAAAAAGATCATGAAATTGATTTCTCATTCTGTCTCACTGGGAAAGAAGGGATAAGTGTGAGTTTTGTGAGAGAATGAACACTGAGATCATGAATACCGCACATCATACTCTCCCCACCAAGAAGAATCCCTGCTTTCTCCAAACCAGGGCAATTAGCAAGAAAAATCTTAAGATTGGCGCCTTCCTCTGACAACTGCCTTTCCCTTCAACAACTGCCATTACCACTGCCACTGTTTTTACTTTAAGTTCTGATACTAATGTGGGTGTTGGTATGTATGAGAGTGGGAAAAAAAGAAAGGCTGGGAAACAAATGAGTAAGAACTGGGTATTGAGAATGTTTTGTTATTATGATTCATATACTGTAAGCTTCAATGAGGTTCAGTAAATATAACATAGCTAATTGATACAAAATAATATGTTATAGAACCTAAATGAATCCTTTCAAAGATTACTTGACATTTTGTCACAGGAGAAGGATAAAGATTTTACATCAAATCATGAATTCCAGTTCTCAAAATTGAGTTCTAATGT
The DNA here is from genome assembly GCF_000001405.40 of Homo sapiens. Taxonomy (NCBI): domain Eukaryota; kingdom Metazoa; phylum Chordata; class Mammalia; order Primates; family Hominidae; genus Homo; species Homo sapiens. The sequence continues at coordinate 142,690,577 of NC_000003.12, read as the reverse complement.
GTTTACAACTACAATATCCCATCATTATAGAAGGCAAATTAGGTAGAAATTTTACAAAATCAAAGCTTTGTTCTGCTATTCTAATTAAGTTTTATTTGTGTTTCATTCTATGGGCATATTAAGAGAGAAATAACACAGCATGAACAATGCAAAAAGTAAAATATCAACCCAGATGGAAAGAATAAATGGTACTAATAAAAAGAACATTCAGAATGAATATATTTATAGAGTATAGAAAAGTACTAAATACAGTACCTACATTAGGAGGGGTCAAATCTGCATTTCATGAAGCAAAACAGGAAAGTATTATATATTATGAGACAGATAACGATAGACCACACAAAAGACAAATAACGAACACTGTAATTTTTTTCATGTACACTAAAAACCTTAAAAAGAGAACAATACTAGAGTCAAACTGGACCTTTCAAAGGAGAAAAACACCTACAAATAATTATTTTATTCTAATAGATAATTCATTGTCCATGTTGGTGGTAGAGCTGTTATGTGATCATTTATGAGAATATTTTAAATGTATGATAGTTTTCACTAACCTCTTATGGAGAAATAAAAGATTTACCCCAGCATTCTCTTTTAACCAAAACCAGCAACCACCTTCCATAATTTTAATTTTTCAATAGATACACATACCTACACACACTAAATTGCATTTCCCACCACAATCCCCTATCTCTGACAGTGAAGTAAGACAATACCATAAGAAGATAAATATAGCAAGTCAATTAAAGGCAGAAAGAACGCACCTTCCAGTAAATTCATATCGATGTCATTATTATTCGGCTTGTGCAGGCACGGGTATGTGTTAAACAAATTAGCTACAAAAGCTAAATTAAGTTTAGGATTGCCTGAAACCACATCTGCAGGAGTAACAAACTGTTTGCAGCCCAGTTTATCTGCTTCTTGAAGCATGAGTCCAGCACGCTTCAGGTCATTTGTCTCCTAAACAATAAAACAAAAATGGTTACAATTGAAGTTTTAATTGGCATAATTTTTATTGGTATACATGTTTATAAGCAATTACTTTTCCACAAATATATCAAATAATAACTCAAAATAAGATCAAAATGTGTAGTAATTCCAAGTCAACTTACCCATTCCTTTATTTATTTATTTATTTATTTATTTATGTATTTAGAGACAGAGTCTTGCTCTGTTCCCCAGGCTGGAGTGCAGTGGCGTGATCTTGGCTCACTGCAACCTCTGCCTCTTAGGTTCAAGTGATTCTCCTCCCTCAGCCCCTGAGTAGCTGGGATTACAGACACATGCCACTATGCCCAGCTAATTTTTGTATTTTTAGTAAAGACAGGGTTTTGCCATGTTGGCCAGGCTGGTTTCGAACTCCTGATCCGCCCACCTCGGCCTCCCAAAGTGCTGGGATTATAGCCGTGAGCCACTAAGCCCAGCCCCCGTGCCTTTTAAGTTAAAAGGAAAAAAGTCTCTGAATTTCCTTGCTGGGATAACTGAGTTATATTTTACCCTTTTTGCTAAAATACTCAGCAAAATCCTCAAATATTGTATCAGTAAGCTCCTACTGGTTGCACTATAGATAACTTATTCAAGACCAGCTAGTAGAGTGCCCTCTGGATAACAGGCATAGTTATCATACCCACTGTACACTGAGTGACATTTCCAGAAGGCTCTTCTTGATGAAAAACAAGTTGAAATACATATTTTAAAAATTAAAATCATAGGGAAAAGCACCTTTCACAATTGCAAAACCCTGGAAACAAATGAAACAACCCAAATACCTATAAACAGGAGAGTAGATGAATGAATTTGTATATTCACACAATGACATCCAATATGGGTAACTCTTAGAGATACAAGGCCAAAAAGAAGTACTAGAAATTTAAGTATAACATGATAAACTTTAAAGGAAGTTAAAAAGTAAAATGAAGAATTTAATTTTGTAAGGGATACATTTGGATGAAGGGAAACTACATAAAAAGAAAAGCAGAACAACAATGAACACAAGATTCAAGACTGTGGTTACCACACTGGGCGAAAACCGAGGTGGGATAGGGAAGAACTGTACAGAAAATGTCACGTCAAAGTTTTAGTTTTCCTGTTAGATTGAGAGTTCATGAGGCTTGTTACAATTTCAAAACAAACAACCACACACAAAAATAAATTTAAAAATGGGTATGCACAGACCCATATGAGTATATCATGACCAAAGATAACCTACCTAATTCTGTGCACCAGAGTTGCAAAATAATTAATCATATAAATGAAATCAGAGAAAGCAACAGATTATTAAATTAACAAAGAAAAGTTACCATTGTAGACATCAAAAAATGACAATATGTGGCTGGACGTGGTGGCTCATGCCTGTAATCCCAGCACTTTGGGAGGCAGAGGCAGGCGGATCACTTGAGGTCAGGAGTTTGATACCAGCCTAGCCAACATGGTGAAACCCCGTCTCTACTAAAAACACAAAAATTAACCAGGTGTGGTGGTGTGCACCTGTAATCCCAGCTACTCAGGAAGTGGAGGTAGGAGAATCACTTGAGCCCAGGAGGCGGAGGTTGCCATGAGCCAAGATTGTGTCACTGCACTCCAGCCTGGGCGACAGAGCAAGACTCCATCTAAAAAAAAAAAAAAACAAACAAATAAAGACAACATGTGGACCTTATTTTAGATCCTAATTCAAATAAACTATGAAAAAAATGGCATTTATGAGGCAAGTGGAAATGTCAACATTGACTAGATATTTTGATGATGTTACAGATTGTTGTAATTTTTTTAAGGTATGATAAGGTATTGTGGTTTTATTTTAAAAGTGTCTTTGTCTTTTAGAAATATATATTGAAATATTTATCCATGAAGTAATGTCTAGGATTTGCTTCAAAATAATATAGGAGAGGAGAGAAATAGGGAATAAACGAGATAAGATTGACCATGAATTGGCAGATGTTGAAACTGAGGGATGAGTACCTGATAGTTTAGTATACTAAGTCTGTTCTCTTGAATATATTCAAAATTTTCCATAAGTTTAAGTTCCTAATTTTTTTACTTAAAATGATTTGCACATTTTACAGAGCGTTGCAATACTGTGTTTCTGAAATATGTCATTATAATAATGTGAGATATAATTAATTAGTAATGACTCAAGTTGCCTTTAAAACCAAATGTTACGGACGCCGCACTTTAAGTACGTGATATATTTTCATACAGTCTATTATCTGACCAAATTTTAATGTTTAGAATTCAAGTTTGTCCAACCCACGGCCGGTGGGTCACATGCGGCCCAGGACAGCTTTGAATGTGGCCCAACACAAATTTGTAAACTTTCTTAAAACACTAGATTTTTTTGCACCTTTTTTTTTTTTTTAGCTCATCAGCTATTGTTAGTGTTAGTGTATTTTATGTGTGGCCCAAGACAATTCTTCTTCTAATGTGGCCCAGGGAAGCCAAAAGACTGGACATCCTGATTTAGATAGAACCATCCCTGGTATTTATAACTTATGCTAAAAGAATGAGATTCCTAGGAAGTATGCTTGGTAGGTCAGAATCTGTATCAGTCCTTCCTACACCATGAATATCTATTTTTATTTTGTAGATTTCTAAATATAAGCTGGTAAAACTGATAATTGATTGCTTAAAAATCTAACAACAGGTTGTTGCTTCCTTTCCTGGCATATGCTGACAGTCAAAAGAGCACCCTGGTGAGTTCCAATTGCCTTGCACCAGGGAAACATGAATGTAGGATTGATTCCACAAATACTCCAGGTCACAATTACGCAGTTCCCTTTCTTCCGTCATGATAGCCAGTTGGCTTGACATGGAGGCTTGGAGCCTTGGGCATGGAAAAAACTTCCATAGAGCAAAGCACCAAACTTTAATGGAGGGCTGAGGGCTCTACTGGGGAATGCTGCTTGTAGAGAACTGTACTCTAAATTTGACTGTACCTGCTACTGAAATTCAAATTCATAGTCAAAAAGTAGAACAGTAGTTACCAGGGCCTGGGGGAAGGGGAAAATGGGGAGTTATTGTTTAATGAGTACAGAATTTCCCTACAGGATGATGAAAAGTTTGTAGAGATGGATAATGGTGATAGCTGCACAACAATGCAAATGTACTGAATGCCACTGAACTGAACACTGAAAATGATAAAAATGGTAAATTTTCTACGTCTGTTTTACCACAATATATTTTAAAAGTTAAAAATTGCACTCACATTAATTCCTGAAAGGTCAATGGCAATGGCAGGTCCATCTTCCCCACCTTTAGGGGCAATCTGATTAAGCAGATGAAAATAGGCTCTCGAGTCCTTCAAGGAAAGATATGAAATAGCATTTTTAAAACGAATAAAATCATCATTGAATTTAGGGAAAACAAGTGCTCAAACTGAAGAAATTGCCTCTATCTCAAAGAATGGAATAACTTTAAAAATAAAGAATTACTTGTAGGTTCCTGAATGTACCATGCTGTTTCACACTTCAGAGCTTCAAAGCAATCCTGTTTCACACCTCAGAGTTTATAGCAATGCTGTTTCCTGCACCTGGATACCCTCCCTTACTTTTCCATCTGTTTACACACCCAAGCATCAACATCAGTTAAGATTCAGGTCAAGTATTATCTCCCGTATGCCTTCCCTGGATTCTCTAGGATGAACTAAGAACCCCTCTTCTGTAGTGCACAGCACCCCTTGCCTATCTTAATAAGTAAACAGTGATCACACTATTAAATCATCTAATGTCATTGTCTCCAAAGATGGATATATAGTTCTTCCCCATGCATACATTAACTCTTCCCACCAAAAGGCAGAAGCTATTTCCTGTCCTCTTTAATTTGGACAGGCCTTATGATTCACGTTAACTAAGAGAATGCTGTGAAAGTGATGTTCTGGGGCTTCCACGCCCAAATCTTAAGAGCTTCTGCTTCCTCTCTCTTAAAGTTAACCTCTACATAAGAAGTCCAACTATCTGAGACTATCATGCTGTGAGGAAGCCTGAGCTCACCATGTAGAGAGGCCTTGTGGAGGAGCACTGAGGCACCAGACATGTGACTGAGGCCTTTGTGTACTTTCCAGATGAGCCCAACTGACAGCTGAATGTAATCGAGTTAGTAATCCCAGCCAAAACCATGTGAAGCAGAAGAACCACCCAGCCAAGATGCATCAACCCACAAAATGATGAGAAATAATCATTATTTAAGCAAATTTTGCATAATTTGCTATATAGCAATAGATAACTGAAATATCCCTCTGGTACATGTTTGTCTCTGAGTAGAATTGGCAAGCTTCTCAAGAGCTGAGTCTTTGCATCGCCTGGGCATAATGCCCCTCAGAAAGAGCTGAATAAATGTTTGATTAGCTGAATTTTCAGAGATTTCAGAATAAGAGAAATCTCCCAAATAAACTTTCAAATATAACAGTGTATAGTAGATGAAAGCAGAGAAATAAAATGTCACTTCAAATTGAGAGACTGTCCTGTAGGCCATTATGGAAAAAGATAACCTGACTGAAGGTTATATAGCTAAAGACGGAACATGAATTAGAGCCAGCACTGATTACTCTTGGGGGGCAGGATGGGGGAGGACATAAAGAAACAGAGAGAAGAAAAAAGTCACAGCGACCCGGCTTGGCAATGCCCATCCAGGCAGTAACCAAGGGAAAGTTGTCATTAGACAAAAATGCCTGTTATAGTTTCCTTGACAAGATTCTCCCAGTAGAGAGGGAAGTGTTTTAAGCTACCCTGGTTAAGGCACATACCTTAAGATCCCCTTTATTTACTGATTCTCTGTACCCTCAGATAATCTGATTTCCTGTTAGCTGGTTATTGGCAAAGTGGGAGTAAGAGTGTTAAACCAGTAAACAGATATAATTATTAGTCCAAATGAACAGACTGACATCCTCATTATAATCTAGCAGATCTCAGGCATAAAAAATGAGAAAGTGTGTTTTAATCTGTTGAGGCTAGCACCTCTTTCCTCTCACAGTCAGTTGTAGTTCTTATTAAAAGCCAATATATCTGGTTTTTAGAAAATATATATTTTGTGAATATAATTGGGGGATCTACTTCACACAGTAATGCAAATTTTCATTTTCTATCCCAAGTGTTCTTGTGAATTTAATTCAAATTTAAGTCTGAACCCCTTTTATTTTTACACTGCACATCCTTATTTCATGTCACAAATTTGAACATTTAAATATAAACCTTAATGTCTTGGCTGAAGTTGCTGATGGTATGCCATCCTGCATTGGTCAGATGGTAGTTCACCCATCGCAGCAGTAATTCCTCGGGAGAAAGCTTCATCAGCTCCTCTAGTTCCTCACCTTCATTTAACAATGCAATCAGAGCTGAGGGCAAAACAGCGAAATGTAAATTCTTCCCATAGCAAGTACATGTCAATGAACAGCAAATATTTCTAATGATCTTACCTTCATTCCTGGAAATCTCAATATCAGCAAAAAGGCCAACTTTGATGATCTGCCAGAGAAGTCCCAAGACCAAGTGAGGTTTTCCTTCTTTGAGATCTGATGCACCAATGTTGACCACTGTACAACCAATGGCTGAGGCAGAATTCAGAGCTAGGTTTAAATTTTCCTGAATTGCCAAAAAAAAAAGTACACATGAGGAAGTCCTTTCTAAGGTCTTATCTATAAAAATTATCTATAAGAAACAATGGACTGCCAAATTTCAGATTTATAAACATAATATTTATACAACGAAAATACCACTACTCAAAAAAAAAAACACATGGTTTTAACTGTTACTTTATATGCCAATGACTTTCAAATCCCTATTTCCACCCAGACCTCCTCTGAGTCTCCACTCTAAGCTGTGTATCTATATATGTACTTGGTTATGTCTACCTGGATGTTCTGCCAATACCTCAAACTCAACATGATATTTTTGTAAAGTGCTCATTTGGAAGCACTTCTTTAAAAAATGATGTACAATTAGGTTTTAAGATAATTTTAAAGTAACTCTTAAGATGGATTTTACAGATGAGGAAACTGCAGCACTGACAGTTTCCACAGTGGAAAGGCCGGGGTCTGATCCCAGCGGTCTCCCGAGCCCATCCTCTTTTTTATTTATTTTTTTTGAGACGGAGTCTCACTCTGTCACCCAAGCTGGAGTGCAATGGCACTATCTTGGCTCACTGCAAGCTCCGCCTCCTGGGCTCACGCCATTCTCCTGCCTCAGCCTCCTGAGTAGCTGAGACTACAGGCACCCGCCACCACGCCCGGCCAGTTTTTCGTGTTTTTAGTAGAGATGGCGTTTCACCATGTTAGCCAGGATGGTCTAGATCTCCTGACCTCGTAATCTGCCCGCCTCGGCCTCCCAAAGTGCTGGGATTACAGGCGTGAGCCACCGCACCTGGCCCAGAGCCCATCCTCTTAATCGCCATGCATTACTGCCATTCTCATATTGTAGCAGTAATAGCGACAATTTAATGGGCTGGTCACAACAGCAGCAAAGCATAGAGGTTCTCAAAGCATAGTGAATATTTCAGCAGCTTCCTCCTACAGTGTGCTGAAGTGATTTATTGAGCTCCAAGTAAATAAATGGCTGTATCTTTGGGGGATCGTCTGGGGCGATTAAAATTAGCATTTTGAATTATTTTGGTAGTAGTATTAAGCAATGTTCATTTAAATATAGTTCTCCTGAAAGAAGCAGCAGAACCAGAGAAGCCTTCAATATTTTTATAACCTCATAATTAACTACAAATAAACATAAACATGAAAAAATTAACAGCAAATTACAAATACTTTGTGGAAATCTAAGATTTTTAATAACTTCAGGTGTTTTTAATTAACACTCCTGCTTCAAATGTTTTTTAAGTTACCTTAAATCAAATCTATGCAACTTTCAAGAGACAGCTTCTGCTGATTTAGGCATGACCACTAATATTTTTCTCTTTGCTTCCAAGAGCATAAATGATGTTTGCTCCAGTTGTGATTCCCCAGAATGCATCAGCAGGGGAAAGAACTGGACTGAAAATTAAGCCAATAATAGTATTAACCTCACAATAACCCATGTCATATGCAGTTGACAGCATGGTACTGTGGGCCAAAAGAAGTGTGTAATTTCGCTAAATTGATTGCAATACTAGTAAGAACCAAAACCTACCACTACTCTCAGCCTGGACAATGACAAACAAAACCACATCTTACTGCCTACATTAATATGACCTTGTGTGCTATCCTCTTGTCTTCACTGGCATGACTTTACTCTCTGTCTTCATTACCATGATCTTATTCTTCCAGGAGTCTTGACCCTAGGCAAAAGGTCTGATTTTTCACTGCAGGCGCTACCTAAAAGACCCATTAACTCTTCAAATAAAACATCAATGACAGTTTATACTCTAAGATTCTTTGACCTCCTCACCTTAAAATCCTCCCCTTGCTATTGCCACCAATCTTGGGCTGCTGTATTGAGAATCTTGCCCAATCTTGCCCTCTTGCCCCCTCTCATATTGAAAGACCTGCCCTAAACCACAATTCCAATTCTCAGATGCTGCCCTCACTTTCCCAGCACCAAGACACTAACAAAGCTTTGCAAGTATTTTCTCTTACTGCATTAAACAGTTAACTCAGCTTTGTCTTATCAACGGGTTGTGTTGGTCATACAGGAGAAAAACCGCTTTTGATGTTAATTTTATCAAAGATGTTTGCTTTACAAGCATATCAAATGTCTTAAAGTAATTTGGCTTTAAAAATGGGTAGAAAATAAGGAGTTGCAACATGTTTCTTTCAAGTAAATGGTAGTTTCTACTTGATAAATACAACATTATTGCCCTACCAGTTAGTAGGGAATGGAACGGCCACACTAAGCTACTTCTAAACATCTTAAGAACAAGAAGTAACAGGAGAACCCCATGGAGAAGTTGCTATACAATTCTTACCATGGACAACTGCCCTGAATGCCCAGCCTTCCTGAAGACTCGTGTTGATGCGGAAAGATAGGGAGAGTAGGGAACCACAAACAACTGGTGGCAACACAAGAGACACAAGAGAGGTGGCCCTGCCTTCTTAGGGCAGTGGTACATGGTTAGGCTTGGACTGTCTAACAGGTTCCCTCATTTCCTGTAATCTTTGAGAAGTAAAGAATTGGATGTTGACTACATGGCTTTCTTGTCCCCTGCTTGCTAATAGGTCAATAATGTTGCATATCACTAATAGAAATTACCATTCTTGAAGAAGCCTATTTCCAGTTGCAATTGCCAGATTATTGTTCACATGTTGTACTGGGATCTTCATCTAATATCCATGATTACTGAAAATATTAACATCTATCTTATTTATAGAATATATACATGACCTTTTTTTGGTCACTCAATCTGAAATACAGCATTTCTTACTATCGTATACATTTATTGCTTGGTTTTACTTTAATATTTATATTTAGTGCATTAAAGAAAATAAAGAAAAAATATTCTATAAGTATTTTGCGGTAGCCACAGAGTGGATCTGAGAGGCTATCATGCAGTTTTATTTTTAGATAGCACACTTCCAAAATATGCAGGGGGTAATAGTCTATAGAAGACTAGCTTTCTATAGAAGACTCAACAATTTTAGTGAAATCAAGGATTGCACTTGCCAAATGAAGGACACAGGTTAACAGTAGCTGAATTTTAATAGCTACTATTGTAACCACACCTTAAATAGTTGCTATTACTACCACCACATGAGAGTGGCAGTGTAACACAGTGATTAAGAAATGAGCTCTGGCGCTAGACGACTGGGATCACATCCTGGCTCTGCCTCTGTATAACCTGTCAGTGCCTCAGTTTCCTCATCTATAAAATCATAGTATATACCTTATTATAAAGTTGCTGGGAGGATAATTTACATAATGTGTTTAGAACAGTGACTGATACCCAGTAAGTACTCAGTAAATATTAATATCCACTCATTGTTCTAGAGATTTTGAGGGGGAAAGTGTGGTAAGTATAAATACCTGGACTTATACAAGATCTGTATGGAGGAGCCAACTACAGAACAATTTAGTACAAAAAGATTAGTTTAAAATTTTGTGAAATGATAAAACTGCAGTGTTCTTTTTCAACCACCTAATAAGAGCACTGGCATCAAACAGGTGTTCATTAATAAATAATTCAACAATTACAATAATATAAACTGAATACTACAGCTTAAGTAAGTGCATCCAAAGTACCTTGAATCTTCATTTCATTCATTACAAAATCCAACTGAATTTTTATTTAATAAAAATCCAGTTTTGGCCAGGCATGGTGGCTCATGCCTATAATTCCAGCACTTTGGGAGGCTGAAGCAGGAAGATCACTTGAGGCCACTAGTTCAAGACCAGACTGAGCAACACAGCAAGACCCCATCTCCACAAAAACTTTAAAAAATTAGCAGGGCATAGTGGTACATGCTTATAGCCCTAACAACTCAGGAAGCTGAGGTTGGAGGATCACTTGATCCCAGGAGTTTGAGGTTACAGTGATCTATATTGGGTGGCATAGCAAGACCCTCATCTCTTTAAAAAACAGTTTTTATAACAGACAAACAGAGAGCCAAATCATGAGTGAACTCCCATTCACAATTGCTTCAAAGAGAATAAAATACCTAGGAATCCAACTTACAAGGGATGTGAAGGACCTCTTCAAGGAGAACTACAAACCACTGCTCAATGAAATAAAAGAGGATACAAACAAATGGAAGAACATTCCATGCTCATGGGTAGGAAGAATCAATATCATGAAAATGGCCATACTGCCCAAGGTAATTTATAGATTCAATGCCATCCCCGTCAAGCTACCAATGACTTTTTTCACAGAATTGGAAAAAACTACTTTAAAGTTCATATGGAACCAAAAAAGAGCCCGCATTGCCAAGTCAATCCTAAGCCAAAAGAACAAAGCTGGAGGCATCACGCTACCTGACTTCAAACTATACTACAAGGCTGCAGTAACCAAAACAGCATGGTACTGGTACCAAAACAGAGATATAGATCAATGGAACAGAACAGAGCCCTCAGAAATAACGCCGCATATCTACAACTATCTGATCTTTGACAAACTGGAGAAAAACAAGCAATGGGGAAAGGATTCCCTATTTAATAAATAGTGCTGGGAAAACTGGCTAGCCATATGTAGAAAGCTGAAACTGGATCCCTTCCTTACACCTTATACAAAAATTAATTCAAGATGGATTAAAGACTTAAACGTTAGACCTAAAACCATAAAAACCCTAGAAGAAAACCTAGGCATTACCATTCAGGACATAGGCATGGGCAAGGACTTCATGTCTAAAACACCAAAAGCAATGGCAACAAAAGACAAAATTGACAAATGGGATCTAATTAAACTAAAGAGCTTCTGCACAGCAAAAGAAACTACCATCAGAGTGAAAAGGCAACCTACAAAATGGGAGAAAATTTTCGCAACCTACTCGTCTGACAAAGGGCTAATATCCAGAACCTACAATGAACTCAAACAAATTTACAAGAAAAAAACAAACAACCCCATCAAAAAGTGGGTGAAGGACATGAACAGACACTTCTCAAAAGAAGACATTTATGCAGCCAAAAAACACATGAAAAAATGCTCATCATCACTGGCCATCAGAGAAATGCAAATCAAAACCACAATGAGATACCATCTTACACCAGTTAGAATGGCGATCATTAAAAAGTCAGGAAACAACAGGTGCTGGAGAGGATGTGGAGAAACAGGAACACTTTTACACTGTTGGTGGGACTGTAAACTAGTTCAACCATTGTGGAAGTCAGTGTGGCGATTCGTCAGGGATCTAGAACTAGAAATACCATTTGACCCAGCCATCTCATTACTGGGTATATATCCAAAGGACTATAAATCATGCTGCTATAAAGACACATGCACACGTATGTTTATTGCAGCAGTATTCACAATAGCAAAGACTTGGAACCAACCCAAATGTCCAACAATGATAGACTGGATTAAGAAAATGTGGCACATATACACCATGGAATACTATGCAGCCATAAAAAATGATGAGTTCATGTCCTTTGTAGGGACATGGATGAAATTGGAAATCATCAGTCTCAGTAAACTATTACAAGAACAAAAAACCAAACACCACATATTCTCACGCATAGGTGGGAATTGAACAATGAGAACACATGGACACAGGAAGGGGAACATCACACTCTGGGGACTGTTGTGGGGTGGGGGGAGGGGGGAGGGATAGCTTTAGGAGATATACCTAATGCTAAATGACGAGTTAATGGGTGCAGCACACCAGCATGGCACATGTATACATATGTAACTAACCTGCACATTGTGCACATGTACCCTAAAACTTAAAGTATAATAATAATAAAATAAAATAAAAATAAAAAAAAGGATTCCAAAAAAAAAAGTTTTTATAGGAGAATAGCATTACAATTAAATCAAAGGTTTTATCTGGGTCCAAGCATTCATTAATAAAGGTCTTATATTTCTCAGCATAGTAACATGATAATAAGCAAAGGGCAAATACTTACAGAAATAGTGAATGGCGTGAGCTTTTTCTTATTGATGGCTCTTTCATCAATTGTATCTGGTTCAGATAAGTTGATCATTTTGCTAAAGAGAAAATGAGAATAATTTAGTTTAATACTCCAAGAAATTTTTTTAGTTTATTATTGCAAACAGCCAAAATAGATAAATTTTGAAAATAACAATTCATTACTTTAAAATATTAAACAGTAAGCCAGGCATGGTGGCACATGCATATAATCTCAGCTACTTGGGAGGCTGAGCCCAAGAGTTTGAGGCCAGCCTGTGTAAAACAGAGAGACCTCATCTCAAAAAATAATAATAATAATTAATTAAACTATAATTCATGCCGGAACTTAATTCTTAAAATCCAAGAAATATTCCCATTCCTAAAACAAATCCATCACTCACTGCAATAGTAATCTAAGCATTTCTCCTAATTTTTTTTAACCATCCTGAATTTTCTTTTTTTTTTAAGAGGGAGTCTACCTCTGTCACCCAGGCTGGAATGCAGTGGTGTGATCTCAGCTCACTGCAACCTCCACCTCCTGGGTTCAAGTGATACTCCTGCCTCAGCCTCCCGAGTAGCTGGGATTACAGGTGTGTGCCACCTCTCAGCTAATTTTTGTATTTTTAGTAGAGATGGGGTTTCACCATGTTGGCCCGGCTGGTCTCAAACTCCTGACCTCAAGTGATCCTCCTGCCTCAGCCTCTCAAAGTGCTGAGATTACAGGCATGAGCCACCACGCCCAGTCATCACCCTGAATTTTCTTTATGTTAGTTTTGTCTTTATTTCACTTAATGATCATCAGTATTCCGCAGCCTAAAACAAAGAAATTCTCCAAGAAGCCAAGTTTCATAAAGTAGTATCAACACTGTTAAAATTACTGTTGTTGCAGAAAGATACGAAGCCAGAGATTTCATCTAAGACCAATAATTTAGACATTTTCAGAGAAATTAATATAAATTTTGTCTCTATATTTTAGAATTTTACCTTTTAAAACAAGAATAGGAAAATACCCATTTGGTTCATAATAGGAATTTCTCTGAGAGTCAAAGAAAGATAAGAATTGTAGGTGGAGGTCAAGGTATATTTTATATTTAATGTCATAAAATCTAATATCCTGTACTTATGGGTAAGGTTTTGTTTTCCTTTTTAAGTAAAAACATAAAAAAAAAGACTGAAGGAAATGTGTTAGAATATTAATAAGTCATTTATGGGTGGTAAGGATATTTTTGATGGTTATTTTCTACTTTGTAAATCTTTTGTACTTTTTATAAACTAAAGAAAAGACCTCTGCTTTGTCCAAAGAAGTATGCTGGGACTGTGGTACACACAACAATGACAAAGACATTCCCTCAGAGAGTTTACAACATAGTGAGAAAAAATAGAATGCAAAGAGCCAAGGATAACACAAGGCTGAATCAAAACATTATTTTCATTTAGGTACAAATAAGGAATATCTTCCCTTTACATTTCCTCATGTCCCATTCCAGTCAATAATCAATACTCGCTTACTGGAAAAAGAAAAGAGAAACCCTGCGAATATTTAAAACTGCATCAGACAAATAACTCAAAAGATTCCTGGCAATTATTATAGTAATACACGTAAAAGGCAACAGAAAAACAAGGGATTGTATTTGAAGGAAAATTTTGGAAATTTTCCAATAGATATACAGTAGTTCATTTTCTATGCAATATAAATTCCTCATGACCTAAGTAGCTACTGACTCCAAAAGACAATGGACAGCTGAATTGGAGTTTTCATGGAATGCTCATCAATGTAATCAGCAAGAACGCAGCTTCCTTAACCAGAAGTTCAACTCACCAAAGAAGGATGCCATCTGCAAGTGACTTGAAAAGACTATCATCATTGGGATTCATGGGTATAAGATGCTTACAGTCAGGGTCATTCTCCAGGGCTTTGTTTATCCAGTTAACAAAAGCCACTTTTTCTTCCTCTGAAAGGAGAAAACCTTGGTAGGCAAATCTCATTTCACAAACTTTATTGCACTATAAAAACATACATAGCTATTGCACTACAAAAACATACTTGTTAATTTCTGCTCAAAGATAATAATTGACCATTATTACAAATCTACTAAAACACAAAAGGGTTCAAGAAAAGAAGAAAGGTGGCTGGGTGTGGTGGCTCACGCCTGTAATCCCAGCACTTCCCAAAGCACTTCCAAGGCGGGCTGATCACTTGAGGTCAGGAGTTCAAGACCAGCCTGAGCAACATGGAGAAACCCCCGTCTCTATTGAAAATACAAAAATTAGCCAGGCATAATGGCACATGCCCATAGTCCCAGCTACTCGAGAGGCTGAGGCTTCAGGATTGCTTGAACCGGGGGGTGGAGGTTGCAGTGAGTGGAGATCCTGCCACTGCACTTTAGCCTAAGCCACAAAGAGAGACCCTTTCAAAAAAAAAAACGGGGAGCACGGTGGCTCACGCCTGTAATCCCAGCACTTTGGGAGGCTGAGACGGGCAGATCACGAGGTCAAGAGAGCAAGACCATCCTGGCCAACATGTTAAAACCTCATCTCTACTAAATAAACAAAAATAAATTAGCTGGGCATGGTGGCGTGGGCCTGTAATCCCAGCTACTTGGGAGGCTGAGGCAGGAGAATGACATGAACCCAGGAGGCAGAGCTTGCAGTGAACCGAGATCGCGCCACTGCACTCCAGCCTGGTGACAGAGCAAGGCTCTGTCTCAAAAACAAAAACAAAAAACAAACAAAAAAACAAACAAAAAACTGATCTATTAGGAGAGATGAAGGTATATATCTTAAATGAGCACAATATATATTTGGTTTGATTCAAAAATATTTCCAAATATGTATTGCTTCTGAAAGCTAATGAGTCAGAAGCAGACCATCGGAGGTCAAATATGTATATGTTAATTAAATAAGGAAAAAAATACAAGAAACAAATACCATGGCAATAAATCCCATCCTCCCCAAAAGGTTTAGAGAGCTGTGATTTTTAGCTTACAACAGAAATACTGAATTCAGTCAAGAGTTATTCAAATGAATAAAACAGCTCAATTTCAATGGAATTTAACTATTAAAAAATTGACACAAATTGGCTGGGTGCGGTGGCTCATGCCTGTAATCCCTGCACTTTGGGAGGCTGAGGTGGGCAGATCACCTGAGGTCAGGAGTTTGAGACCAGCCTGGCCAACATGGCAAAACCCCATCTCTACTAAAAAATACAAAAATTAGCCAGGTGTGGTGGCAGGCACC
Source organism: Homo sapiens (assembly GCF_000001405.40). NCBI lineage: Eukaryota > Metazoa > Chordata > Mammalia > Primates > Hominidae > Homo > Homo sapiens. Next base: position 142,674,871 of record NC_000003.12, on the reverse strand, counting down.
TGTAATCCCAGCTACTCTGGAGGCTGAGGCAGGGAGAATTGCTTGAATCTGGGAGACGGAGGTTGCAGTGAGCCGAGATCACGCCACTGCACTCCAGCCTGGGCAACAGAGCAAGACTCTTGTCTCAAAAAAACAAAAAACGAAGAAAAAATTGACACAAATCTAGATACCAGCACTATCTTTGGCCATCTTCATCCAACAACTTCTCAACACATGGCTTCTAGTATGGGTACATTGATCTTAAGTAGAAAATTTTGTTGGGTTATGCAGTGGGGAAAATAGGAAGGAACTTAAAGTAAAAACATTGTACAACTTTATTATTATTCTGTAGATATAAAAACCATTTAAGATTATAAATCCTTAAAGTAAATAATCCCCATTTCCATCAGAGGGTAGCACATAATGATTTGGCCTTCTCCATTGTTGCCCCAGTTCCTAGAATTAAGTAATTTTCCCAAGGGAATATTTTGCAGGTACCCCCAAAATTTAATCCACCACACATACATACACACACAAGTCAACAAAAACACAAATATGTACTAATATTTCCTCTTTGTACATATCATAATCTGCCTTATCTTCTCGCCTCCTCATACACACCTCCTTAGAAGGATTTGGAGTCTAGGAATTCAGAGATCACTAAAATACTGTATCTGCCATTGAGGAATTTTTTAGTGTAATTGTAAAACAAATATACAAAGAAATGTGATATAAGGGAAATACACACACCACCAGAAATATATATGCAATGTTTGCAGAATTTAAAAAAAGAAGCAATCACTTTTAGTTAGGGTGATCAAGAAAAGGCTTCATAGAGGAGGTACTATTTGAAATATAGTTTTTCAATAGGTGAATATAGGCAAGGAAAGAAAGGATGTTTCAGGTATAGGAACCAGGAATGAGATACCACATCACAACCACTAGGATGGCTGTAATTTTTTAAATGGACAAAAACAAGTGTTGGTGAGAATTGAAGAAACTGGAGCCCTCATACATTGCTGGTGGGAATGTAAGATGGTGCAGCCACTTTGGACCTTGAGAGCTTGTTTGGAAGTTCTAGCAGGGGAGTGCAGCTACTCGTATACCCTTGACCAAAGACCAGTCCTCTTCTATTGGGATGGTTGTCCTCTTCAACCGAGCACGCAGCTTCGGGAAGGACTCACATGGAGCACTGAGGGAGGAAGGGGACACCTGCCTAGCCAGCCAGATCAGCCAAATCAACCCTGGCAATCAATGGGGTGACAGATGTCGCAGCCAGATCGCCCTCACAAGTGCAGCCACTTTGGAAAACAATTTGGCAGTTCTTTAAAAATGATAAACATAGAGTTAACAAAAATTCAAGCAATTCTACTCCTAAGTATATGCCTACGAGAATTCAAAGTATATGTCCACACACAAATGCATTCATGAGTGTTCATATAGCATTATTTATAATAGCCAAACACTAGAAACAACCCAAATGTCCATCACCTGATGAAAGGATAAACAAAATGTGGTATTGCCCATAGAATGGAATATTCAGCAATAAAAAGGAATGAAGGGGCCAGGTACCATGGCTCACACCTGTAATCCCAAGGCAGGCAGATCGCTCGAACCCAGGAGTTCAAGATCAACCTGGGTGACATAGCAAAACCCCATCTCTACAAAAGATAGAAAAATTAGCTGGGCATGGTGGTACACATTTGGGAGGCATGGTTATGCACTTGGGAGGCTGAGGTGGGAGGATCCCTTGAACTCTGGAGGTCGAGGCTGCAGTCAGAAAAAAAGGAATGAAGTATGATATATGTGACAACATGGATAAGCCTTGAAAATATTACACCAGTGAAGAAGCCTGTCAAATGAAAGGCCACTACAGTATGATACCATTTATATGAAACTTCCAGAATAGGCAAATTTGTAGAAATAGAAAGCAGTTTAATGGTTGCAGAGCCTTCGGGAAGAGGGAAATGGGGAGTGACTGATAATGAATATAGTGTTCTTCTTTGGTGTAATGAAAGTGTTCTGAAATTAAATAGTGATGACAATTGCACAACTATGAATACACTAAAAACTACTGAACTGTATACTTTAAAAATGTATTCCATGGTATGTCAATTATATCTCAATAAAGCTGCTATTTTTTATAAAAGCCATTAAATATTCCATATATTTTTCTAGAGAATAGTTATATAGGTGTATTCATAGGTTAAAAGAAATCATCAAGCCATATACTTAAGAATAGTACACTTCAGCCTGGTGTGGTGGCTCATGCCTGTAATCCCAGCACTTTGGGAGGCCAAGGCGGGTGGATCATGAGGTCAGGAGATCGAGACCATCCTGGCTAACACGGTGAAACCCTGACTCTACTAAAAATACAAAAACATTAGCTGGGCGTGTTGGCGGGCACCTGTAGTCCCAGCTACTCAGGAGGCTGAGGCAAGAGAATGACGTGAACCTGGGAAGTGGAGCTTGCAGTGAGCCGAGATCGCACCACTGCACTCCAGCCTGGACGACAGAGCGAGACGCCATCTCAAAAAAAAAAAAAAAAAAAAAGTACACTTCATGCACTTTACTACAAGTATCTTATACCTCAAAAAATAAGTAAACAAAAATTTATGGTGACAAATATCAGAAAAGAGGTTACCTCTAGGGAAGAATAGTTACTATCAGGGGAATGAGGGAGTCTTCAGGTGATGAAAAGATTCCATGTCTTGTTCTGGTTGGCAGCTACATGAATGTATATACACATGGAAAAATTCATTGAGCCATATACTTAAGATTATAGCACTTTGCTGAATGTGTATTATACCTTAATAATTTTTTTTTGTCTTTAAAAAGAAGCCACTTCAGTAGAATTGACAGGCAGAAACTGGGTTAAGGGGTGAATACCTTTCAAAAAGTGAAGGTAACAGTTATGGACCTTTGCCTTTATGGCTGCTTCCCTAGTGGGAAAAAGTTAGGAAAAACATATAATAGATGAGAGAAATTTGAGTGTATCGCTAGAGGAAAATCCAATTAGGAAGGGACAGAATCAAGAGGATAATTAACAGATTCAGATCTGAAATGAAGAAAGAGGGGAAAAGGTTACAGGTAATTTTGTCAAAAGGCCAAAAAGCATAGTTCTAGTTATGTTCATATAAATAAAAAGAACTTGGCCAAAGGTTCTTAGACATCTTAGATAACTTAACACGGGGAAGACACCTCATCTTAAAAGTTGATATGCTTCTGCATTTCCCACTGGGCAATGGTCCAGTGGTTTAATCAGATCAAGCAAATCAGGTGCTATGCTCTCTAGTCACTTGGTTACTAGATAAAAGGTGAATCGGGTATCTCAGATCTCAGAAAATGGAAGAGAAAAATCCTTGTGATAGAAGCCTCTCCCCCATTCCTAGCTCAGGTCTAAAAGTAAAGCCACCTCATCAGTCAGGATGAAAAGCCATTGAAAAGCCACTTTTAAATACATCTAATGCTGGAGTATAAACAACTTCCACTTTGTTGTTTATAATCTTGTTTCTGTAGACTGAGCCTGATACACAGCAGGAACTCATTGATTTCAATGATTCTAGGATTTTTCATTTTGACATCTGTGAAACTGAGATGTATTTCAAATTCAATGGCATGTTATACTGTGGTCTGCAGTATTTTTTTCTCCTCAGTGGCACATAAAATAACGGTATGAATCACAATGAGTGGCATCTTAGAACTGATTAAATATGTCACTTAATCAATGAATCAGTGACTAAAAGATCAAATTTGGAGAAGTCAGTTACCTGAATAAGAATGCTGTGTGCCCTCACTGGAAATAGTTGAAGTTCCTCCAATAGCAGTAATCCCTTCCCTCTTGTTAATTATTTTTCGGAATGTTTTGCTGATATCTTTGCTTTTTAATTCTTGCATTAGCTGGAATGGAACATAAGTAAAATTGAGAATCAGATAATCAATAAAAACCTGACAAAATGGATATTTATTTACACTTCTTTATTTGAAATGACACCAAATTAAATACTAGTCAGTTGTACTTATTGCTTGTATACACAGATAACTTTCATCATTTTACCAATAACACAAAATAGACAAATACTTGAACCCCAAACGGTGGAATAAATTTTTTATAACTAAGCTTAAATTGAACACACTGAAATTATTCTTCTTGGCTTGCCATAATCTTTTGTACTGAAAACCTAAGAAATAACTAACTACATGCTAAAGATAGAAGAATGCCTTAATGAAGATATTTTCCTGCCTGAACATCTCAAATGCATTCATGATAAAATAAGTCAGCTCTTAGAGGAAATAACATAGGCTTACAGAAACTCCCTTTCCCAATCACTCTCTCACTGGACTCACCAGAGATTGGCAAGACTCAATTCAATCAGTTCTGCTTGCAGCAAAGTGATTGGGTTTTTTTTTAAATGCAAATCTGATCTTGTCACTTCACATTCTATTCTTCCCACTTCATTGTCTTCCTATTGCTTTTAGGATAAAAACAAAAATTCGACATGGCCCTGTGTGACCTGATTCTGAGTTACTTCTCCAGCTACATTCCTTACCCTTACCATCTCAGCTCCAGTCACACAAACCTTCTTTCAGTTGCTTGAGAATATTCACCATCTCTAAAGCCACAGGGACTCTACACATGCTGTCATGTCTACCTGCCTCCTACATTATTCATTTTCCCACAACCCACTTTTATCTGTTTAACATCTTTCTTCAGAACACATCACAGTCTTCACACTGTAGGGATACCTTCCCTGAGTCCCTGGGTTATCCAGCCTTGCCTCCAAATTCAATTCCTTCTACCACAAACTCTCACAGGACCTGTACCACTCTGTCATAGCAATTCTCCAATTATCTTTTATCAATTTGTGCAATGCAGTCTTCTCCACACATATAAACTCCATGAAGACAGGAATCACGTTTCTTTTTACTCATCACATTACTCACAGTGCCTAGCAAAATTTCTAGGAAGAGAAGAGCTAAAATACCTGCTTAATCAATAAAGAATGCAAAACCAGACAATTTATATTTCATAAATATTTATTCAATTATATTAATGGTCAATAAGCATTGAACTCACCTAGTTATTCTAGGGAATGAATTACTATTATCTAAACCTGATTTCCATTCCAACAATTTGAGAATAATTTTTTCCTTTGTTTTATGAATTAGTTGTGGAAATTATTTCGATAATAATAGTTATTGTCATCATCATCATCATCATTTTAAAGCAGTCCTTTTTCTGGTCTCTGAAGCTGGATTTAACCAAAGCTAGTGATGACATTACTACAATTCTGCTCTAAGCAAGATTATCAGTAGCCCGAAAGGATTAGATTACTTACTGACACAAACTCTTCAAAACTGATTTTGCCATCTTTGTTGCTGTCAGCAACTGATAGAATTTTCTCCACAATCTCGCGCACCTTGTAGCCAGGCAGAGGAAGGCTTGCTTCCTTAAACAGGTCTTGAAGTTCATAGTCACTGACATACCCACTATTGTCAATATCTGTAAAGATATATTATAAAATATATTTTGTAATCTTTGTTGAAGGTGTACAATAAGGATGCCTTTTGGGAGGATTCATAGATGTGCAGACAGAGCCTTTCACATTTGTTTCACAGGTGGCAGTAACCTTTTTTCCTGTACCTGAACTGTACAGAATATGCTATATGCTTTATTTTAAAAACTCGTATTTAAGCCAGGCTTGGTAGTTCCAGCTATTTGGGAGACTAAGGTGAGGGGACTGCCTGAGCCCAGGAGTTCGAGGCTGTAGTGAGCTATGATCGCACCACTGCCCCTCAACTTAGGCAATAGAGTGAGACCCCATCTCTTAAAAAACGAAAACAAAAACAAAACAAAAACTTTGTATATATTTAAATCGAGTTTATCCCCATAGATTTAGGGCCACCATATATATTTTAAGGGTATTGTTGCTCTGATAGAAAACCCAGTTTTAGCACATGACTAAGCATCAAAGAAATAAGCATGGGGGGGGCCAGGCGCAGTGGCTCACACTTATAATCCCAGCACTTTGGGAGGCCGAGGTAGGCAGATCACCTGAGGTCAGGAGTTTGAGATCGGCCTGGTCAACATGGTGAAACCCCATCTCTACTAAAAATGGAAAAATTAGCTGGGCATAGTGGCGGGCACCTGTAATCAAAGCTACTCAGGAGGCTGAGGTAAGAGAATCACTTGAACCTAGGAGGCAGAAGTTGCAGTGAGCCGAGATTGCGCCACTGTACTCCACCCTGGGCAACAAAGCGAGACTCCATCTCAAAAAAAAAAAAAGGAATAAGCATGGGGAAGTCACAGATAGCTAAAAAGGGAGCACCCACTCAGACTTTAACTTCTTGAGGGAATTTAGAAAATAAATCTGCTGACCCCACATTCCATATAAAATACATGCGCTGTGTAAAATACGCATAAGGCATTTGTGTTCTACGTTTCATTTGGTGGCAGTTCTGTTTCATCTGTCAATAATTCATTGCTTCTTCATTATGTATTCATGATACCATTACGTATGCTGAATCATGCTTGATGTCATTTGAGATTAGGTGTTCAAGAAATTCACACCTATATTTGGACTTTGGGAAACAGGTTTCCAGGTGTTTTCATGTCATGGCATCATTGAGAGATGCCCTTCCCTAGGTTTTCCCTAGAGGCCGGGTATCACTTCTTGACTCAGAACAAAGGCAACACAAAACGCTTCTGCCCAGAGTTGACAGCAGAGCTTTGCACTGTTTTGTTGCCTGGATCCACCTTGTATAGGCTCTCTTTGCTCATCTGCTAATAGCTGCTTTGTTTCCTATATTTCTTGTTCTTCTTAATAAAAGAGCTGCTATACTAACTGAATTAATGGTTAGGATAGAAACTTTTCTTTGGAACTCTCATATGAAAGTTTTAGAATTAATACTGTTCAGAATGATAGAATATTTCTAAACTAGAACCACCAATAACCAAAATATTGGTATAATTGCAAAATTCAGCTAGGAAGCTAAGTTGCTTGATATTGCAATAATATTGCTTTCTTTGAATTTAGAGAAAAATCTCATTACATGACCAGTTCAGAACTGTTTCCCATAATTCTGAAATACACACATAGATTAGGCTGGCTTATTTCTAAACCAGCATAATAGCAGGAAATATTTTAAAATAAACAAGACTGAGGAAGTTATTTGCCTAATAACGATCATGTTAAACTAACAGGATTAGTTAAGAGCTAGGATTCTGAAGACAGATATGGGGGCTTAAGCTCCCAGGCTCCATCCCTAGGCCCTCTGTGGTTTTGGTGTGACATGACAAGAACTAATAGAAACCATCTAATGCACATATATGCTTAGCCAAGTGACTTGTTAAGAACTTGACTTATCTCATGAAATTGTTTTTTTCTTTTTTTCTTCGAGACAGAGTCTTGCTCTGTCGCCAGGCTGAAGTGCAGTGGAGCGATAAGAACTTGACTTATCTCATGAAATTCTTTTTTTGAGTCGGAGTCTCGCTATGTCGCCAGGCTGGAGTGCAGTGGTGCAATCTCAGCTCACTACAACCTCTGCCTCCCAGGTTCAAGCGATTCTCCTGCCTCAGCCTCCCAAGTAGCTGGGACTACAGGTACATGCCACCACGCCCAGCTAACTTTTGTATTTTTAGTACAGATGGGGTTTTACCATGTTGGCCAGGATGGTCTCAATCTCTTGACCTTGTGATCCGCCTGCCTCGGCCTCCCAAAGGGCTGGGATTACAGGCGTGAGCCACCGCACCCGGCCATCTCATGAAATTCTTACAACAACTTTGAGGTGGTTACTAATGTCATTCCCATTTTAAAGGTGAGGAAATAAAGGCTTAAGTTAAATAACCATAAAGATCACAGTTTGAAAAGAAAACAGGACTTTCTTACAACTCGACAACAACAACAAAACAACGTGATTCAAAAATAGGCAAAGGGCTTGAAATGACATTTCTCCAGAGAAGATATACAATTGGCCAATAAGCACATTAGATGCTAAACATCACTAGTCATAAGGAAAATGCAAATAAAATGAGATACTACTTCACACCTAGGAGAATGCTTATTATCCAAAAGAACAGAAAACAAGTGTTGGTGAGGATGTGAAGAAAATGGAACCCTGGTACACCACTGGTGGGAATGTAAAATGGTGCCTCCACTATGGAAAACAGTATGGTAGTTTCTCCAAAAATTACATATGGAATTATCACATGATGTAGCAATTCCGCTACTATGTTTACACTCAAAATAATTGAAAGCAGGGACTTCAACAGGTATTTGTAGACCCATGTTCATAGCATTATTCACAATAGCCAAAAGGTGGAAGCAACCCAAATGGCCATCAGTGGATGAATGGATAAGCAAAATGTGGCATATACATACAATAAAATATTATTCAACCTTAAAAAGGGAGGAAATTCTGACACAGGCTACAACATGGATGAAGCTGTTGATGAGGACATTGTGCTAAGTGAAATAAGCCAGTCACAAGAAGACAAATATTATGTGATTCCACTTATGTGAGGTACCTAGGGTAGTCACACTCATATAGAAAGTAGGATGATGGTCACCTGGGGCTTGGGAGTTATTGTTTAATGGATATGGAGTTTCAGTTTGGGAAAGGGATGGTGGTGATGAATGTAGAACAATGTGAATGTACTAAATGCTAATGAACTATACACTTAAAAATGGTTAAAATGGTAAATTCTGTTATGTATATTTTACCACAATTTCAAAAAGAAACAATACAGAGAAATATTTCAACTTCCCCCTTCTCCCCAGTGGCCCCCAAATACTCCATCTAATAACATTGGATGGCCGTGTTCCTCTATCCTTGAGAAAAGTGTGCTACAAATTAGCAGAGAGGTTTCTGAGTTCACAGAGTAGCAGTTTACCTCCTAAATAAAGTCAGCAAGTACCTATTCTGCTAGTGTTACTGCTTTGCTCAAACAGAACAAATTATCTTGCTCTCAAAATTGTTCCATCAAGGACCTGCTTCTGGGTTGGGGTTTTGTACCTAGCAGAGCAGCTCCCTCACTACAATCTATTGAAAGTCAGCCCTCAACACAAGGTTTTGTTAAAAAAAAAAAAATTGTTCCATCAGTGAATTGTTTATTCAATATATCATTAAATAAATATTGCAAGATTATATTAATATGTTCATGAGTCAAAGATTAAAGTTGTTGTGCTAAACAAAGCAAATATATTACTAATTCATTTATTTTACCAAGACCTGGGTAGAACTTTTATTCAAGCTACAAAACTGCATCTATAAAATAACAGAAATATCAAACTACGAGATACATTTTTATTACTTCCTCTGTTTCAATGCTCAGAATGAGCAGAACATTTCAACAATTGCCCAGTTTTTGTTTTGAAAAGATTCTGGACACTACATACAATTCTCTATAAAATGTATGATTGTTTTCTGAAAATCATACCATATTCATACAATGCTCTAATGACAAATATGCCATTCCCAGGGAGAAATGGAAGAGCCCAGAGATTTGTAGAATTTAGTTTACTTTATTTCACAGTAATGATTTGTAAAACATGAGCTTCCTGAGTTTCACAGTTTTTTGGTTTTTTTTTTTTTTGGAGTGCTTTTTTTTTTTAAACATATCGTTTTTCTTTGTATTGGTCAATAAAACTCATGTTGCATGATATTTTACTCACATTAATTTTAGTCGTTATTAGGTTTGTGAGAAATCTAAGCACAAGACCAGCGGTGATCATTTTCTCCTCCCTGATCTACCATATGACTGTTTTTCATGGAGGGCTCTATTACACTAGAGAATGAGCTTGATGAGTAAGGGGCAAACATAGTGGTGTCATTATCCCAATGTCTATTCACTGTGCTCACCTTTCACTGGGTTCACCTTTCACTTGCATGCATTTGCAAACTAAAGCAAAAAAAAAAAAAGGTATTTATATTCTCCTGTTTACCATGGGTTTCCTAAGAGCAAATTGCAGAAGAATTGAGATCCAACAGAGTATGAGGAAAATTTTTTGGAAGAAAAATACAAAACTGTCAAAATGATAATGTCATAAAGACAAAACACTAAATGGCTATAAAAAGTGAAAGAAGAAAAATAAGGCATACGGCCTTTAAAAACAATACTAAGACTTTCTAAATTATGCATGTGGGAGAAGGAAAATAAGACATATGGCATTTAAAAACAATACTGAGATTTTAAAAATATTCTGCATGAAGTCAGAAAGTGTTATTGTTAGTGCAAAGATGTGAAGGCCAGAGTTCAGTTTATACACAAGGAAGTATTTTTATATTTTTTTCTCTGTAATAAGGATACCGTGTAAAGTGTATTCAGTTACATTGTCATTCATTAACCTGGATTACTCTCTGCAAAGAAATGATCAAAGAATTCAAAGTCCAATTCACCTAGAAATTCAAGCTAGTCGTAGCTTATCTTTCAGAAAGAAAGAATCCAGTGAAACCTAGATAGAAAAAAAGGAATAAATCTGGAGGTAATTGGGTGGTGGTAGATGAAATAAAAGGTATTTTTCCATTCCTGAAGTCTGACATCAAGCAGACCAGTAATATCATATTTACTTTTTCTCAAGCATACCTATTTTATTAAATGCCTCTTGTAGTTCTTCAAGCTCCTCCCGAGAAATGGTAGTAGTACTGTTTTCCATCTTTGGACAGAAAAGACTATCTTCAGGTCTTTATATCTAGAAAAAGCAATATTATAAAAAAAGCATGAAGCCTTTGGAAACATTTAACTAAGCAATATAAGGTACAGAGGAAGTACATTCTCTAGGAGGAATTATCTATGAGATCTGGCTGACAAAGAACAAATATGAGTAGGTCCCCTGGTAACAATCTCTCAGCATAGGCCAGCCAAACTATAACTGAGACTCAGTAAGGGGAAGAAACACCTATTTTTCTCACCTTGTGCTTTTACACAGATATTTCTCAATAGCCTAATGAATTAATAATTTCTATTTGCATTTTACCCCACGATTTCAAGAAAATAAGCATTGCATTTCAAGTTTGAGAAAAGTATAGCATTTATAAATGTACAGCATAAGGTCAGAAAGTAAAATTTTTTAAGACACGAATAATGTCTACAAAAAAGGTGAATTCAGCATCTGCTTATCTTATAATGGGATTTGTGGTTTTAACATTCAGCTTTACAATATCCAACCACTGCCACATTCTTTCCCCTACCCCATGTGAAGTCTCTGAGGGTCTGTGGGGCTCTTCTTTTTTATGGCATGATTGTGGCTCACTGCAGTCCCGAACTCCTAGGCTTAAGTGATCCTCCCACCTCAGCCTCCTGAATAGGTAGGACTACAGGCATGTGCCACTGTACCCAGCTAATTTTTTAAGTTTTTTGTAGAGACAGGATCTCACTATGTTGTCCAGGCTGGTCTTGAACTCCTAGCCTTAAGCAGTCCTCCTGTCTTGGCCTTCGAAAGTTGGGGGCAAGGGGGCTTTTGTATTCTGAGTAAGACAAACTAAAGAGGAAAAAATTATGTAAAACTGGGCTATAGGAAAAGTCACAAGGTGGTGTGTGTTCACTGCAGAAAATAATTGATAATGAATGTCCCAAACAGAAAATTAACATTACTCATAATCCTTCTATCCAGAAATATCAACAAATATAATTTTGTTGTCTTTATCCTTCTGACCTACTTTCTTTTTTTATTTTTTCTGCGACAGAGTCTCACTTCTTCACCCAGGCTGGAGTGCAATGGCACGATCTCAGCTCACTGCAACCTCAGCCTCCCAGGTTGAAGCGATTCTCCTGCCTCAGCCACCCCAGTAGCTGGAATTACAGTCATGTCATGTGCCACTATGCCCAGCTAATTTTTGTATTTTTAGTAGAGACGTGGTTTCACCATGTTGGCCAGGCTGGTCTCGAACTCCTGACCTCAAGTGATCTACCCACCTCAGCCGCCCAACGTGCTGGGATTACAGACGCTGAGCCACTGAGCCCGGCCCCCTTCTGACCTACTTTCAAAACACATGTGTACCTTTTTGGGGGTGAGAACAATGTGACCATACAATATTATAACCTTTTTGTTGGTACTAACACATTGTCACTATGTTTTCATGTTGTTCATCAACATAATACTTAATGGCTACATATTACTATATCATAACTTATTTGGTAAATCCCCTCTTTCAGAGTATTTGTACTGCTTCTAATTTTTCATTACAAATAATGCTTCAATGAACATCCTTGCAGATAAATCTTTGTTCTTCTCCATGTTTATTCTGTGTGATAAATATCTAAAAGTAGAATTACTTACATTTTTAAGACTTCTGATATCTAGCAATGCAACTCTTATTTATTTTTATTATACTTTAAGTTCTGGGATACATGTGCAGAGAACATGCAGGTTTGTCACATAAGTATACATGTGCCATGGTGGTTTGCTGCACCCATCAACCCACCATCTACATTAGGTATTTCTCCTAATGCTATCCCTCCCCTAGCCCCTACCCCCCAATAGACCCTGGTGTGTGATGTTCCCCTCCTTGTGTCCATGTGTTCTCATTGTTCAACTCCCACTTATGAGTGAGAACATACAGAGTGAGAATGGTTTTCCGTTCTTGTGTTAGTTTGCTGAGAATGATGGTTTCCAGCTTCATCCACGTCCCTGCAAGGACATGAACTCATCCTTTTTTATGGCTGCATAGTATTCCATGGTGTATATATGCCACATTTTCTTTACCCAGTCTATCATTGATAGGCATTTGGGCTGGTTCCAAGTCTTTGCTATTGTGAACAGTGCCGCAATAAACATACGTGTGCATGTGTCTTTATAGTAGAATGATTTATAATCCTTTGGGTATATACCCAGTAATTGGATTGCTGGGTCAAATGGTATTTCTGGTTCTAGATCCTTAAGGAATTGCCACACTGTCTTCCACAACGGTTGAACTAATTTACACTCCCACCAACAGTGTAAGAGTGTTCCTATTTTTTTTAAGTGAAAGCAAGTTTATTAAGAAAGTAAAGGAATAAAAGAATGGCTACTCCATAGACAGAGTAGCCACAACTCTTATTTTTAAAATGACTTAGTGGCTTTTCTATTCAGTGTAAAGCTAAAGATGAATACGAATTATATTGTATTTCTCATAAACACTTAGTTCTATCAGACAGTTAATATGTGCCTCAGAAAATAAGTGAAAACAAGTGCTTTATAAAACAATAGGAATTGAAGCTAAGTGGAAAATCCTCTTTTTTATACACTTTTATAAACTTGTATTTATATAGAAGGTTCAATATCATCCCTAATTTTTCAGTGAAGCACATCAATTTTCAAAATAATTTATTCACTGAAATTTCATTGATCATTGAAAAATTAAATTGTGTGAAGCCCTCTAAGAGTATGGCTCATTTGTGATCTGTACACAAATTTATTCAGGAATTTTGGTGTTCTTTCAAAATCACAGATTTCTATCTCTTACAATTTTTCTGGGGCCTGGTTCTAATTAAATGTGCAATTAATCTTTTGGTCTTATTTTAAATATACTATTGTCCGCTATTTAATTCTACATTGTTTTTTAAAAAATTCTAAAGAGCTCAAGTCAGTAGAAAAAGGAGTAAATAGAAGTCATCTTACTCCCCAGATGCAGTTTCTTACATCTTAGCATTAAATACTCATTTCATTGGATTCTCACCTTTAGAAAGCTTTACTATATTTAAAACTATTTACAGACATTCTTATTTTGTGTTCAAAGAGATTAAATAGTTTTTTTAGGATTGTTAAGCATAATTCCCTGGGTCTGCAAAATGCTACTTGTGGTGTGGCTGGCTTTGAATCTCTGTGGTTTCAGTCATCCTGCATATCCTTTCCTGTATTCAAAATGCTTTCTATCCCTTGCCTCAAGTTTTAAAAATAGGGGCCCAATTTTAGCATTTGCACTCCACAGAAAGGCTGCAAATTAACAGTGTTTGTGTTGACCTTGCATTTGAAATGATAAAAATAAAACTGGGGTTATATTCTTTGCTCATGCCTATTCAAATTTATATAATTTGTTAATTACATAAAATGTTTTTAGTCTCCTATAACCAGGCAAAAGCACCATGTAAACTTATCAAAAAAGCAATTTACCCATACAACGTTGTTTCCTATCTTTAAAGCTTTGTTTTTATAGCTAATAAGTGTAAAGATGTTGCTTTGAATCCTTTGGCATTGAAATGAAACAAACAGAAAAATATAAAAGGATCTTCAAGATTGTATACAGACAGCTCCTAACTTACGATGATTTGACTTAGAATTTTTCAACTTCACAATGGTGTGGAAGTTACACACAGTCAGCAGAGAGCGGTATGATACTCTCACCATGCTGGGCAGAGGTGGTGAGCCACGTTCAGCCATACGATTACAAGGGTGAACAACCAATACTCTACATTTACCACGTTGTCAGAAAGTTTTGCCCAACTTTAGGATACTGTAAGCATTCTAAGCATGTTTAAGGTATGCAAGGCTAAGCTATGACGTTCACTAGATTAGGTATACAAAATATATTTTTTACTTAGGACGGGTTTATTGGAATGGGACTCCTCTAAGTTAAGGAGCATCTGTACTCTCAAAAAAACAAAACAAGATACAGAAAAGTAAGTGTGGCAGGGAGAGTGATGGTATCAGCTGTATGTTTATACAACATTTTCTGGAAGGGTACAAAAAAATGGTAACAGTTGTGATTTTTACGTTGTTAGTCTCATGGCAATTCAGGGTTGTTTCTATTGCCTTTTTTTTCCTGAAACTGTTCTAAGAAGGGTTTTAGATTCTGCCAATCATAAACAACTGCTCGGACTAACTTTGGTAAACTTTTAAAAGGCTCAAGGAAGAAATCTGAGGGAGGATAAAAGATCAAATCCAATTTTATCTAAATTTTCAAAAGTCTCTTTTAGAATGTGCTTCTTTAACTTTCCAAATATATATTTGGTTGTGTCACGGTATACTTGAGGATTAGGCAAGGAAAAAAGAGGCTTTAATTGATGAAAGAAGGTTCCACTTAAAATGATTCGTGCTTAAAGTGGAAGTAAATTAGCCAGGCGTGGTGGCACACACCTGTAATCCCAGCTATTCAGGAGGCTGAGGCAGGAAAATTGCTTCAACCCAAGAGGCGGAGGTTACAGTGAGCCAAGATCACGCCATTGCACTCCAGTCTGGGCAACAAGAGCAAAACTCCATCTCAAAAAACAAAACAAAACAAAACAACAACAAAAAAAAAAAAAGAAAAAAGAAAAGTGGAAGAGGAACTGATCCTCTAGGAGAAATGGAGACTGAGGCAGACTAGGAAGAGGCTTACTCTTCATTATATGCTTTTTGTATTCAGTTTTTTAGACTATCAGCCTACCAAAACAAACAAATAACTGAAAAGCAAAGGCAATTTTGGTAAAACATTTAAAAAAAATGAAACAAATACTAGTGGTCTAAAGATACACATTACTGAATACTGATAATGATAAAATTATATATACAGTACCTATAGTGACCATTTTAAATAAGAGCACCTATGTTTCTTTACAAAGCAAAATCTATGATTAAAATAGTGAAATAATTTATAGCTTTCCACAAAGGCACCTTTTCATTTCCCAGCTATTCTATTTTCCCATCTTCCACAGTGGCCCTGTCACAGGTCACTTGAAATTCTGACTTCTCAAGCTAGCCCCTGACTCGGGTCAGCCAGCTTTTCCCCTTATCCATCCTCCAAAATTTCCTTTTTCCTTTATTCTTCCTCGTCTAGAAATATGAAATATAATGGCAAATATTTATTGAGGGCTTTCAATGGGTCTGGAACTGTGCTAACCTCCTCACATGCATGAGCTCACTACGCATTTATCTGCTCTACTGATGGTACAAGCATCATCCCTTAAAAATGTATATTTGAGGCCTACAGAGATTAAGTGACCTGCCCAAGGAAGGTAGACAAAATAAGAGATTCAAAAGCAAATGTTTTTCTAGTGCCCAAGTTCTTAAGTTCTACATGTAGTTCAATTAGCATTCCTACTCTCTCACGGCAAGCATCATAACTAGTTTTAAAGAAAGGAATGATGACTACTTAACACTAAAATGTGAATAACCAGTAAACCAAGCCTGTAAAGTGTTAATTCTTCCAACTATATTTACATTACTATTTAATCAATATGTATACATCAGTAAAACAAATGAATCACATCTGTTTCTCAAAATCATACTAAATGAAAAAAGCAAACTGCTGAAGTATACATACAATATACTATTTATTATAAATTATAAAAACACAAAATACTATATATGTTGCTTATGATCCCATACCTATGTAGTAAAACTTAAACATACATGAGAATAACACAACAAATTCAGAATAGTGGTGGTCTATGTAGAGGGAGGCAAGGAGCAGGGCTTGCAGGGTAGGGCTGAATCTGTTACATCTTTTTTTTTTTTTTTTGGAGACAAAGTCTCACTTTGTTGCCCAGGCTGGAGTGCAGTGGCATGATCTCAGCTCACCGCAGCCTCTGCCTCCCAGGTTTAAGCAATTTTCCTACCTCAGCCTCCCGAGTAGCTGGGACTACAGGCACCCATCACCACATCTGGCTAATTTTTTTTGTATTTTTAGCAGAGACAGGGTTTCACCATGTTGGCCAGGCTGGTCTCTAACTCCTGACCTCAAGTGATCTGCCTGCCTCAGCCTCTCAAAGTGCTCAGATTACAGGCATGAGCCAATGTCCTCAGCCTGTTACATATTTTTTAAAGATACAGTTGAAGCAGTTATGGCAAAATGCTAATGTCTGCTCAATCTAGGAAGTGAGTACATGGACATAGGTTATATTGATTCTGTATTTTAGTCTTTTGCTTTAAATAATTCATATTATAAAAAATTATTCTTAAAGAGAAAAAAGGATGCTTCTTAATCCAAAGCCACAAGCCACTAATAAAGGAAAATCAAGCCATAAAAATAATAAAAAATAAAGATGACCAAGAATATGTTTTTGAACAGGGGAAATTTTACCAAGGCTTTAGGAAACTTAACTACTTCAATCTTGAGAAATTAAAATAATTAATATTATTGTGGGAGAATAATTTATTGAAATGTTAAATTGTGTTTATTCTTTTTCCTCCTCAATTAAAGCAATAACACACTGGGCGTGGTGGCTCACGCCTGAAATCCCAGCACTTTGGGAGGGCGAGGTGGGCGGATCATGAGGTCAGGAGTTTGAGACCAGCCTGGCCAACACAGTGAAACCCCGTCTCTACTAAAAATACAAAAATTAGCCAGGTGTGGTGGCACACGCCTATAGTCCCAGCTACTTGGGAGGTTGAGGCAGGAGAATTGCTTGAACCCAGGAGGTGGGGAGGTTGCAGCAAGCAGAGATCGCGCCACTGTACACCAGCTCGGGTGACAATGTGAGACTCCGTCTCAAACAAACAAAACAAAACAAAACAGCAATAACACTATAACACTTTCTTATCTGAGGGACTCTGGCAGCACAGAAGGCAAAACCAGGCTAGAATCTGTGGTTCCCTCAGTCTTTGGGAAGAAGCATGAACCTCCTAGAGGGCTTACTTAGGTTGGATGTCCTGGCAATCGGATCAGGGGGAAGAGGCCACCTCTGAGAAACCACTAGATGAGGAAGGCAGTGAGAGGGAAAGATTGCCCCCACAGGGAGGAAGGGAAATCTCTAGGTGCCAGCAAGTAAGACTGCTGCTTGCTGCCCTAGGAGTGGCAGGTGCAACAGAACCTCACCGGAGAGAATCTGCCGACTAAGCCAAGGGGTGTTTCCCAGGTAGCCACTGAAGACCGATGATGGAGAATAGAAGAGCTTCCTCTCAGCCTTTTGCTCTACATTAGACCCAGGACAACAGAGGCTGAGGAGCAGATTCCAGGTGCCTGAGAAAGACTTGGCAGTATTCGGGCAGGATGAAGCATGACAATAAAAATAAAGTTGCTTCAAAGAATATCAAGAAATGTGATCTTTCTTTTATCTGACTTTTATGGAAAAAGACTTGATAGTGTTCCTATGGAGAATTGACTGAGATCAGAGGTTCTAGAATATTTCAGTATCTCTGGTGAGTAGAAGTTCTACTGGTACCCCATGTCCTCTTCTTCTTTGCAAATTATTGTCTCTCTCACCACAGCCCTTCCCTTTTCCTATGTTACTTCCCATTTTCAGCCCTCCATTACAAGTTTACAGATCACAAGGTCACTGAAATAAATCACTATGTGAAAAAAAACAGCTATGAAATAGTTGAAGAATTTTCCTTCTAGTTTAAAGGAAAACCTGGAAAATATTTTCATCTATATGTCTAGCAATCTCCTTATTCAACAACATTTCACAACAGGGAGCTGTATCATTCATTTTGGAAAAAGTAAGTATTCATATTCCATATCAACCTGTCCATTTTTTATCAGATTTTCTTTAACTGGAATGTCTACTGACTGTTGAATATAAGTATGAATTGGGATATCATTTATTTTGTTAAATATTAGTCTCCTACTCTACATAACAGCCTTGACTGTCCTTTGGACAAAGGGTAAAATATATGAAAATGGTGCAATATAATTCAAAGATTTCCTGAGCATCCTTCAGCACTAAAATAACTGAGCTCAACTTTTTCATTCATTCACAAGGGACAGCTATGATAGAAAACTTTTCTTAAAAATTGGTCGAGTGCAGTGGCTCATGCCTGTAATCCCAGCATTTTGGGAGGCCAAGGCAGGCAGATCACTTGAGGTCAGGAGTTCGAGACCAGCCTGGCCAACATGGTGAAATCCTGTCTCTACTAAAAATGCAAAAATTAGCCAGGCCTGATGGCATGCACCTATAATCCCAGCTACTTGGGGGGTTGAGGCACAAGTATTGCTTGAACCAGGGAGGTGGAGGTTGCAGTGAACTGAGATTGCACCACTGCACTCCAGCCTGGGTGACGGAGTGAGACTCTATCTCAAAAACAAACAAAAAAAAGTAATTAATTTGATTGCCAACAGCCTGGATTTGCCAAATCCTGGGCTATTTTAAAAAGACAATTTTATTTTCAAACACATAAAATAATTTCCCACATGCTTAGACAATCCTAGAGACCTCGAGAACTTCAATTATGCACCATTATGAAGTGTTAAGCCAGGAACAGCGCACCGGGGGTAAAGTGACACTGGTTCCAAACTGACTAACTCTTTTGTGATCTTTTTTTTTTTTTTTTTTTTGAGACGGAATTTTGTTCTTGTTGCCCAGGCTGGAGTGCAATGGCATGATCTCAGCTCACTGCAACCTCCACCTCCCAGGTTCAAGCGATTTTCCTGCCTCAGCCTCCCTGGTAGCTGGGATTGCAGGCGCCCGCCACCACGCCCAGCTAATTTTTTGTATTTTTAGTAGAGACGGAGTTTCACTATGTTGGCCAGGCTGGTCTCGAACTCCTGACCTCAGCCGATCCACCCACCTCAGCCTCCCAAAGTGCTGGGATTACAGGCATGAGCCACGGTGCCCGGCTTGTGATCTCTTAAAGGGAGGCCTGACAATCTCCTACAAAAACAAAAAATAACAATACACTGTTATTTTAACATTGGGACTTTTTTCTGCTTCAGTCTTCCCAAGTATTTACCATTTCATTATACCCCACATTGCCAAATTAATGCGGTCTCTGTTCTCCACTCTCAACTTGACAGCTTGGAAGGCCGATTCCCCCATATCCTTAACGCCTTCCCATTGGCATAAGACTTCATCACCTCTGTCTTTTCCTTTGCTCAGTGTCTTCATTTCTTATGTATTATTCCGTTCATGTACATTAATTTATTCTTGGTTATGTGTTGTGTTGTAATGGTCTTATTTTGCTATTTTATTTTCATCCCACCTTCCTATCATTGTTTGCTCCTTGCAGGTAAAGGATATTTTATATTTTTATATTCCCACTGGCCTTGTGTTGTATATGTGGGGAAAGGTTAGTAAAATTCATTAAAGGTAATATTTCTCTAATATTTCTCTTCACAGAGCATAAGGAGTACTAGATAACAAAGGGCCAAATAAAACAACAGTTTATGGGAAATGTGCCACCAACTGACAAGAGGAGATGAAGAGTTTCTATACGTCAATAACCAGTTCTCTTCATTCACTTACCCATTTATTTATTCAACAACAACTTATTGAGCACTTGTTTGCTGTACCTCTTTACTGTGCTGTGTATTGGAAGCACAAAGACTAATTTGACAGCATTCAAATTTTTTAATCCACATGTTTATACATGGTGTTTCTTCTAAATCTATCAAAATAATTTTTGTTGGGCCAGGGGCAGTGGTTCATGCTGTAATCCCCACACTTTGGGAGGCCAAGGCCAGAGGATTGCTTGAGGTCAGGAGTTCAAGACCAGCCTGGGCAACATAGTGAGACTTTGTCTCTACAAAAAAAGAAAAAAAATTTTAAGTTAGCCAGGCATGGTGGTACGCACCTATAGTCCTACTACTTGGGAGGCTGAGATGGGAGCATCACTTGAGCCTAGGAGTTTGAGGCTATAGTGAGCTATGATTGTGCCATTGCATTCCAGCCTGGGCGACAGAGCAAGATTCTGTCTCAAAAAAATAATAGTATTTGTAAACTTTTTCCTAATCATTTTACAAAGGAGTTAATGATATAGCCTTCATTCTTCCCTAGGTGAAGCTTTTAAGTTCTGATCCTCTTGTGCAAACACTAGATATATAAACAAAGAAATCTTCTAGCAAAGCAGAGAACAGACAGGGCTTACCTACATCCCCTCCCTACTGCCTCACCACACGGGCCGCCACCATGGTCATCTCCATGACCAGCCACGGTCATTATATTCCCATGCATTTGCAATTTGGGATGGCCTTCAGTGGCTGTCAGACTTGCCACCAAGACTTTTCTACTATTTACTTAAAAGCCCCAACATGTGGCCCCTAGTAAGGGAGTTTAAATTCATTCATTCATGTATTCAACAAATAAATCCTATTTGGCTGGGCTAAATGAAGATATAAAGATGGGTAAGAATCAGTTTCTCCTAAAACTATACTCATACAATATAGTGCTTATCAGGTTCAACTGTTAATGCCTGAAAAGTTTAATTTAAACTGATTTTTTGTAAATAGTACAATCTTATGATTATTGCTCTTTGATGAACAAATTAGAATCATCTTCTAATTCACTTTCTGTTTAAATCTGGATATAAAGGGGTCTCTTTTTATACTATATACACGTATTATAGGAGTTATTCAGCATATATCATATATGGCTTTGGGTTAGAAGTTTCTGAGCTAGGGCCAGGCATGGTGGCTCACACGTGTAATCCCAGCACTTTGGGATGTCAAGGTGGGCAGATCGCTTGAGCTCAGGAGATGGAGACCAGCTTGGGCAACATGGTGAAACCCCATCTCTACTAAAAAAAATACAAAAATTAGCCGGCCGTGGTGGCTTGAGCCTGTAGTCCCAGCCATTCTGGAGGGTGAGGTGGGAGGATCGCTTGAGCACGGGAGGTGTGGGTTGCAGTGAGCCGAGATCACACCACTGCACTCCAGCCTGGGCAACAGAGCCAGACCATCTCAAAAAAAAAAAAAAAAGTTTCTGACCTAATTGTAACCAAGACAATTGTATCATATAGAATGGTGATGTGAGAAGGCTAAAAGGGGTGGGTAAGAATATGCATATGTACACACATACTCACGTGCATGCGTTTAAAAGAAAACAAGAATAAGAGAAAGACAAAGACCAAAGACGTGAAGAAAACAGAAACAAGCTCTTGGAAAAGCATTTGGTATGAGAGAGATTCACGTTGCAGCAAAATTATCCTTTCTTCATTAAACCTAAGTGCAAGTCAGGGGCGGCAGTTACCAGAATAACAATGTAAAAACATGCAATGACTCAGCAAGTATTTGGTGAAGAAAAATATGGACGCGGACCCAAAAATTGGCTGTACAGAAGGACTTAGAAGAAATAACTTTCCCAAGGAAAGACAACATACTGAAATCAAAGCTGCTGGCACCACAGCTCTGACTTTACTTTTTAACACATGGGATTTGGTCACTCAAACACAGAGGTTCAAATGTTATTTGACTTGTGCAACTGAATGAATGAGCGTGCAGAGTTAGACTTGCTTACTGAATGGTTAAATCAGCATGCCAAAAACAAACAAGCAAACAAACAAAAACCAACAACAACGTAGCCTCTTCTCACAAGGCCTTTATCCCAGAGTTCTCCCCATTATCCATGGCTAACACCAAACAGGTGCTATTCAGTTTTGAAACCCAAACACTTCAAGTGATCAGTGAGGAAGTACATATTGAAGGGATGGCCTAGGCAAAGAGGGACAATGTGAAACGTGCCTCACCTTGGTTCCCCCGCCTCCTACTCTGTGCCCTCGGCTCCACTCAGATAGATGCGCTAATGGATTTGCCATGCCTCCGAGGACACAGGCACTGCTCCCTCACTGCAGCTTGTCCAAGGGGCACAAAAATCTTTGCCTCTTTGTTGGTAGAGCCAAGGTTAGTAAGTTTTCTTAGCTGGAAAATAGGAAACTAGATTAAAAGTATATATAAAAGGTGCAAAGTAGGATTTACTGACCAATGCACAATAAAAAGTAGCAATAGAAGACTGACTGGAACTATTTGTAGGGGTGAAAGAAAGGGAATGACTTAGTCCCCAGTACTTTCCTAAAGCCTTAAGTCTTCTCTAAATCCAACATTGGGTGAATATAGATAACCTGTAAGCTGAGGAAATTAGAATCTACGAAGTGGGAATCAGTTCTTCTGAGGACCTGCTGAACAATGATGCCCCACGGCCCCAAGCTCAGCAAGACTTCCAATCTACAGCCATGAACATTCTTGCTGGTTCCTGAAGTCCTGGATGAAGACAGAGGCCCCTCCCCATTTGACTCCCCAACCTTTACCCCTTCCTTAATGTGTCCATAATGCCTACCCCCTGGAAATCCCATCCATGTCTCTAAGCCTACAAGGGCCAGGCAGGAAGTCAGAAGTGTGATTCAGGCCTGGTAGGGGATTGGAAGGGCTCTGACAAGGAGCAGCCACTGCTGAACTCCTGTGGACTGTTGCCAAGAGAAATGAGGCCCAGGGTTGCCAGATCTTCTGATTTTTCAAAGAAAGTCAGAGATCAATATTTTTATGTGAAATTTGATTTTTAAGCTTTGGCAAACAATTTGAATTATTATAAAGCACTGTGTGTGCCAGATGAGTCCTTCAGTCTATTAAGTTTGGTTCCTCACATTCTTGATTCTGTTCATTCATTGGCCTCCCAGGGAGCCTTGATGGAAATGCTGTGTGTTTCTTTAGAAACACTCCCATCAGCTGGGCACAGTGGCACGTGCCTGGAGTCCCAGCTACTCAAAAGGCTGAGGTGGGAGGATTGCTTGAAGCTAGGAGTTCGAATCCAGCCTGAGCAAGACAGTGAGACCCCCCTTGTCTCCATCTCTTTGTTTTTTGGGTTTTTTTTTTTTTTTTTTTTTTTTTGAGACAGAGTTCCTTTCTTGTCATCCAGGCCGGAGTGCAATGGCACAATTTTGGCTCACTACAACCTCTGCCTCCTGGGTTCATGTGATTCTCCTGCCTCAGTCTCCAAAGAAGCTGAGATTACAGGTGCACATCACCATGCCCAGCTAATTTTTGTATATTTTTAGTAGAGACGGGGTTTCATCATGTTGGCCAGGCTGGTCTCGAACTCCTAACTTCAGGTGATCCACCTGCCTCGGGCTCCCAAAATGCTGGGATTACATGCGTTAGCCACTGTGCCCGGCCCTGTCTCCATCTCTTAAAAGTAAAGAAAAGAGAAAAGAAAAAAGAAAAAGAAATGCTTCTGTCAAATTAGCTCACTGAGGGCCAGAAGAAAACATTTGCTCTCTAAATTTGTCAAAACCCAACCTCAGTTTTATACCACTCATCATATTCCTGAACCCAATAAGGGGCATTTCCAATTGTCACCTCCTCTGAAAGATGAGGGGCCAGCAGGTCACAAGCCTATTAACCACAGAGACTTTCCCAGCTCAGGCAACTGGGCCTGCCTAGCATCCCAGGATCTTTTTCTTCTCATTTAGTATTTATATCCCATCTACTGTCCCCTACCCCTACTGCCACTTTAGGCCTTCTCTGGCTCTCTGGGAAAATTCAACACATGAGTATTACCCAAGTCCCCATCATTATAATGTCTGTATTAACACTTCGAGTGTAATTTCCTCAACATGTTTTATTTTCTCCTTCAGAAACTATTTCCCTTCTTCTGGCAACAGTCCTAACTTTAGTTCTGATGTTCCCCCTGTAATGATACATCCATGCCATTTTTGGCTGAGGTTCCAGGTCCAAGCCACGCAGCACATCATATTCCCCAGCCACAGTGATTTTGCTTTATGAATAGGCATAAAATCCAGCTGGAGCCAACAAGACGTAACAAGGCTTTTGTAAAGCGTTATATAATGAGAATCCCCACATGATCCCCTGAATCAGAGAGGAAGTAGAGGTCAGAGCAGCTGCAGCCATCATGCCTCCAACAAAGAGAGAACACAAGGCTAAGAAGAAGCCAAAACCAGACAAAGATTAGCCGGGCATGGGGGTAGGCACCTGTAGTCCCAGCAACTCAGGAGGCTGAGGCACAAGAATCATTTGAACCTGAGAGGCAGAGGTTGCAGTGAGGTGAGATCACACCACTGCTCTCCAGCTTGGGTGACAGAGCGAGACTCAGTCTCAAAAAAAAAAAAAAAAAAAAAAAAAGAAGAAGAAGCCAAAACCAACACTGCAGAAAACAAACAGTAAAGACAAGACACATTCTGGCAGGGTAGTCATGAATTCAGAGTCCTGAATCCCACTGTGGTTTTTTTCTTTCTTTTGGTGGTTACTCAAAACAATTTATTAAAAGCCATTTAAACTGGGTTTCTATTGCTTTGAGCAACAAGTGTCTAAACGAATATATAGAGACAAAAACAAACAATCTACATGAAGAAAATGGGAGGCAAGTCACTTCCTCAAAGGATGGAGAATATTTGGGCATTCTGAATTGGGAAAGAAAATTAACTATAATTATACTTTCCAAGTAAGTTTATATCTAGATAATAGGCACTACTTTGGTCATAATTTGTATTTTACCACCACCTCACCTAATCCCAGAAACTCAGTGCATCAGTGAACCACAGAAGTCAGTTTATAGTTGCTCCCACATTGATCAGCAGTATTAAAGATTATATTCATAGCCTAAGGGTCTCTAGACCTAGACCTATGACTGCTTTGTACCTTTTCTTCCCTTTCCCTTCATTCAGAAAAATTCTTCCTATTCACTTTTTTTTTTTTTGAGACAGAGTCTCGCTCTGTTGCCCAGACTGGAGTTCAGTGGTGCGATCTCAGCTCACTGCAAGCTCCATCTCCCAGGCTCAAGCAATTCTCCTGCCACAGCCTCCCTAGTAGCTGAGATTTCAGGCATGAGCCACCATGCCTGGCTAATTTTTTGTATTTTTAGTAGAGATGGGGTTTCATCATGTTGGTCATGGCTGGTCTCGAACTCCTGACCTCAGGTGATCCATCCTTCTCAGCCTCCCAAAGTGCTGGGATTACAGGCGTGAGCCACCATGCCTGGCCTTTTTTTTTTTTTTTTTTGACATAGGGTCTCACTCTGTTACCCAAACTGGAGTGCAGTATCATGATCATGGTTCACTGCAGCCTGGAACTCCAGGGCTCAGATGATCCACCTCAGCCTCCCGAGTAGCTGGGACTACAGGCGTGTACCACCAAGCCTGTGTACCTATTAACTTTTAATTCACCTTCAGCTAAAGCTGACAAAGTGAGTAGTAATATATTATGAGAAATGGGCAGGTCTTTCTGACATGAGGCAAGGCAGGGCAATCTAGCTGCAATGACATACAAAGTCAATAAATCGTTAAAATCAGGAAACTTCTAAAGTATTGCATGTAAAGAGAAAAAAGCAATTTACTTAGTATCTGAGAGTAAAAAATATATATATGTCCAAGATGTTTGCAGATTTATCCAACATCCTACCAAAAACAGGTACACTGAGTGGCAAGTCCCTTTAAGTTAGTTAGATTTCCAAAGTGGTGCCTGACCCAGGTCTCAGTAAGACCCACACTATAGTTTGCTGTGTGGCATGATAATGTGCTTTCAAAGCACAAAGGGAACAAGAAGGATGTATGGCAGACAATTCAGGAGTGAATGAAGCTGAAGAAATTAAAAACTCTCCATTCATTTTTGTACAGGCATTTTTATATATGGTCAGATATCTAACATAGGTACAGCTTCTCAAAAAAATTGGCCTGAAATAAACCTTATGTAGGAACATTAGAAATGAGAGCTTCTTTATCAAATCTATTTGTTGCTTTTATTATTGTTTTGAAGTTCCAGTTGACCATAATAATGTCACTATATTGCTACTCATAATCACACAAGCTGCCCAATTCTCTATTTTCAAATCCTGGAGGAGGAAAATATTCCAAAAACTGATGCCTCCCGCAACTGAATTTTCTCGTCTTTTTTAGTTTGTTCCATTAAACTATACTTCAATTTCCTTCATGAGATCACAGCCGCAACAATTTTAGTTAAACCTTTACCTATAGACTCCAAACCTTTCAACAATCTTGATTTCCCACTACATCCTGAAAAAGGCCTCCTCTTTCTCCTGAGGCCTCTTCCGTATTGTTCTACAACTTTCCTTCATGCCATTTCCTGTCCCTAGAAACTCTATTCTCTCACAGCCGTTCTTTACCCCCACTCAAAGCAAAGCTCAAATTCCACCATGAATTTTTTCCTTCATTGCCCTCATTTCATTTCAGAACAGATTTATTGAGAACATCTAAGGTGCTAGGTGTTGTGCCAAGTGTTGGAGGCAATCAAATGGTGACTCACACACAGACCTGACTCAAAGAGTTTACAACTTAGTAAGGGAGTCAATGAACCAAAGATGACAGCAATGGCAAACACATGACTCCCTTATCCACTGCAGACATCCCTCACCAATTGCAGTTCTTTCTCACTGAGCCTTGAGTGGTTCAGGATCCCTTTTCAACACAGTCCTCCACACAGCCCCTACTAGAGAGTCAGCTCTCAAAATGAACTAGAACCCCTGTACAGTCTAGAATGAAATAAGTAGGAAAGAAAGAATCATCTGACTAGAAGATTCAAGGAAGGCTTTCTAGAATAGGTACCAATTGGCTGAAAAAATGAATTGAAAAATGAACAGGCATGAGGTCAGGAGTTCGAGACCAGTCTGGTCAACATAACGAAACCCCGTCTCTACTAAAAATACAAAAAATTAGCCGGGTATGGTGGTGTGCACCTGTAATCCCAGCTACTTGGGAGGCTGAGGCAGAAGAATCGCATGAACCCGGGAGGCAGAGGTTGCAGTGAGCCAACATTGTGCCGTTGCACTCCAGCCAGGGCAACAGTGCGAGACTCCGTCTCAAGAAAAAAAAAAAAAAGAAAAGAAAAAGAAAAAGAAAAATGAACAGGCAGACTACAAAAGATGCAAACCCCAGCTAAGGGAGAAAAACCTTACTGGTCTTCCCAACAGACCACTCATAATCTGACAAATGGAGTTCTTGACTATTTATATTGTATTATAGCAACTTATCACCTTGTAATTTTTAAGTATAGAAGAAATATGATACACCATTATCCTAAAGAAACTCCTAAGGTGATAAGTTGATGCAATACAATATAGATTTTAGTTAACAACATCACTTTTAATTTCTCAGTGGCAATGATGGTGATGATTCTATTCAAAAAATGTCACTTCTCTGAAAGCCTTTAATTTTCCGTTAGTCTTTTTGACTATTGGTAATTTGCATATCTGGCACATGAAAAATCACCACTCCCATCTCCAAACACACCTACATGCTACACCTTGTATTTAGAGCAGGCCAACATTGGCCAACTTAAGGACTCTCCCTTTTTCCACCCGAATAGGTCAAAAATGCATTTCTTCTTATGTACCTTAGAAAAGAAGGGATATTCTCACTCCCTCCAAGCCATGCTTTCTAAGAAGGAATTTTCTATGACTTCCAGGACTCTTAGCTTCATCTGTGTTGCCTTACCTACTGACAGTGGAAAGATTTAATCTTCCTACTTGCTATTTGTACCAATTAAGGTATTTTCACTATAAGCAACAAACAAACCTGATTCTGGTAACATTTATCAAAAAAGGAATGAACTAGATTCAGGGCATTGACTCAAAGAATCAAGAGAGAGCTGAAGAAATAGACTCCCAAAGAACAGGCGCCAGACAGCTCCACAGAGCTCCACAGTAAGAACTATGATGTGCTGCTTTGCAGCACTGTCTCCAGATGCCTCTGCTGCTATCTGAGGATGACAGTCTAGTTCCCAGGATGTTGTGTGATTGGCAGAGCTTCAGCAACATGCCCATGCCTGTAGTAAAGGGATATCAGGAAGACAAGACCTAAAGCTATGGAGAAACTTTTTCCTATACTCATTTGCCTTCTGTAGTCTTTTTATTTGCATGAAGCAAAGATGAAGTTTTAAATCTGAATCCTAAGCAAATGCAAGCATGCCGTCCTAAGAATCTTCTCCTGACCTGAACTCATTGCATCCAATCAAAAACACATGAAGGTTCTATAAACATGGCTCATAAAATCTCCCCCTAGCTCCCTATCCAAAAAACACAAAAGACAGCACTCATGCCTCATACACAGTGGCAGTCCACACACAGCAAGTGAGACTTCCCTTACCCCTTTAATAACAGGCATTCATGGGCGTTCACTATAGGCCAAGCACTGTTCTAAGTACTACATGTATTGACTCATCGAATCTTCACAGCAACTCTCTGTGGTTGATATTATTACAGTTCGCACTTTAGAATTAAAGAAATTGAGACCAAAAGCTTCACATAAGTGGCAGAGCTGGGCTCTGAACCCAAGGAGTCTGCTAAGTCCAGATCCTTAATTATATAATACCTTCATATTGGTGGTCTCCATCAAGCCCCTTCCATGCCTACATCTTATGTTGTACCCCCTAAGACCTTCTCCTGTTAGAAGCTGCCCTAGAACCTGACTTGTCGGTACAGAACTGCCAGGGTGAAGTGTGGGCAGAATGTGACCTGTCTTATGATACTCAGGGAATGGATTAAAAGATTTAAATAAGCTTTGTGAAAATGACACAAATTTTTAAATCATATTTTTTTCCTCTGAAAAAGTACCTTGTTCCTATTTTCTATGTATTATTTAGTAACAGGAAATTATACATTAGAGATTATGCTCAGACTGTAACTCCCCATAATGACAAATATCTCATTCAGAATGAATGCCTCAAGACCAACACTAAAGAACTGTCAGAGAGCAGGAAGCTGTGAGTCATTTCCAAGTGCTCTGGAATAACCCAGGTATTACCTCCTGGTTTGTAATCCTCTTTCCTCCAGTTCTAGCTGGGAATTTCAATGCAAATCATTCACAGCAACACAAGAGAGATTCTGATGATCCAACTTGAGTCTGAGTGAGCAGAGGAGTCCTACCCAGCGTGCTTCCAAGTCAGAGTTTAAACTTTAACCTCTAAAACACTCATTGGTTAAAACTTGAAGTTTTTCACTCTTTACAGAGATTTCAAACAGTGCTTTTCAGAGTTGCAAGTCTGAGGTACTGCATTTTGCAACCTACACAATCCAACGCTGGCCTTCCCTATTAAAAGACAAAAGAAGGAATTGTCTTATACATGCATGTTTTTTCAAGGATTCATAGAAGTATTTCCTAAAATCCTAAGTTTTGATAGTTTATGGATTTGAAAAGGTACTGAAAAATATCAATCACAAAGAATGCCATAACAAATAATTAACTATCAAATTATTAACACAATTTACTTAAAGAATACAACTAATTAATAAATCTATGTTTTATAATTATTTTAATAGTCTGAATGCCACCACTGAATGATTCTATCAAACGGGTTAGAGTTTGGAAGGATTCCACCAAATAGGTTAGAGTTTTTCCTACTCGCAAAAGATGAATGCCCCTTAGGGAAACCAGATATTTGCCAGAGAACTATGAAGTAATTATACCTTTTGCTTCTGGAGGAGTAAAGTGGTGCCCACTACCAACTCTGGAAATTGTTTCTCACTAGTATCTTGGCATTAGAAAAATTGATAACTGCACTTCATCAAGCATTTTATACTTTCCAAAGCAGTTCCACATCCATTACCTCATTATTAGATGACGTTACCCTCATAAATGAATCACGACACTCAAGTTTAATGATTTCTAACAGTTATAAAGTCCCGTCAACACTCCTCACTCCACAATTAAGAAAAACAGCATTTAGATTGAGGGGTAAAATTATATGCTTCACATTCCAGAACAAGTCATTGACAATGCTGAGTAAGAGTATGCGCATCAAAAGAGGACTTTAAATAAAAAACTACTAAAGAAGTCAGGCACCGTGGCTCACGCCTATAATCCCAGCACTTTGGGAGGCCAAGGCAGGAGTATCGCTTGAGCCCAGGAGTTTGAGACGAGCCTGGACAACACAGAGAGACCCCATCTCTATGAAAAATAAAAATAAATTAGCCAGGCGTGGTGACATGCACCTGTGGTCTTAGTTACTCAGGAGGCTGAGGTAGGAGAATCCCTTGAGCCTGGGAAGTCGAGGCTGCAGTGAGCCATGATCATATCACTGCACTCCAGCTTGGGCGACAGAGTGAGACCCTGTCTCAAAAAAAAACAAAAAACAAAAAACCTACCAAAGAAAACCACTGTCATTTTACAGGCCTAAGAGGTTCAAGCCAAAATTAAGACATAATAGGCATTAATGTTTATATGCCATGGGTTGTATAACTTTAGAAATAAAAGAAGAGGTCAGATGCAGTGGCTCACACCTGTAATCCCAACACTTTGGGAGACTGAGGCGGGAGGATCACCTAAGGTCAGGAGTTCGAGACCAGCCTGGCCAACATGGTGAAATCCCATCTCTACTAGAATACAAAATTAGCTGGGCGTGGTGGTACATACCTGTAATCCCAGCAACTTGGGAGGCTGAGGCAGGAGAATCGCTTGAACCCAGCAGGTGGAGGTTGCAGTGAGCCAAAATCATGCCACTGCACTCCAGCCTGGGTGACAAGAGCGAAACTCCATTTCAAAAAAAAAAAAAAAAAAAAATGAAATGAAGAAATTAACAAGAGCAGAACTACTGTAGGAGATCTTAGCTGTTGATAGTTTTAAAGAGAATTCAACTAATATATTCTATAACTCCCAGATTATGTTCCTTATTTTCCTAAACTAAATCAAAGTTAGCTCTACGCATACTCAGTATTAGAAGACCAATGCTAGTTGTTATGTAGATCCCTCTCCATTCTTTGATGTATACTAGGACCCCAGAACTTATATAAGAGGAAAAACTGGACTCCTTTTGTCATCAGTGAGCGTAGCCTTGCTTCAGTCTTACCAGGGCTACTTCAGGAGGTACATTTCTGCTCGACCTTTCTCCATCCAGTATTTGGCTCTTATCTGATGCCCATCATAGGCCATAACCACAGCTTCAATGCATTCCTATCAAATACAGCCAACCTGGCAATGCATTTAACAAGAAATATCTTGCTTAAGACTTTGTGGAGAAATCAAGAAGAAAAATTTACTTTACACACCACTGGGCAAAACTGCAAAATTTCCTTTAACTGTTCTATCTTTCTCCAAAGCTCTTCTCTGCAAGAGAGCCACCTCCTCTCTGATCACTCTAAAACTCTCTACCCTGACACAACTCCTGGCCCTTCCTTTCTGGGCTCCAGTCTCCCCTTCTCCAAGGCCTTGTTCCCTCAACCTCCATCTCAACAGCTTTTCTTATGTTAAGGAATTTAATTCTTTCCTCAGCTTCTACAATTTGCAACCTCTCTCACCCATCATTGCCCTTAACAAATACAACTTCCACCTAAAGATCCAACTCTTTTGGGAGGCAATAGGAAGACAGCAAATAACAAAAGAAGGCTGGGAACAGGCTCATGCCTATAATCCTGGGTGGGAAATGGACTGGGTGAAGGATGGTGGTGGGGTAGGCAGATCACCTGAGCCCAGGAGTTCAAGACCAGCCTGGGCAACCTGGCAAAACCCTGTCTCTACAAAAAATACTAAAATTAGCCCAGTGTGATGGTGCTTCCCTGTAGTCTCAGCTACTTGGAGGGGTGAGGTGGGAGGATCACTTGAGCTCCCAGGAGGTCGAGGCTGCAAAGCTGAAAATATCACAGATCTATTCAAACTATATTTTTAAATGGCCATTAAGCTAAATGAAAATTAAAATAACAATGAAATATTAATACCATTGTTTTGCTCAGAAAATTAACCATACTTTTAAAGGGATAATAATCGGATAATATGTTCTGGGAAACAGAGACCCTGCCATATGGGGCACAGACTGACAGACCACACTGATGGGGTGAAAACTGGAACAAACTTTGTAGCACAATTTAGCAGCAATGGATTCAAAAGCCTCAAATTAACAAGGCTTTCTTCAAAAATGTTGATGAAACAATTCCATTTGTAGGAATTATTCTACAGAAGTATTCCAAAATGAGCAGAGAAATTTTGGTATAGATCTTTACTTCATTTTTACTTAAAATAATGGAAAATGAAAACAACCTAAACTTCTAAAAAATAGAGAATTTATTTAATAATATATGGTAAATCTCCCAATAAAAGGAATATCAGATAGTAATTAAAAATCATGTTCTCAAAGAATATGGAAAAAAATTCACCATATACTATCAGGTTTCCAAAAAGGAGATTATCAGTAAGTATAGTATATTCCCAACTTTGTTTAAAGTATACACCTGTGCAAAGAAAAAAAGACAGGTTAGACAGAGGTGACAAGGGAAACATGTAGAAATGTTTAATAAAATACAAATCTTTAAATATTTTCAATAGATACATGATCTAGAGCAAGCAAAAGAAACCTCCAGAGCCAGATATGAAGTGGGAAGCTGCATAAGAGTAGGGCAACACTCACAACTCAAGGGAGTGAGACCCTCAGATCCTGAACACAGCAGAAAGTTAGAAGTAGAAAAGAAAGGCCAAAACTGGGAAGAGGCAGTCCTGTCTGTAAAGTGGTATACTTAACACATACTACAGATAGAAAAAAACAAAAAGGCACCCAGGAGAAATCTGAACCCCAAAGCTGCCCTAGGTGTCAGGGGGAGCCTGAATTCACACCATCTCCCCTAAAGAAACCCAGAACCCAAGAAACCAACGAAACCATAAGGATCTCACAAAGGCAAAAGCAGAAGTGCTCTGTAGGAAGACCGCCACCACCCAGAGTACACACTGGACTCCAGCTGAAGATAGTGCTCTTAAGACAAAACTTACACAGACAAAAATTACGAACTGTAAGAATCCATCAGCATGAAAGTAAGAGACTTCCAAACTGGGAATCACAAAAAGGACTTTGTAATAAATATGTCTAAATTCTTCAGAGATTAAAACAAAAAGGAATTCATAAAAACAGAAAATGTTTAAAAAGAAAATTACATATCTTTTAAAAAGAACAGGATATATATATTCATACATATATATAAATGATAATAGGAGCTATTTTGGGGATGAGGGTGGTGAGATTATGAATGCCTTAATTTTTTTCTATATACTTGTATATTTCCAACAATGACCAAATATTACTTAACATAAATATATATATTATTTATCTATATATAATATAGATATATAGATAATACATATAATATATAGAGAGATATATAGATATATAGATATTATATATATCTATATATAATATAGATATAATATAGACAGATTATATATATATATAATATATATATATATATAATCACTCTGGGTCTCTGTCACCCAGGCTGGAGTACAGTGGTACAATCATTAGCTCATTGCAACTTCAAACACCTGGGCTCAAGCCATTCTCCCACCTCAGCCTCTCAAAGCTAGGACTACAGGCATGCACTACCATACCTGGCTAAATGTTTTGTTTTGTTTTTGTTTTTTGTAGAGACCAGGTCTCACTCTTTTAACCAGGCTGGTCTCTGTAGGCATGGGCTGTCACCAGGCCCAGCTCAAATATTACTTTTATAACAGACAAGAGAGGAAGAAAAAAAGTGAAGATTCACACTTAACTATTCCCATATGATGGCTAAAAAGAATTTTTGAGAAATGAAGGGCATAAACCTTGATAAACTACTACAATAAATCCAAACTGGCCTCTAAATGAATGCCCCTACAACCTAGCCAAATCCACATCAGACACCACCCAACCACACACTCCGTACCACATGCTGCAATCAAACTGAGCACATCAGCAGATCCCATACATGTTATTTTTAAATATTAACCCTCTATACATGCCCTTTTCCTGAAATTCTCTTCATCCTTTCTTCACCCTTTAAAGTCTTGGTAATCATTCCAGATCCAATGAAATACCATTTCTCTTGTGTAGTCTTCCTCAAATCCTTCAGCCTGAATAAGCAATCATATTACTCAGTGATGTCAAAGGAACTCACTGAGCCTTCTGATTAATGCCATTTTGCACACAGTACTTTCTGTTCATCCTGCCTTCATCAAGGACTACACATTCTTGGAAATAAGAGACATCTTTTTTCAAGTTATCTCTGAAAACTGTCGAAAGCATTATTTATCCATAGTTGTTGCTTGATAAAAATTTGTTGTATGAACCCAAGTACAGAAAGTCACTAAAACCCTACCAAAAGATAAATTCAAGAAAATCATCTTCTTAGTTCATTTTTTCTCCCATACCTTCAGAGAAGTGAAGTAGATTCATCTGCCTACTGTTTGCTTATATCCACTTAAACAATATACATTTCAAATAATATTAGCAGGATTTTAAATTCTTCTGGTCTTGTATTGTTTCCTGTCTCTGACATGCCATGTATGTAATCACACTTATTTCCTCTATTGTATAAAATTCTCCCAGTCAATTTTAATCAATAGCTTAAAATATTTTCCAATGAGCAGTCTGCAGCAGACTTGGTTTTTCGAGGCTTCGTTAGACACTTGAAATACATGTAGAACTAGTAATATAAAATGGCTCTCAATTCAATTCAATTAAGTAAATAGTTTATGACTGCTTAGTGTTTAACACTATGTCAAACATCATAGGGGATATAGAAAAAAATATTAGATTTATTCTCTACACTTAGAAAGTTTAAATTCATTCATTTATTCATCCAGCCAACACTTACTAAGAACTGCCTGTGCACTCAGTCATATGCTAAGCACTGCGAAGGGCATCAAGAAGTTTAATTTCTGGTCTAGAGATTCCACGAGCTTTCAAACTAGTTGGGGGATGTAAGAAAAACAAATTAGTAAGCTAAACAGCAATGTTAGTATAAGTGTAATCAATAAAATTCACCATCTGGTACAGTCTAGACACAGAGAATTAAGGAGGTGAGATGAAGAAGAGGTGTCCGTATATTCAAATGATACAGAAAGTATTCAAAGGAGAAGTAGGAATTGGAGAAAAGCAATGTTATCTCAAGTGTAATGGGGTAAAACAGCTAAATTATAACTTACTCTTTGACAATCCGAACCCATTCCCTCTTCCATTCCACTACTAAAACCAAGTGGATTTGAAGGGGATTCAGGGTCTTAATGAAGGGACCCCACAAGGACCTCATTATTACAGACTAAGGGGAAATTCAGACACTTCAGATGTCAGCAGGGAGGGACAACCACACCCAGGGACTACACAAAGTCTCAGCAGAAGCTGGTTTAAGAGAAATGACAGCCCTGAACTCCTCACCCTCCTATCCATGCTATGATACGACGAAGTTTCTGAAAACGTACTGCTACCACACAGGGATGACAACTGAGCTCAGCCTTAAATGACTGAGTTTTACTTGTATGTTTTACCCTAAGGAAGTCTTCTATTATATAAGTACTGATGATAGAAATTACGTTATAATAAACATAAAGATAGGCCAGCTGTGGTGGCTCACACCTGTAATCCCAGCACTTTGGGAGGCCAAGGAGGGCAGATCACCTGAGGTCGGGAGTTGGAGACCAGCCTGACCAACATGGAGAAACTCCGTCTCTACTAAAAATACAAAATTAGCCAGGCGTGGCGGTGGATGCCTATAATCCCACCTACTCAGGAGGCTGAGGCAGGAGAATCACTTGAACCGGGGTGGCAGAGGTTGCAGTGAGCTGAGATCGCACCATTACACTCTAGCCTGTGCAACAAGAGCAAAACTCCATCTCAAAAATAAAATAAAATAAAATAAAATAAAATAAAATAAAATAAAATGAAGATAAGTGTTTCTTACACACCTAAATTTTGAGGCCTGGGAATTCATCCTTGTTACAGAGTTATAAATCAAATATAATACAAGCTAGTACATCATTACATTCCAAAATGAATATTGAGAAAATGTGCCTCAGAGAAACAGATGGTATGGCTAGAAAGAGTTTAAAGACACATGCTAAACACCATTCCCAGGCATCCTTTTTAGAGCACTCAAAAGCAGGCATGTTTCCGCCAACACTGAAGTGTCACTGTTGTCCCTGTGTTCAGAGACAGACCAATTAAGGGGGCCACAGTTACTACAGGTGTCAACCCTTCATGACAGCACTTCTGCCTTCTCAACACCCTATCCTTTCTTGCCTTCAACTGAGCTTTGAAACGTGGCAGATCCAGGATGCCATGCTGGCTTTACATCTTACCAGCTGTGCAATCTGGGGTATCTGACCTCTCTGGATCTCACTTTTTAGAGTGGAAGAAATAATACCTATCTCATAGCGTTGTCAGGATCAAATGAGAAAGCACATGTGAAAGGCCAGGCACTATTTTATTGCCTCTTTCAGGAGATTGCATGCTTAAAACGACTTAATTATAGAATAAAAAAGTTTTATTCTCTAGGAATTTTGGAATCTCAGGTTAAGCGAGCAGATAGACAGGTATGTTGGGGAAAAGGGATCCCCTGGGCCCCTACACTCACATCTCACACACGGATTGCAACTATCACCTTTTCCGATGGCGCTGGCTAGCTTCTTCGAGAGCAGTGACAGCAGGAGGATGAGTAGAGGAATAAAGAATGGAGAAAGAGTTCTTGGCCATTAAAGCAGCTCTAAATCTCATATATATATAGAGAGAGAGAGGGGGCGGGGGGGCCTGGCATGTTGTTTATCTACAGATAAAAAGTATTAATCAGGATGATGGAATCTGGGATAACCTTTAACTTTCTACTTTCTTTTCCATATTTAATTACATATCCTGAATACACATACACATATACACAGGAGAAAACTACACTCAATTTTTTGGACTGTTCCTTCACAGGCTTTTCACAGGCTTTTTCTTAAAACATAATTTACACAAAACTATCCACCTTTGAATATTACATTGTAAGTATTTTCCCATGATGTTAAAGCTTTTCATGATCATTTTTCTAAACTATAAATTGATTTTTAATAGCTTTAAGGTATAATTGACATACGCTAAGCTGCACATATTTAATGTATAAAATGTGAAGTTTTGACATATTAGAACATATTTGAAACTGTCACTATTAAGAAAGTGAACATGTCTATGATTCCTATAATATTCCTCATGCTCCTTGGTAATCCCTCCTTCCCGTCCTCCTCTGTTCCTAGACAACCACTGATGTGTTTAATGTCACTATAGATTAGTTTGCATTTTTGAGAGTTTTATATAAACAGAATCATGTGTACATACTCTTTTCTTCTGGCTTCTTTCAGTCAGCATAAATATTTTGAGATCTATGTTGTGTATTTTAATAGTTCATTCCTTTATATTTCTGAGTAGTGTTCTTTTGAATGGATAAATCATGAAGACACTTAGGTTGTTCACAGATTTTGGTTATTACAAAAAAGCTGCTATGAACTATTGTGTGCAAGTCTGTGTGTGGACAAACACATTCATTTTTCTTCAGTAAATGCCTATAGTAGAATGGCTGGAAATCGTGGTAAATGTATATTTGACTTTTTAAGATGCTATCAAGTTACTTTCCAAAATAATTATACCATTTTGCAGTCCCATCAATAGTGTATGAGATTTCGCGTTCCTCCACATATTCACCAACACGTGGTATGATCGATCTTTCTAATTTTGGCCATTCAAATAGTGCTATCTCACTATGGTATGATATTTACACTTCTCTGATGACTAATGATGATGAGCATCTTTTCATGAGCTTATCTACCCATCCATATATCTTCTTCGGTTAAGTGTCCAAATCTTTTGCCCATTATTTTATTGTGCATTTTGTTTTCTTAGTGAGTTGAGGGTTGTTTGCATATTATGGATATAGGTGCTTTATTAGATATATACTTTGCAAATGTTTTCTCCCAGTCTGAGAATTGTCATTTCATTCTCTTAATAGCTTATTTGAAATGCTAGAACTTTTACATTTTGATGAAGTCCAACTTATCCACCCTTTCTATCATAGACCATGCTTTTGGCGTTGTATCTTTGAAATTTTTACCAAACCCAAGGTCACAGTATTTTTTCTTTCAGAAGTTTTGTATTTTCTGGGAGTGATATTCAGGTCTACAATCTATTTTGGGTTTGTTTATAATACAAGGTATGAATCAATGTTCTTTTTTTTGCATCTGGGTATCCAATTTTTCCAGCACCATTTGTGGGCAATTATTGTTTCTCCACTGAATTGCATTTGCATCTTTGTTGAAATTCAGTTGTCCATATGTGTGAGCCTATTTATGGACTTTCTATTCTATTCCATTCACATGTCTATCTTTATGCAAATACAACACTGTTAATTACTGTAACTTTATAAAATGTCTAGAGGGGCTGGGTGTGGTGGCTCACACCTACAGTCACAACACTTTGGGTAGCTGAAGTGGGAGGACAGCTTGAGGCCAGGAGTTTGGGACCAACTTGGGCAACACAGTGAGAACCCTATTGCCACAGGAAAAAAAAAAAAATTAGCAGGTGTGATGGCATGCTCTTGTTACCCTAGCTACTTGAAAGGCTGAGGTGAAAGGCTCTCTTGAGCCCAGGAGGTCAAGGCTGCAGTGAGCTATGATGATGCCACTGCACTTTAGCCTGGGCACCAGAACAAAACCCTGTCTCTTAAAAACAAACAAAGAAACAAACAAAACACACGCACACACACAAACAAACAAAAAGCTCTAGAAATCAGGTAGCACTAGTTCTCCAGTTCTGTTATTTTTGTCCAAAATAGTTTGGGCCATTCTAGGTCATTCACATTTCCATATGAATTTTAGAATCAGGGTGTCCATTTCTACTAAAATAGCCTTCTGTGATTTAGCCTGGAATTCCAGTAAACCTAAGGATTGATTTTGGGGAACTGATGTCTGAACAATACTGAGAGTTCATCACCATGTTATATCTCTATTCAAACATTTTTTTTGAGACAAAGTCTCACTCTGTCACTCACTCAGGCTGGCGTGTAGTGGCACGAACTCAGCTCACTGCAACCTTCGCCTCCCAGGTTCAAGCAATTCTTCTGCCTCAGCCTCCTGAGTAGCTGGGACTGCAGACTCGCGTCACCATGCCCAGCTAATTTTTTTTTTTTTTTTTTGTATTTTTAGTAGAGACAAGACTTCACCATGTTAGCCAGTGAATCTCTACTTTTTAATTGAGATATGTAGACAATTAATCTTTAATGTGATTATCGATAAGGTTAAGTTTTTTCTCCTGCTATTTGTTTTCTATTTGTCCCATTTGTTCTTTGTTTTCTTTTTTCCTCTTTTTTCTTCTTTTGGATTACCCAAATATGATTTATAATTCCATTTTATCTCCTTTCTTCTCTTGTTATAATTCTCTGTCATTTTTAGCGATTGCTTTAGGATTTATAGCATACACATTTTTAACTTACTACAGCTTATCTTCAAGCACTATTACACAATTTCAAATATAGCATAAGAATATTACAGTGTGGTGGTATGTGCCTGAAGTTCCAGCTACTTGGGAGGCTAAGGTTGGGAGGATCACATGAGCCCAGGAGTTCAGAGGCTACAGTGAGCCATGATTGCACCACTGCACTCCAGCCTGGGTGACAGAGTGAGAAACTGTCTCTAAAAGACAAAAAAAAAAAAAAAGTTACAATGGTATGCTTCCATTTTTCCGCTCAAACCCCATATGTTTTATTATTTTTATTTAAAACAACTGGCTTTTAAAATGACTTAAACAATAAGAAATCTTATCTGTTTACTCATGTAGCACCATTTCTGATGCTCTTCTTTGTACAGACCTGTATTTCCTTCTGCCTTGAGGACTTCGTTTAACATTTGTCAGGCAAGGCTGCTGGTGAGTTCTTTCAGTTTTCACATGTCTAAAAAGTCCTTAATTTCATCTTTTTTTTTGAAGTATATTTTTGTTGGGTGTAGAATTCTAGGTTGACTGTTTTTCTTTTACTACCTTAATAATGTTCCTCCACTATCTTATCTATACTACACCATCGCGGGCAAAACTCAACAGCACTGCAGTGAGAAATAGACAAATCCACAAGTACAGTTGAAGACTTCAATTGAATACAAGCAAAAGACATCTACATCATTTTTACCTTTCTTCCTATGTAATGTGTATTTTTTCTTTGGGTTCTTTTAGAATTTTATCCTTATCAGTGGATTTAAACAAAACAATTATGCTTTGATGTAGTTTTCCTCATATAGCTTTTGTTTGGGGTTCACTGAGCATCTTGGATCTTTGGGTTTATAGGTTTCATCAAATTTGGAAAATTTTTTCAGCCATGATCTCTTCAAATATTTCTTCTGTTCCTCCCTCCTCCTTCAGGGAACATAAGTACACAAATATTAGACCACTTAAAGTTATCATGCAAATTACTGCTATTTTAAGTATTTTTGTAGTTCTTTCCTTTTTGCTGCATTTTAGACAGCTTCCATTGTTATGTCTCCGAGGTCTCTAATCTTTTCTTCTGCAATGTCTAATCTGCCCTTAATCCTGTCCATTGTATTTTCATCTCAAGTGCTGTAGGTTTTATCTCTAGACGTTTGAATTCGGTCTCTTAAAATATTTTCTATGTCTCCACTTAACTCTCTTAAGCATATGTAATATGGCTCTAATTACATTTTAATGCCATTGTCTGAAAAGTCTAATAACTGTGTTAGTTCTGGGTCAGTTTTGATTGACAGATTTTCTCTTCTAGTTATGGGTAATATTTTCCTGCTTCATTGCATGCCTGGTAATTTTTTACTGGATGAAAGACACTGTAAAGTTTACTTTGTTGGGTAACAGTTTTATATTCCTATAACTTTTTTTATTGTGGTAAAAAACACATAACATTAAATTTACCATCTTAACCATGTTT
Organism: Homo sapiens; assembly: GCF_000001405.40. Taxonomy (NCBI): domain Eukaryota; kingdom Metazoa; phylum Chordata; class Mammalia; order Primates; family Hominidae; genus Homo; species Homo sapiens. Next base: position 142,633,686 of record NC_000003.12, on the reverse strand, counting down.
TTTGTTTTGTTTTGTTTTGTTTGTTTGTTTGAGATGGAGTTTCGCTCTTCTCGCCCAGGCTGGAGTGCAATGGCGCAATCTCAGCTCACTGCAACCTCCACCTCCCAGGTTCAAGTGATTCTCTTGCCTCAGCCCCCCGAGTAGCTGGGATTACAGGTGCCTGCCACCACTCCCAGCTAATTTTTGTATTTTTAGTAGAGACAGAGTTTCACCATATTGGCCAGGCTGATCTCGAACTCCTGACCTCAGGTGATCCATCTGTCTCGGCCTCCCAAAGTGCTTTACAGTTGTGAAACTAGATTACAGGTGTGAACTACTGCTCCCAGCCTTCTTAACCATTTTTAAGTATACATTTCAGTAGTGTTGATTATATTGCATTGTCATGCAACAGTTCTCTATAACTTTGTCATCTTGCCAATCTGAAACTCTATACCCATTAAACACTAATTTCCCCTCTCTCCTCTCCCAGCCTCTGGCAATCCCTTCTAATTTGTTTCTGTGATTTCGACTACTCTACATGGTTCACATGAGTGGAATCATACAGTCTTTGTACTTTTGTCACTGGTTTATTTTGCTTAGTAAAACGTCCTTGAGGTTCGTCCATGTTGTAGCATATGACAAGATTTCCTTCTTTTAAAGGCTGCCTGATATTCCATTGTATTTCTATACCACATTTCCTTCATATAGTCACTTGCAAGTGGACATGTAGTTTGCTTCCACGTCTTACTGTTGTGACTAATGATGCAATGAACATGGATATGCAAATATCTGTTTAAGATCCTGCTCTAGGCTGGGCACGGTGGCTCATGCCTGTAATCCCAGCACTTTGGAAGGCCAAGGCAAGTGGATCACCTGAGGTCAGGAGTTTGAGACCAGCCCGGCCAACATGGTAAAACCCCATTTCTACTAAAAATATAAAAATTAGCCGGGTATGGTGGCATGTACCTGTAATCCAAGCTACTCAGGAAGCCAAGACAGGAGAATCGCTGGAACCCAGGAGGTAGATGTTATATTGAGTTGGGATCATGCCACAGCACTCCAGCCTGGGTGACAGAACAAGACCCCGTCTCAGGGGAAAAAAAAAAAAAATCCTGCTCTAAATTTTTTCAAATATATACCTAGAGGTGGAATTGCTGGATCATATGTTAATTCTATTTTTAATTTTTTGAGGGCCCTCCATACTGCTTTCTATAATGGCTGCACTATTTTACATTCTCAAAAGGGGTCCAATCACTCTGCATCCCCTCAGCAACACTTTTTAAATTTTCTATTTGTTTGCTGTTGGTCATCCTAATGGGCATAAGGTGATATGTCATTATGATTTTGATGCATATTTGTTTTCTCTTATGAATACAGATGTTCTTCAACTTACAGTCATGTTATATCCTGATGATGAAAGTGCATAGAAAACTCGCTTTTGACTTACTTCAAATTGTGATGGGGTTATTTGTATATAACCCCATCATAAGTGGAGGAGTGTACTGAATGTGTATAATTTTTGCATTATCATAAAGTTAAAAAATTGTAAGTCGAACCACTGTAAGTCAAGGACCATTTGTAGTGATATTGAACATCTTTTTATATGCTTATGGACCATTTGTATGTCATCTTTGGAATGTCATCTACTCCAATCTTTTGCCCACTTTTTAATTAGGTTGTTTTTAGTTACTGAATTACAGATCTTCTTTATATATTCTGGATATTATCCTCTTATCAGTCATATGATTTACTAATATCTTCTTCCACACCTAAGGTTGCCTTTTCACTCTACCGATTATTTCCTTTGATGTGCAGAAGTTTTTTGGTTTGATGAAGTCCCATGTGTCTATATGTGCTTTTGTTGCTTGTGTTTTTGATGCCATATCCAAGAAATCATTGCCAAATTCAGTGTCCTGAAGCTTTCACCCAATGTTTTCTTCTAAGAGTTTCAGGTTTTACATTTAGGTCTTTAATTCATTTTGAGTTAATTTTTGCATATGGTATAAGGTTCAACTTCTTTTTTTTTTTTTTTTTTTTTTTTTTCTAGAGACAGGGTCTCAACTCTGTTGTCTAGGCTGGACTGCAGTGGCATGATCTTGGCGCACTGCACCCTCGACCTCCCAGGCTCAAGTAATTCTTCCACCTCAGTCTCCCGAGTAGCTGGGACCACAGGCACACACCACCACGCCAGCTTTGGGATTTTTGGTTGTTTTTGTTTTTTTGAGATGGAGTCTCACTCTGTCACCCAGGCTGGAGTGCAGTGGCATGATCTTGGCTCACTGCAACCTCCACCTCCCAGGTTCAAACGATTTTCCTACCTCAGCCTCCCAAGTAGCTGGCTAATTTTTGTATTTTTAGTAGAAACGGGGTTTCACCATGTTGGCCAGACTGATCTCCAACTCCTGACCTCCAGTGATCCGCCCACCGTGGCCTCCCAAAGTGCTGGGATTACAGGCGTGAGCCACCATGCTGGCCTTTTTTTTTTGTATTTTTTATAGAGACAGGATTTTGCCATGTTGCTAAGGCTGGTCTCAAACTACTGAGCTCAGGTGATCCACCTGCCTCGGCTTCCCAAAGTGTTGGGATTACAGACATGAGCCACCATGCCCAGTCTCAATTTCATTCTTTTGCATATGGATATCCAATTTTCCAACACCATCTGTTGAACAGACTGTCTCTGCCCCATCGTATAAGTCTTGGGACCCTTGTCAAAAATCATTTGACTCTCCCTCTATGTGTGTGTGTGTGTGTGTGTGTGTGTGTGTGTGTTTATTTACATGCTCTCTATTCTGTTCCATTGGTCTATATATATGTCTTTATGCCAGTACTATACCATCTTGATATCAGACTGCTGCTTTGTAGTATATTTTGAAAGCAGGAACTGTACACTCTCTATTTTTTTCAAGATTGCTTTGGATATTCAAGGTTGCTTGAGATTTTCTTTTTTTTCTTTTTTGAGACAGAGTTTTGCTGTTGTTGCCCAGACTGGAGAGCAGTGGCATGATCTTGGCTCACTGCAACCTCCACCTTCTGGTTTCAAGCAATTCTCCCACCTCAGCCTCCTGAGTAGCTGGGATTACAGACACTCACCACCATGACCGGCTAATTTTTGTAATTTTAGTAGAGATGGAGTTTCACCATGTTGGCCAGGCTGGTCTCGAACTCCTGACATCATGATCTGCCCACCTCGGCCTCCCAAAGTGCTGGGATTACAGGCATGAGCCACTGCACCCAGCCAGGATTTTATATTTCAGAGTGTTTTGTTTGTTTTTTTTTTTTTTTTTTTTGAGGCAGGGTCTCACTGTGTTGCCCAGGCTGGAGTGCACTGGTGCAATCTCAGCTTACTACAACCTCCACCTCCTGGGCTCAAGCAATCCTCCCGCCTCAGCCCCCTGAGCAGCTGGTATTACAGGCACCTGCCACCACGCCCCGATAGTTTTTGTCTTTTTAGTAGAGATGGGGTTTCACCATGAGACCAGGATGGTCTCAAAATCCTGGCCTCAAGTGATCTACCTGCCTCGGCCTCCCAAAGTGCTGGGATTACAGGTGTGAGCCACCTTGCCAGGCCAAAATTTTAAATTTTTTTTTCTGTTTCTGTAGGTGGGGGGAAACCCTATAACCATTCTTGATCTTTATTCTTGGATGCAGTTAAATTACTTGGAAAGAGTTTGACCCTTAGGTCTTGCTTTTAAGCTTCATTAGGCAGGACCAGCACAGAAGTGAGTTTAGGGCTCTGATTCTCAACAGGAGATGACTATGATCCCCAGAGGACATCTGGCAATGTCTGGAGACATTTTTTACTTTCACAAAAGGAGGCATCACTGGCATCTAGTGTGTTGAGGCCAGGGACGTTGCTAAACATCATATAATACACAGGAGATCCCCTTAAAACAAAGAATTATCAAGTCTAACATTCCTATAGTGCTGAGGTTGAGAAACCACACTGTCTGTGGGCTAATTATTCCCCATTATTGAGGCAAGAGGCCTCTGAGTACCCAATAAGCTGTACATTACTACATGGTTTTTTACCGTGTGGCTGGTAAGAACTGGCACTGTTCCTGGTCTGTGTGAGTGCTAAGCACTATTCCTTCTAATCCTTCCCGACAGTTCTTTCCCAGGTCTCCAGTTAGTTTCCTCATACCCATGTGTGCTAATCAGAATTCTGATGAATATGTGCCAGGAACTTTATATAAATTATTTCTAATCCGGCCAGGCACAGTGGCTCACGCCTGTAAACCCAGCACTTTGGGAGGCCGAGGCGGGTGGATCATGAGGTCAGGAGTTCGAGACCAGCCTGGCCAACATGGTGAAACCCCGTCTCTACTAAAAATACAAAAATTAGCCGGGCATGGTGGTGTGCACCTGTAATCCCAGCTACTCAGGCTTAGGAGGCTGAGGCAGAAGACTTGCTTGAACCTAGGAGGCAGAAGTTGCAGTAAGCCAAGATCGCGCCATTGCACTCCAGCCTGGGTGACAGAGTGAGACTATGTCTCAAAAAAAAAAAAAAATTATTTCCAATCCTTAAAACAGCCACCAAAAGTAGCAGTTGTTATCTCTATTTTTACTTATAAAATCAAGCTCACTAAGGTTAACTAACTTGCCCAGTAGCACTCAGCTAGTAGGCACATATTAGTATCAAAACAACTACAGTCATATTGAAACAAACTTGAAACAAGTGTGAGGAACAAGTCCACATGATCACTATTCAATCTAAGGCTGGGTCCAGGAAGCTTCCCCTCTGGACCTGCCATAAGAGAATTTCGTCATTCTGCTTACAGAGTTAATCTGACTCTATACAGCTTTTGAAACCTTAGAATATTTTACTTCAGTTAACTTCATTACTTAAAATAGCATTAATTGGCTGACCCAGTGTTTTTTGTTTGTCTGTTTCAAAGTGATGGGTTTTTTCATTAAGTCATAAGGTAGTATGAATGTCTCAGGACAAATTCACTAGAGATTTCATTCTCAGCTAATAACAATGACAAATGTTGTGAAAGAAAGAAATAAGTTTGAAAGTGATTCTTCATGGTGGCCTAAAACCAAAGACTAAGGAAGACCACCATGATATTATAAGTAACAGGTGCCATTATCAAGGTAAATTACATTTCACATTTAAGTGTTTTCTAATTTATAAAGCACTTTCAGATGTATTATCACATCTGACTTTCACATCAGCCCAGTGAGCTAAGGAACAGGACTGAATATTACATATTATAGAATTATTAGCTGTTTCCTAATATGTAAAATGAGAATAAAAATAATATTATTACACTACATAAATTTATACACATACACATATGCATGCACACATGCACACTGCATGCACATGTGCGCGCACACATGCACACTGCATGCACATGTGCGCGCACACACACACACTATATTCTGGGACCCATCTTTATTCCCATTTCCACATATAAGGAAACAGATTCAGAGAGATCAAGCTAAACAGCCTAGATCATCCACTAGTAAGTGTCAAAGCTGGTAGTATTTTCAGTGTGCCCGAGTCCCAGTTCCATGTTCCTTTCAAAAAACCGAACTGACTCCTGAATGGCCAAAAGCAATGATGTCATGAATCAGGTTCTCAAGGGAACCAAGGTATCATCTTTCTACATGATATTCAAGAAAGAGCTCTGAGCTTCTTTTATGTAGACATTGAAATTAGATGACTCAGTATAGAGGTTTACAAAACAATTCTTTCTGTACATGGTTCTTTTTAGTTTCTCAATTCTAACAACTCCAAATCCTCATTTTTTTCTAAAAATTAAAATATGATTGGCCCAGCATGGTGGCTCATACCTGTAATTGCAGCACTTTGGGAGGCCAAGGCAGGTGGATTGCTTGAGGCCAGGAGTTCAAGACCAGCCTGGGCAACACAGGGAGACTCTGTCTCTATTAAAAAAAAAAAAAAGTCTGAAAAAAAATAACTGGACATGGTGGTACATGCCTGTGTTCCCAGCTCCTCAGGAGGATCTCTTGAGCCTGGGAGGTCGAGGCTGCAGTGAGCCCTGATAGCAACACTGCACTCCAGCCTGGGTGACAGAGCGAGACACTGTCTCAAAAGCAAAACAAACAATAAACAGCTGTGCCTCATAAAAAGCAAACATGTACACATATAACCATAATTCAAGTCTACTGATTAATGTAGAAGTAGAATTCTATAGAAGAAAAAAAACAGATAGCAGATACTTCAAACATGGGTCTGACAAAAATTTTCCTGAGAGGGTAGAGTTTAAACTGGATGGGCCTTGAAGAGTAAGAAAGCTTTTCAAGTTCCATTTTGGATGTAACAGATATTTCCAAAATCTTGACTTAAAAAGCAAACCTTAATATGTCACTCCTATTTCTGAACATTATTCCTTACAGAAACTTCCAACCAGTGAGTATTACTTAGAAGGATGAGTTAACAGGCATATGTCAGTACAAAAAAGTAGGTACAAAACTAAATGTGGTTAAAAAAAAAATCCCCTTCCCAAACACCTAAAAAGTCATCTAGTCCAACTCCCTGTTTAACAGATAAGAAAACTGAGGTCACACCCTTGTCTACTCAGAAGACAAGAGTCACCAAAAACAATGATCTCTACCAGAGTGTAGGAAGTAAATATTAGAACTATGTTTATTTTTAAAACTAAAAGGAAACAAAATTAGCTTTACAAATATTTAATGTGTATATTTTCAGTAGAATCCTAACTTGGTCCTTATGACAAGATCCCATGACACAAACAGTTCAAGGGATATCACAAGAGAGGAGTAGACGTTCTACAAAGAAGAGCCTGGACAGTGACTGTCATTCCTTTTTTCACTTCCAGCATTTGTGATGTTCTACAGTTTGTACATGCCTGGTTGAGTGGATTAACAGATTATATAACCCAGTTGATACCAAAGCTACACTCACTAAATAAGCAAGTAGCTTTAAAAATATGTCTTCAAAGCAATTGGAGACTGTAAAAAATACAAATCATATAAGCATAAGAAAACAGTAGAACACACACCTCTAATCTTAGTAGGAGTCTTTACCAGCTACATCAGAAAACAAAAGAGGAGCAGTGTGATCACATGTTGGGCAAAAAAGTCACAATTATCGAGATTATATAAAATACAACTTTATACTCACTCATTAATAATAAACAGTATCTTGCATACATATTGTACTATGAGATATTAGTTAATGATATGATAAAGTCTTTCCAGTTAACAATAGATTTAAAAAATCGTCTTATTTTATCTTTTTTTCATTTAACTCCTGTCTGCCTTAGTCTTCTCATCTTAAACCCCACTTTATGTTTGGCTGCCAGGATGAAATGATAATGTACAAAAAGCACCCAGCACAATGTTAGTGATGTAGACAGCACTCAAACAGCAGCAGCGAGGGAGTTTGCTCTAGACTCCTGCCCCTCCATCCTCCCTAACAAATCCATGTCTCATTGCTTATTAACATATTGTGTTTGCTAAGATGCTCGCTTCCTGATTTTCCATCGTCCTCACTCTTCTTGTTGCTAAAACTATGTCCCATGCCTTATTTACTCCTGATCTGTCTGTGCTCTACTTGGGAGGAAGTAGCAGTTCCTAGCAAAAGGGGTCCACCACAATCTCTATGAGCTCCCCTTCTTATCCTCTTAAGTTTAGTTTTAGTGGCTCATGCCTGTAATCCCAGCCTGGGCAACATAGCAAGACACAGCCTCCTGAGTAGCATGCATGCATGAATTCATTTATTCATTCATTCATTCATTTTTTGAGACAGGGTCTTGTTCTGTCATCCAGGCTGGAGTGCAGTGGCACAATTACAGCACACTGCTGCCTCGAACTCCTGGGCTCAATCAATCCTCCTGCCTCAGCCTCCCAAGTAGCTGGGACTACAGGCGTATGCCACAACACCCAGCTAATTTTTGTATTTTCAGTAGAGACGGGGTTTTGCCATGTTGCCCAGGATGGTTTTGAACTCCTGGGCTCAAGCAATCCACCCGCCTCAGCTCCCAAAGTGCTGGGATTATAGGAATGAGCCACCATATCCAGCAGCATTTATTTTCATATATACCCTAGTATATATAACCTACACATTAAGTAGAACATGTATAACATATACATTTAGTATATAAAAATTAAAAATATAGACCTTGCAAGTAGTATGTGCACAACATGTTGTTACTGATGAGCTAAAAATTTCAGGAGCCTGGGGACCACCGCTCCAACATTTGAAAAGGAGAAGCATCTCGACCTCCCACCTCAGCTGGAGCAGGTATAGGGATAAGAATTTAGCGGCTTCTGACAGCACCTTGTTTTTCCTGTAATACCGAGAACTGAGTTGGAAACATTTGGAAGGAAAGAGAAAGAGGGAACCCTAGAAACCTCAATTCTAATAGAAGAACATAGTCAGAAATGGTAGCTAAACTTTTATAATTCTTAAAGCAATTGAGGCCCAGACCCAGGGAGTGCCTTAAAATCAGCACTTAGAAGAAAAAATAGGCAGTCAGGCACTCAGTGACATATTCGGGAGTTTAAGAGGTTTGTTTCTGCAGTTTATCCCTAACCCCAAAGTACTGCTCTATTCTCTTTGAGCTCGTATTTCCAGAGTTCCAAGCAATAGTGCCTTTTACAGCACTGACTGTTAAGTCATCACAGAGGCAGACTTTTTTTTAATGGCTAGACAAGGCCAAACCATTAGTAACATTTGTAGCTATGCAAAGAAACCTAATAAGGGTAATCAAATATCATGCTTTGGGTGGTAAACTGATCTAAACTGGGATCATAAAAGAATGTTATCCTCCTCCTCCACAAGAATACAATTGAGCAATTGGTTGATTCATTGTAAAAGGACTGGCACAAAGGCATAGCCTTTGTTGGACTCCAGGTATAATAGAGGAAAGGCAATTCCAGTTCCTAAGAAAGCTATGTGTTTTGTTTTAACTATGTAAAATTTTCCCAGGGCACTCACTTTCCATGGTTAATTGGTCATAATGTGTTCACTTCTCTAACAAGAGTATTCTATGGTGCGTACAAGTAAGTTGACTGCTTCACAAAGCTGAGCAAGTCTTAATTCTCTACTTAGGTTTAAGAGCTCAGGTCACTGCAAAAAGAAAACATACTTAACTTTTTAAAAGCTGGCCTCTTTTAAGAAAACTCAAGACTCTTTAATTCTTTGGCACTGGGGTCTATGTAAACTGCCAGCAGTATCAGTATCCAAGTTTCCTCAACATGCATCATTCAAGATCTTCTCAGCTTTACACAGGGTGGGAACTGCTCATTTTCTGCTTTACTAAGAAAAGAACTTAAGGTAAGGCTGCTACAGCTTCTAGGGCTGCATAGGGTAAAGATATAGAGTTTTTTGGCCAGCCTCAGAAACCATTAAAAATGCTCACTAAAGAGCAACTTGCTCACTTGTACACTATTTATAAGAAAATTATCTTTCTGAAAGCTTTCAGGCCCTTCCCAAATTCAATGAAACAGTGAAAAGCTTTTAAGCAAAGCTGCTATCCCCAAGTACATTTTGGTACTTGGAAATGCTGAAGAACAAATATAATGATAAAGAATTTATTTCCATTTAGATATTTTCTTCAGACTCCAGATGCTTAAACAGAATCTTACACATTCCTAGTACTGGAGATATTCTGTATTACTATGTCTTATCTGTGAAATTTCTCTAGAAAAAAAGCAGAGTTTTGCTTATCCACAATTAAACTATAGACTGGAAGAGCTGTTTCCATCAGACTGAAAGCATCAAGTTTCCAAGCAATAATACACACACATTCTAGATGGCACAGAAAGAGTGCATTCAGTCACTTCAGCATTTTCCTAATAATTTATATCCATTTCTGAAAGGAAAATCAAAGCCCAATCAAGAATTATGAGTCTAATATTTTTATCCAACCCTGAATAAACCAAAACAGTCCTTTCTTCTCTAACCAGTGGTGCTTACAGAAGAAAGTTTTCAAACAGAAAAATGAAGAGATAATTAAGAATTATATTATCTTCACACCAAGGTTCCTATTTACATTGATTATGCAAAGCCATCTAGAGTCCCAAAGCAAGAATGCATTTAAAAAAGAAATACTATGAGGGTGTTTATCTCAATTTAACAATTATATGAAAAAGCAGCCTGGAATCCGAGGCTGTCTTACTGCTATTGACAGAGATAAATTTTTGTATACCTGCTTCTGCTGGTCTTATCACTTGAGATTTGGAAGTCCAGAAAAACAATTCAGAAGACTTAAAATTCAGTCTTCCTAAGCTGTGTCTATCCTCTGCCAAAGTTAGTGTTTGACCAAAGAAAAGAAGCAATTCCACACTGAAGTGTTCTGCCTATTACTACAGATATTAATCTTGATGGAACTTACTCTCAGTAGAAAGGCCAATCTGCAACATGGGTGTGGTTCAGAACCATAAAAAAATCAAGAGGCAAAAATGTGGATGTCATCATCATTCTATTTGATTATAGCTGGGGAGCTTAAAATACATTGTGGTATTCACCTTACCCCTTAGATTTTACCCAAGCAGGTTTTCTTCCTATGGAATGGGACTACCCTATGAGCTTCCATATTCTTTTCATAAATGTTCCTTTGCCACTTTAATTTTAAAATGGCAATGTTGAGCTGGGCACAGTGGTATGTGCTTATAATCTCAGCTACTTGGAAGGCTGAGGCAGGAGGACCACCTGAGCCCAGGAGTACAAGGCTGTAGCGTGCTATGATAACTCCTGTGAATAGCCACTGCACTCCAGTCTGGGCAATACAGCAAGACCCTATCTCTTAAAAAAGAAAAGAAAACGGCAATATTGTTTTCATCATGTAAAAAATCATGAAGAATTAATTCCCAGAAATAATTAGGAAATTGTAAAACCAAAAACAAACAAACAAACCCTAACATCTTACTGAATTTCAATTAGAGTCACTGGACTAATTTCAAGCAAATATCCAAAATTATCTTTGAATAGTAACTGAAAACATGTTATAGTATTATACAGCGTTAAAACCAGAAGATGCCCCACGGGTTATAGTCCAATACTACCATTTAAGTGAGGCAAGAACAGTTTCACTTATAAAATGTATAATGCATTTTCACTGTCTGGTTAATTATCTGAAGGGAAAGTCTAAAACATCTTTTATGATGGCTCCATAAAGGTAAAGAATAGATGTTATAAAACTGCTTCATAAAGTGAAAGAAAAAGTTAAGGACTTTTATAAGCCAGTTTTTTTTTTAAGTACATACAGTACTGTATGATCCCATTTATGGAAATTCTAGAAAATAAAAACTAACCTATAGTGACAGCAGAACAAAGGTTGCTTGGAACAGGGTGAAAGGAGGGATGGAAAGCAAAATACATGAGGAGGCTTTGGAGGAAAAAAGTGTTCTACGTCTTGATTGTGGTGGTGATTTTGTGGATGTATATACCTGTCAAAACACTGCCGGCTGTCCACTTTAAATGGGTACAGTCTAGCATATCTAAATTATACCTCAATGAATGTTAAAAATACACACTCACATTTAAATATTTTAAAGGACATCTGTATTGAAGAAGGCTTATTCTTGCTCTTTATGGCCACAAGCTGGTAGAATTAGGACCACTGGCAGAAGAAATACCAGGAGACAAATTCTGCACGAATGTAAGGAAATATTCTGTCCACGTGGTCCAGAGACAACCCGGACTGCAACAGTGAGGTTCTACACCTGGAACACTGGACCTGTGTGTCCAAAAGCTCAGAGTCAATTTTGGAGGCACACAGGCTGTTGTCTTTGGGAATTCCTACATAGAAAGTTGGATGCGGTGGCATTAATGTTTTTTGCATTGAAAATTCCATTATTTCAAGGAGACCACTTACGGATGGCTGTAGTCCTGCTGCTGTTGCATGGAGTTCTGCTAACCTCTTGACTAAAACATATATTTGCTCTGATTTCCCCCAGGACTTCACTTCACAGGAAAAACCAATTATCTGCCCTATGTGTCCTTTTAAAAAATGGATCCTGTGTGGTTATTTTCTGATTGTTGAAAAGCAATATGCAGCATTAAAAGTATTTGGAAAATAATAAAATCTAAATTGCTCTCAAGCACACCATTCAGAAATAACCAAGGCCAAAATGTTATAAATTTTCAATCTTTCTTCTATGCACATGTGTATGAATATACAATTTTCCAAACAAAATTGATATTTGCTATATATAGTTTTACTTAATATTATTTAAAGTTTTCAGTTTTTGAAAGTATGCCTTTCATGCTTCATAATAGTCCATGTATGACTATACCATGATTTATTTAAGCATTCATATTGCTAACTAAGGTGGTTTCCTATGTTTTACTTTTAGAAATAATGCTTCAGCAAACATCCTTGAACACAGAGGGTAGATGGGGACATTACCCTCTGTGGTATTATGAGGGACATTATAGCCGTGAATCCAATTGCTCTAAGAGTTTACCCATTCCATTCTGTTACAAGTAATTTCAATTTCCACTTTGTTGGGAAATGTCACAGTAGACAGTTAAAATGTACAGTATGGAGACTGTCACTTTTGCTGACAATATATTCTTCTTTAGTATCTACTATGAGCCTAAACCAAAATTCCAGGAAAAAAATACTGAAAAAATTTTTAATTTGATCTCAGTAACAACTATGTAGAAAAAGATATGGTGCCAAGCCACTGATCAGGGCCAAGTGTATGGTGCAGTTCTTGTTTGCTCTTTTATTTTATTTTATTTTTTTGAGACAGAGTCTCACTCTGTCACCCAGGCTGGAGTGCAGGGGTGCAATCTCAGCTCACTGCAACATCTGCCCCTCCCAAGTACAAGCATTCTTCTGCCTCAGCCTCTCTAGTAGCTGTGATTACAGGCACCTGCCACCGCGCCCAGCTAATTTTTGTATTTTTAGAAGAGACAGATTTTCACTATGTTGGCCAGCTGGTCTTGAACTCCTGACCTCAAGTGATCTGCCCGCCTTGGCCTCCCAAAGTGCTGTGATTACAGGCATGAGCCACTGCACATGGCCTGTATGGTGCAGTTTTAACAGCCTATGAATATTTGAGGCGTAAGTATTTTGAACCATCACAAGTACTCAATAAATACTAGAAAATAATAAACTGAATCAAAGTTGTATCTGTAACTCAAACTATTTGATAAAGCAAGAACATTTAGAAAAGAATTTACTATTCCATGTTTAAATGCACCTTCGGGGCAAGAGTCACGTTTTTAAAAAAATCTCTATAAACCCATAAACATTTGCTTAGAGATTTGTTTCTAAGATTGTCATATCATCTGTGAGAATATCTTTCTGCATCTTAAAAACAGTCTACTTCTCAGGCTTGGCACGGTGGCTCACGCCTGTAACCCCAACACTTTGGGAGGCTGAGACGGGTGGATAACCTGAGGTCAGGAGTTTGAGACCAGCCTGGCCAACATGGTGAAACCCCGTCTGTACTACAAATACAAAAAAATTAGCCAGGCATGGTGGCAGGTGCCTGTAATCCCAGCTACTTGGAAGGCTGAGGCAGAAGAATCACTTGAACCTGGGAGGCGGAGATTGCAGTGAGCCGAGATCGTGCCACTGCACTTCAGCCTGGGTGACAGAGCAAGACTCTGCCTCAAAAAGAAAAAAAAAAAAAAGTCTACTTCTCAAACTTCTGAAGCATCAGGGTAGTGATGACCCCTGAGAATGACAGCAACTGGAAAGCAACCAGAGAGTTTCTGGGCAGCCAGGAGTAATTCTGGTTTCTCGATAGGGTGCTGATTGTGGGAGTAGCCATTTGTGAAAATTCATCAAGCTATATACATAATTTTTATGTTTTTCTGCATATATACATCACATTAAAAAATAGAAGAAAAAAGTCCACTCCCTTGCCCATTATACCTCTGAGTAATCTGACAGAATATGAATTAACATATTTAGAAAAAGATGAATTGGAAACCTCACCTCTAAAAATCCCAGTTTTACTTGCTTATATGAGACATTATTAGCAATGTTCTTTTGTTTAGAATATTCTAAGGACACAATACATACACACATCTTGCAGACTTTTGGTATAAAGATAATACAATCAATTACTTAGATTTAGTACTTCAAATCACTAAGTAGTTACAAAGTACTTACTATCTCCAAGATGCTGCAGGGGCTTCTTTAATGCTGTACACATTTATGGAGGAAAACATCTTAGAGAAGAACTCAAAAACAGCCTTTGGAAATCTGGCAGATGACATGGATTCTTTTTAGCATTTTACTTCAGTTTTTGGGAAAAATGAGTAGAAGCCATACTTTTAGCATCTTGGAAAATGTTTCCTAGAATAAGTAGGTGTCAAAACTTGTCATAAATATGTATCATAGATAAATTGGTAGACATAAGGGCACACCAAGCAGCTGGAAGTGCATGAACAAAGGTGCGGAAGCAGGGGAGCATATGGCAGGCAATGAGTCACAAAAAGCAAATATTCTGGCTGAATGGGTGTGCCTCTCTCATATCAGAATTTTTTTCTGAATCCAAGCTACCAGAGAAGCAGGCTTAATGTGAATTGCCTTCCTTTCCTACTCACAGAGATAAATGTTGTGGCAGCTCTGCTTGACTACACAAAAGCCCTGAAACATCCTTTTCAAAACTATTTGTTTTGTAATCTGGCCCTGAAATGTTTTCTATTTAGAAAGATATCCAGTTAAGTCACATTTTCTCATGTACATCAACATGAATGCTTGGAGCCCTGCTGGTAGCGATAACCACCGCTATCTTATTTGTCAACAGAGGCAGACAACACATCTGTGGCAGGCAGGATAATACCCTGTCCCCCAAAGATGTCTGCATCCTAATCCCCAGAACCTGTGAATATGGTATGGTACCTTACATGGCAAAACAGATTTTTGCAGATGTTCATTAAGGGTATGGGCCTTGAGATGAGGCAGATTGTCTTAGGTTATTTGGGCAGGACCAATCTAATCACATGAGTCTTTAAAAGCAGAGAACCTTTCTCTGCTGGCTCAGAGAGATGAAACAGAAGGAGGAGGAGGAAAGATTCAAAGTATGAGAGGGGCTTTACCGACTGTCGCTGGCTATGAAGATGAAGGAAAGGAACCATGAGCCAAGGAATGCAGGTGGCCTCTAGAAGCTGGGGATGGCCTTCCATTTACATCCAAGAAGAAAACAGAGATCTCAGGTCTACCATCAAAAGAAACCGAATTCTGCCAGCAACCCAAATGAGCCATGAAAACGATTCTCCCCTAGAGCCTCCAGAAAGGAACGCAGTCCTGCTGTGTTGACTTTAGCCTGGCAAGACCTGTATCAAACTTCTGACCTACAGAACTGTAAGATAATAAATTTGTATTGTTTAAGTTGCTAAACTTGTGGTGGTTTGTTATGGGAGCAACAGAAAGCTAATACAGGCTCAGATAGTTTTATTCAGAATGGGATGTTCTTATCACCTTGGCCTTGGATTGTCCACGAGAGAACAGCTATCACTTGGGAGATGCAGCAGGGTGGGGGGTAGGCAGAGTTTGTTTGAGGGGAGAGATCAATGTTGATTTTACAGTTCTCCTTAAATAAATTTTCCCTCCAATAACATATACATATTAGATGTTAGTCAAATATTTAGTGTAGGAGCTTAAAAAGAAAAACACTACAAAAATAAAAATACTGAAGATTCTGCCAATAATGATGAGCAGGGATACCTTTGTCTTAACCCTTCCTGAGAGACTGGGCCCCAGAGATTACTGAAATAGACATGAAATGATGCCTAGCAATTAGGTGCAGTAGTTGTCTTTTCTTTTTTGAGACAGAGTCTCGCTCTGTTGCCCAGGCTGGAGTGCAGTGGCACGATCTCAGCTCACTGCAACGTCTGCCTCCTGGGTTCAAGCTATTCTCCTGCCTCAGCTTCCTGAGTAGCTGGGATTACAGACACATGCCACCAAGCCGGGCTAATTTTTGTATTTTTAGTAGAGATGGGGTTTCACCATATTGAATCGGCTTGTCTTAAACTCCCGACCTCAAGTGATCCACCTGCCTCAGCCTCCCAAAGTGCTAGGATTATAGGACTGAGCCATTATGCCCGGCCAGGTGTAGTAGTTTTTCATTAATCATAAAATCAACATGTGGATCTTATTTTGAATGCAGATTCCTGGGTCTCAACCCAAAGAGTCTCATTCAGAAGTTTTAGGATGGGGCCTAGGAATCTGAATGAGATCTAAAATAAGGATTTCTGAATTTTTTCCTTGAACAAACGATTAATACAGCTGAAGCACTCCCCATTTCTCCCACCAACTACCTGAGACCTCTGCTATGCTGATCAAGGCCCCAAGTGCAGATTAAGCACAGTTCTTGCAACACAGTAACTATTCAGTTACTATGATGATCACTATCACCATAATTCCATTTTCAGATGAAATCAGAGGCAGCTTGAATTCTTTAGCATTTTTTATTCCTGTAACAGTATCTGGAAAGACTAAACATTTAATGGAAACAAGCTTCCATTCTGGACTGCAAGGACTTGAGCGTGTTTACAAGAGGCTGGCATCCATGTCTAGTTAAGGCTGTATGTACCCAAGGGGGCATAATTTTATTCCAAACCTCTAAAAAGGTTGGCTAAAGCAAAAAAAAAAAAAAATCTTCCTAATCACAACATTTTAGAAATGTATCCCTTTTTTAACCTTAAAATATGAAATGCCAACTATATGGATTATTGTGACAAGCATCTGCCATCACTGGCTATTTTAGTGGCTAACTGGGCAATGGTCCATTGTGATTTGAAGACTGTTGAAACTGCAATTAAATGACCTACTCAAGGTTACAAAGCAATTTGAATAATCTGAACTCCAGATGAATATGAAGGACATAAATAATTGTGTCACTGGCCGGGTGCGGTGGCTCACACCTGTAATCCTAGCACCTTGGGAGGCCTGGGCTGATGGATCACCTGAGGTCAGGAGTTCAAGAACAGCCTGGCCAACATGGTGAAACCCCATCTCTACTAAAATATAAAAATTGGCCAGGCATGACGGCGGGTGCCTGTAATCCCAGCTACTTGGGAGGCTGAGACAGGAGAATCGCTAGAACCCGGGAGACAGTGGTTGCAGTGAGCTGAGATCGTGCCACTGTACTTCAGCCTGGGTGGCCGAGTGAGACTCCATCAATAATAATAATAATAATAATTGTGTCACTAAACAACACACACAATTCAACATGAAAATGAATAGATACAAAAAGCAAATAGTACTGCAGTCCATGCTGACATGATCACAGTCAAATGGCCTGTTGTTGGGGTCACAACTAGAAAAACAAATCAGAGACTAAAAATCTAATCAATAATATAGTAAAATAAGTGATTAATTGTAAAGGAAGAAATACAATACCTATTATTTTCTATATCATTTAGTGTTCTTTCTCTTCCTGCTAGTGTGCCTTCCTCCATCATTCTTTTTTCTCTACCTTATCCTTTATAGAAAAGGTAGAAAACATTAACAAATGAGAAAAGGAGCATCTGAAGAAAGTCTTCATGTTTGCTCTTGCATTTTTTCCTCAAACTATCATCTTCCAGACTACAGGGCAGGATTATCTGTTGAGGGAAACCTTTATCTTTATGTTTCCATGAGGACCTATTGTCAAAGCAGAAGCTTTGGCCTCTTTGCACTTCTTTCTCACTCTCCTCCATAAAATGGGAAATGATTTACCTCACTGGAGAGACAGTAAGTGTCTTGGGCCCACTGACCCTCATTCCTCTACTGCAATAGTTCTCAGACTTTAAATGCAATAGAATCACCAAACGGGCTTGTTAAAACATAGTCTCCTGGGTCCATCCTCCACAATCTTTGATTCAGTTTGTCTGGAATGGAGACGAAAAGTCTGCATGTCTAGTAAGCTTCAACATAATGCTAATGCTGCTTGTCTGGGGACCACACTTTTGAAAAACCACTGCTATACTCAATGGAGCTAAAGTGGTTTTTACAGAGTGGGGTGGGGTAAAGTGTTAAACATCACTGTCCTTACATGGTTTGCCCCTTCCCTCTTCAACATCTGCTTGCCCTCAGGACACAAGCTCTCCTCTTCCTTCACATGATAACAGACCCAGAGGCAATTGTTCACTAGGTTTCCCTGGGATGTGGTGAGTAGACATTAAGCTCCTGGGAAGAAGGATATTAGGAAGGCCATTTGGACACGGGCCCAGGCTGCAATCCTGGTCCACCTCCACCAAGAATAAAGTTGACATTTCAAACTCCATTTGAGAGACCTGTATCTATTTCTCAGTTGGTTCAAAAAATAAAAGGAAGAAGAGTCTGAATTAACAGGCCCCTCAAGAGCATCCATCATGATCATGATTGTGGAATGATCGGGAATATAACTAGGAATTCCAAAGTCTGTGACCTCACTCTGGAAGCACAGTCACCCTGCCTTGTCTCAGCCATAATGCTGAAGCCAGATGATATCATCTGTATACACTGAATAATGTTCTTGCTCCTGTGGAACATGCTTTTACCACCAAAGTAATGTAAATGGAGAGAAGATATACGGTCTTCAAGAAATTCAGCCTACATCACTTCTCTGGGTCAATCATCAACAATTGTCCAGACCATGTTGGCTGCCTCAACAGCTTCCTTCCCACCCACAACTAAGCCAAGACCTGGGGCTATTCTTCAGTGCCTTGGGCACCTCTTAACTACCCCCACTCTACCCTCCTTTTCCATCCTTGGGTCTGGAAGCTCTGTTTCTGTTCCGTGTTCTGCCCACCCTACCCAGATCCTGCAGATGGATGCTTCTCTGTCTCAATTTTCAAATGACACCCTGCCTTGAGACCCGTAGTATAGCCAGGCTTGCCTCACCACTGCCCAGCCCCACCCAGCTGTTGAAGTCCCCAACAGCATTCAACACTTCCAGCCCCTCTTTCTCCAGGAAGGAAATCTAGAGAGCGAAAGATTTTCCTTAAGCAGAATTAAAACACACCCTCCTCCATAAAACAGAAAAAGAAAGCAGCAGATGGAGCCCAGGCCAGGTCTCACACTCTATAGCCGCCATACTCCTGAAGCACCCATCACAGGCTCTTATAACTCCTCCTTCACCAAACTAAGAGCCTCTCCTGGCTGCCAAAGGGACAAAATGGCACCCATGGGCCAAACACTGCCTGGACACATGTCCTCTGTGGCTCATTGAGTGTTGGATTCTTTTTTTAATTTTGGAGCAAATATATAAAAATTAGGAGATTAGCATAAAATTCAGATTTCTGTTTTTTCATTTAAAATCAGAATGTCTGGCAATACTGCACCCACATTCCTGTATGGTAACACTGGGCTAAGCCAGGGTTGCTGTACCCTCTAGATAACATGTGAACCTTGAAGTCTGGCACAGGCCTTGTGATTCCCTGCCATCCTCATTCTTTCACTGCCTTCTTCCACAGAGCATACCTGAATGACCACCCCCTTCTACACATCCTTCTATCCTTGGTAGTTAAGTGTAAGCTCTACTGCCTGCCGCTGCTAATTTCCTGAGCTATCCCTGAGCTGAAATTATATGGTATGGTGCTGTTGAGAGAAAGAACATATGTATTCTTTTTCCTCCTCAGCTGGTGGTTGCTTCCATCTTCAGTCATGAAGCTGTAATTGTACAGATCATGAACGAATAGCAAATCCCAAAGTGGCCTGACTCACAGAGGGTGAGGAGAGAGATGGTAAAGGGACTCAAAATAAAAAGGCAATCCTCTTTTTAACATTTCTAGTTCCTTAAAAGATCTGGACTAATGAAAGAAAAAGTAGCCATATCCTGTATTGTTACAGGACAGCAATTCCATAATCAGAAGGTACCAAATATAGAATTTTATGGTGCAACTAATTTTTAATTATACATAAAGCAAATAAAAGTATGTTGTTTTTGGAAAGACCCTGTCACCTGGTAGTCCTCTTCATTTAGCAATAAGCTCTACTACAGAGTAGCTTAGAGGAGAATTTTTATGTAACAGGAAACAATCACAGTGCAATAAAAGTGTACAAAGATCTTTTCTTGTCTTGAATCATCTGTTATTTGCATGTACAATGAGCTGGTTGAAGATACTACTATGCCATCCTATGACCTCAGTGTTACAGCAAGAGACGCACCCCAGGGTGGCACAAGTGTGGGTATCTTTTGAATTCTTGGTCTTTGCCCACAAGATTAGATTAGTGAGTCAGCATCAAGGTAAATAATATTTTCTTTTCAAAATCCTTCCTTCTCCTTCATACCTCTTTCCTTCTAAGACCAGAACTTAGCTTTTTTCTTTTCTTTTTTTAAGTTGAAAACTTTTTTTTTCTTTTGAGACAGAGTCTTGCTCTGTCACCCAGGCTGGAGTACAATGGCATGATCTCAGTTCACTGCAACCTCCACCTCCCAGGTTCAAGTTTTCCTGCCTCAGCCTCCTGAGTAGCTGGGGTTACAGGCTTGAGCCACCACAGCTGGCTAATTTTTGTATTTTTTTGGTAGAGGCAGGGTTCCACCACGTTGGCCAGGCTGGTCTTCAACTCCTGGCCACAAGTGATCTGCCCTCCTTGGCATCTCAAAGTGCTGGGATTACAGGCGTGAACCACGGCGCCCAGCCCTAAGCCCAGAACTTAAATGGGAAAGTAAACTGTATCTGATCCTACTTCTCTTTCTTCTCAGACTTTCCAGGATGAGAATAGATTCTTTAGTCCTTTTCTCCTGGTTCAACATAAAACAGACTGAAAATTGGCCGGGCACGGTGGCTCACGCCTGTAATCCCAGCACTTTGGGAGGCGGAGGCAGGCAGATCACCTGAGGTTGGGAGTTCGAGACCAGCCTTGTCAACATGGGTGAAACCCCATCTCTACTGAAAATACAAAAATTAGTTAGGTGTGGTGGTACATGCCTGTAATCCCGGCTACTCAGGAGGCTGAGGCAGGAGAACATCCAGGAGGCAGAAGTTGGAGTGAGCCAAGATTGTGCCACCACACTCCGGCCTGGGTGACAGACTGATACTCTGTCTCAAAAAAAAATAAAAATTAAATATAAAACAGGCTCAAAGTTAAATAAGGGATTTTTTTTTTCTTTTTTTGAGACAGGGTCTTGCTGTATTGACCAGGCTAGACTCCAGCTCCTGGGCTCCAACTGATCCTCCCACCTCAGCCTCTTCAGTAGCTAGGAGTATAGGTGCACAACACCACAACTGGCTGGTGAAGGGAAATTTTAAATAGTCCACTAGGAATCTTTCAGTTGTGTTTACTTGAGATCTAACCTTTTCTACTGATCCAACTAAAGTAACATGAAGGTAGGACTAAGGCTATATCTACAGTGGAATGAGCCACCGGGATGATGAACAATGATCCCTTTGGAATATGATTTGCAGGTCACAAAGCACTTTCACATCACTTATCACATATAACAGAGCATTCTCTAAACCTTATATACAAATACAATGTACCTGTATTACAATTTTGGCACTGGACACATCATTACACTGTAAATCCAGCCCTGCCCCGATTATCAGTGTTAATTAAGTTCAGAAAAGGGAAACATCCCAGCATGCTGTTTATCCTGAGTTAGAGTTGGAGTTGATCATCTTTTCTCATGGACAGAAACAAGTTAAAGTTAAACCAGTGAGAACTATTAAAGCACTTATTTGCTAAATTCCTCTTTCAATGATGTACTTGTTTCTTAGGAAAAATAATTTTTTAATCTTTACTTCTATTTTCTTACATCGTAATAAAAAAATGGCCTAATGACTTTTGCACATATATTTCAGTACCTAGAGAAGCATAATATGTCATTGAGAGCGCTGGTTTTAGAGTTAGAATTCTTGAGAATGTCTGCTTCTACTAACTATATCACCTTAAACAAGTCATTTAACCTTTCTGAGTCTTGGTTTCACAGCTAAAAAGTTAAGAAGATAATAATACCAACTTCATACAGTTTCAGGGAGGCTTAATTAAAACAAATAGCAAAAGGCTTAGAAAAAGGCCTAATATATGTAATAGTAAATGCCCAATAGATATTAGGTATTATTTTCAATATTGGTGATTCATGATTATCATAAAATCAATGGTCCTCAAAAGCAATATGTGTGTGCGCTTATGTATATAGTATGTACATACTATATAACACTACATACATACTATATATAATACTATATACGTACTATTTTTAAAAAATTTTGGGGAGACAAGGTATTGCTCTGTTGCCAAGGTTGCAGTACAGTGGTACAATCATGGCTAACTGCAGCCTCAAACTCCTGGGCTCAAGTGGCCTTCCTGTCTCAGCCTCCTGAGTAGCTAAGACTACAGGCACATGCCACAATATCTGGCTAATTTTTAAATTTTTTGTAGAGACAAGATCTCACTATGTAGCCCAGGCTGGTCTTGAATTCTTGGCCTCAGATGATCCTCCCACCTCGGCCTCTCAAAGTGTTGGGATTACAGACATGAGCCACCATGCTTGACCAATTTAAGTAATTATTAAGGCAGTTCACTATGTATTTGTGAGAATAAAATAACACAGAGCTCATTCTAGACCAGGGGTTGACAAACTCAGCCTGAAGGCCAAATCTGGTCCACTGCCTGCTTGCATATAACCTGTGAACTAAAAACAGTTTTTACATTCTTAAACAGCTAAGAGAAAAATCAAAAGAATAATAGTTTGTGACAAGGGAAAATTACAAGAAATTAACATTTCAGTGCCCACAAATAAAGTTTATTGGAAGACAGCTATGCTTATTCGTGAACATATTGTCTATAGCAGCCTTCATGCTACAAGGGCAGAGTTAGGTAGCAGAGACAGAGACCACATGAAACACAAAGCCTAAAATATTTATTACTTGGCCCCTTACAGAAAAAGTTTGCCAACTTCTGGTCTAGACTGTTAGCTCTACAATGGTAGAGACAGATGAGGCCTAGCTCAGTGCCTGGGCCCAAAATTGTGTTCAGCTTTTTGATGAATGAATGTGGAATCAACATGAAAAGCCTGAGATGGGGCTCCTCATATGTGGTAAAGATAGTTGTGCTCAAACAACCAAGAGCCTTTTTGAAAACTGAGTAAGAGAGGACTGCCCCAGTCTGTGTGGCCCAGCGAGAGTCTTTGTCATCCTATCATTCTAATGGTGGAATTTGAGGCCACACTGAAGAGAGTAGGGAAAGGGGACATCAAAAGGACAAACTAACAAGAGAATTCTACATTCATCAAATATATCCATTTTAAGACAATATTAGAATCACAAAAACACAGGAAAATTCATTTGGGAAAAAATTATATTAAAAAAACATCCTATGGGCTTAGTTCACCTTAAGCTTATTTTTAGATATGGCTGCTTAAAAGGTTTACAAAGTCTTAAGCTGCTATATTTAAGTATGATCCGAATCACAGTAAATGTTAGATCTTACTGTACTCTGTGCTAGTTAGACAATATCCACAGTGTCACATTCAACCTACGGAGCATTATTTTTAAGGTAATTTAGTGACAATCTGGTTTCTAGAGGGGAGCTATCTGCACGGTGATGGGTCTAATCTAGGCACCATTCAAACAAGGCAAGTTGATGGAACTGGAGAATATTTACCATAGAGATGAAACTGCACTGCCCAATCTAAATTAACGTAATTCATATAAAACACTTAGAGTACCTGGCACATAGGAGATACTTAATAAATACAAGCTTTGTGGGAGGCCGAGGCGGATGGATCAACTGAGGTCAGGAATTCGAGATCAGCTTGGCCAACATGGTGAAACCCCAGCTCTACTAAAAATACAAAAATTAGCTGGGTATGGTGGCCTGTGCCTGTAATCCCAGCTACTCGCGAGGCTGAGGCAGGAGAATCGTTTGAACCAGGGAGGTGGAGATTGCAGTGAGACAAGATGGCACCACTGCACTCCAGCCTGCGCGAAAGAGCAAGACTCCATCTCAAAATAAATACATACATACATACAAGCTTTGATCATCAGCACCATCAGCTGAAGTATTATAATGTAAAAGAAGCTAACTTTATTGTTATACCCTTAGAAGGTATAACCATATCCACAAATGGAAATCAGGTTGCTAAATCAGCTATACATAAATTATTGCAAATGTTAATAGTTTACGGCAAAATTCACTTACAATTTTTTATCAAGTAATTATCACTAAATATTCAGTCCACTTTTCTATCTCTACAGAAGAGACTTTGGCAAACGATTTAACTGCTTCTGTTGCTCTAAAACCAGGGATGCAAAAGACATTTATTGTTCACTGAATACCTATGTGCTCCCTCTTATTTCTAGGCCCTTGCTATTAAGCAGGGTGATGAGCTTAGTTCTAGCCAACAGGCTGTGAGTCAAAGTGATATTTGTCACTCTAGGCCAAAGCATTTCAGAGCTGTACGTGATCATCCAGTTCCCCTTCCTCTGGTGGGACCACTTGAAAGCCCCATGTTAGGAAAGCAAAGTCACAAAAATCACAGCAGCCTGGATTTCTGAGTCATTGCATATAGGTGAGCTGCCCTGGAGAACAGCCAATAAACACTGACATTTACATGAGCAAGACAGTAATGGAGATGTCACAGTTAATTTGTTACTGCAGCACAGACTACTCTATCCTGACTAATACATAAAGTCTGATATTTTGGTAGTATAGAAAGAAACTTTGTATTAATCTGTGATCAATCATCTTGGGCAGTTTACAAAAATTAGCTGAATAAGCAGGGAAATTTTCCAAACCTTCCTCAGACAACTATCTATGCAACTTTATTATTCCATTTCAAGTGCATTCACACAGTATTACCACATCTACTCCAATTTAAAGATAAATATTTAAAATTAAATCCTCTCTGACACTCACTTATTGAAAAAACTTGAGAAGTAACTAAGACATACATTGAGCAATGTAACTGCTGGCAAACATACTCAGCTAATGTTGTTCTCCCACATAGCTCATTGCCTGCTTTATGACCCTCAGGCTGCATTTTCAGAAGACATGTGGCAGGAATTAGTGCCCCAGGCAAAGCTGGCTTAGTTTCCCTTTGTTAGCAGTCAACAGGTATGCTGTTAACCGGACCAACCAATTTCAGTGGGGCCTTAAACACAGAGACATACTATCTCCTTTGGCTGGCAGTAAAAATATCCAGTAAGATAAGGACTCAAGCCTGTGTCCTTTGATACATTCATGATTTAAAACCACTGGAAACTCTGGAGTCTGGCAGGCAGCAGAGTATAGGCTTCCACAGCCCTGAGTTCAAATCTCATCTCTTCTACTGACAAGCTATGTGAGTCTCAGACCAAATGACACAGCCTCTTTGAGCCTCAGTTCCTACTCCCTTCACAAAGCATTTTGAGAATTACTGGGATTGATGTAGGTGGAAGTACTCAATATACATTGGATGCTTGCTGCCATAGTACTATGGAATTCTAAAAGTTAATGTGAATTTCTATTAACTTTATGTTTTATTACAAGCAAAACAACATTCTCTTAAAGCAGTGAAAAATGTATCTTTGGCTTTACCTTTAGGTTAGATGCTGTCTCATAACAGTCATGAAGATAAACTCCACTACCGAATTTGATCATCTTCCAATGTGATCAAGCTCTTGTTAGGAAAACATATCTTAAGTTAAATGTCTGCTCATCTTCCAGAGGCAACTGAATTTTTAAAATTCCTAAGAGTTTCCCAGCCAGGCATAGTGGGTGGCTCATGCCTATAATAATCCCAGCAGTTTGGGAGGCCAAAGCAGGAGAACTGCCTGAGCCCAGGAGTTTGAGACCAGCATGGGCAACATGGCAGACCCTGTCTCTAAAAATAAATAAAATAGGATAAATTTTAAAAATAAAAATAAATTAAAATAATTTCCCACCAACCACATTCTGCTGATTTCCAATTCTGATCAAGTTGCCCTGAATACTAAAAATCAATGTCACCACAGGCTAATGATAAAAAAAAAAAAATTCAGACAAATTCCAACATAGAGGCATTCCACAATGTACCTGATTGCTATTCCTCAAAACTCTCAAGATCATCAAAAAACAAGGAAAGTCTGAGAAACTGTCACAGCCAAGGGGAGCCTAAGGAGACACAGTAACTAAATGTCATGTGGTATCCTGGATGGGATCCTGGAACAGAAAAGGGATTTTGGCTAAAAACAAAGGAAATATGAATAAGCTAAGGACTTTAGTTAATAATAATATAACAAGATCAGTTCATTAATTATAACAAACATGTCATACTAATTAATGTAAGATGTTAATAATACGGCCGGGAGCAGTGGCTCACGCCTGTAATCCCAGCACTCTGGGAGGCCGAGGCGGGTGGATCATGAGGTCCAGAGATCAAGATCATCCTAGCCAACATGGTGAAACCCGTCTCTACTAAAAATACAAAAATTAGCTGGGCGTGGTGGCACATGCCTGTACCAGCCACTCAGGAGGCTGAGGCAGGAGAATCGCTTGAACCCAGGAGGCAGAGGTTGCAGTGAGCCGAGATCGCACCACTGCACTCCAGCCTGGTGACAAAGCGAGACTCCGTCTCAAAAAATATATATATATATGTTAATAATAGGGTAACAGTATGTCAGTGTGGGAGTATATGGGAGCACTGTTTCATCTGCTTCATTTCTTTGTAAATTTGAAACAGTTCTAAAAGATAAAGTCTATTGGTTTTTTTTTAAGTCACTACAATGTGATACTTACTTCACATGTATTAAAACGGCCATAATTTAAAAGACAGATAATAAAGTGCTGGTGAGGATGTGGACAAACAGGAACTTCCATTCATTGCCGGTAGGAATGTAAAATGGTGCAGCTGCTCCAGAAAACGGTTTGGCAGTTCCTCGAAATGCTAAGTGATATGACCCAGCAATTCCACTTCTAGGTATATGCCCAGAGAAATGAAAATAAATGCCCCTAATAAACCAGTGCACATAAGTTCACAGCAACAATATTCATAATAGCCCAAAAGAAGAAACAACCCCAATGTCTATGAACTGAAGGATGAATACATAAAATGTGATATGTCCACACAATGGCATATTATGCACACCTATGAAAAGAAGTCTTGATATGTGCTACAACATGAATGAACCTTGACATCATTGTGCTAAGTGAAATAAGCCAGACGCAAAAGGCCACATATTATACGATTCCATTTATTTGAAATTTCAAGAATAGGCAAATATATAGACAGAAAGTAGATTTGGCATTGCCTAGGGTAGGGGCAGCTGGGGAGGAGGTAGTAGAAAATGAGGAAAGTGCTAATGAATACAGGGTAATTAAAATATTGTAAAACTGACTATACAGTTTAAATTGGAGAATTGTATGATATTAAGGAAAGTCTGAGAAACTGTCACAGCCAAGAGTAATAAAACTGTTATTTTAAAAACAATGTCATGTGTGCCAAGAATACTGATGAAACATCATTTAATCCTATTCAAAGTGAAGATTTTGACAACGTGTGGTTGATATGAAACCTTTAATTTCTCTGAGAAGTCCCGCTGCTTGCTTTAGTAATACCCTTAATGCCTCAGGACATAACATACTCAAAAAAAAACTGTGCATAAAGAAGTTCTAAATGAATCTTGGTATCCTTTCTAGATTAAATGAGCAACATGCACATCACAAGGTCTTCCTTAAGTGTGCCTGAGATGTGAAATAGCATGCAGACTATTCCCACTGATATTTAATAATACATTAACATGCAAAAATGGGTATCATTGTGTACCCTTTTGTACAATGTTTCAGGATTCAGTTATTTCCTCTGAATTACTAGAAAATTACAATGTTTTGGGTTCTCCCATTATTTATTGTCCTAGTGGTATGAGAAATGCTTATAGTAACCTTGCAGAAATACTTCAATTAAGGCTTAGTCTCCCACAGAACAATATATATCACATAGGGAGAATATAACTTTGTAAAATATTTAGAAAGTTTAATCTTTTATCCTACACATTCCAGATGTACATTAGCAGGAAGTATAAGTTTTAAAACAAAACTACTTTGTTCAAGATGAAAGAGATGGATATTTTCCCATGTTAATCAACTCTTATTTCAAGAACTCATTTTAATGTTAATATGCTCCATAGTTGAGGGTTAGCCATAAAATACATTTAGACTTTTATAAAAATTGCACATAAATTTCATAGAGGAATTATTTCATATGGTCAGTAACAGAAGAAAATATGAATTGACTGCAAGAGCACTAGATTTGGAGCTAGACTGAAGTCCCATGAGGTCAGGAGTTCGAGATCAGCCTGGACAACATGGAGAAACCATGTCTCTACTAGAAATACAAAAATTAGCTGGGCATGGTGGCACATGCCTGTAACCCCAGCTACTGGGGAGGATGAAGCAGGAGAATCACTTGAACCCGGGAGGCGAAAGGTTGCAGTGAGCCAAGATTGTGCCCCTCACTCCAGCCTGAGCAACGGAGCAAGACTCTGTCTCAAAAAAATTAACCCTGACATTTTTTCAAATGTTGAAATTATAAGACACAGTTATGAGTTTAATTTCTGGCAGTTTCAAATCAGGCAACCTCCAGCAGGCAAGTCATTCTCTAAGTCTTGGCCACTTATCAGTGAAAGGAAGTAAAATCAGAAAGCTTTTTTAAACATCAATAAATGCCTTTCCTCTATCTTGTAGTTGACTAGTTACTTTCACATCCACTATCTTGTTTAATTATCAAACCTACAGCTGAAGAGAAGGCCTTCCTTCTCATGGGGTCAGAAACAGAATCACAGACTTTGACTTCTCATCCATGGTTCTGATCATAGGCCAACTGGTTTCAGGTATCTAAACTTTAAATTGCCCTAAGACTCATTTTAATTGACCACTAAACATTCAGAGATTTTCAGATTTCCTTTTTCCACTGATAATAATCTTGAATTTTTTTTTTTTTTTGAGACGGAGTCTTGCTCTGCTGCCCAGGCTGGAGATGCAGTGCCGTGATCTCAGCTCACTGCAAGCTCTGCCTCCCGGGTTCACGCCATTCTCCTGCCTCAGTCTCCTGAGTAGCTGGGACTACAGGCACCCACCACCACGCCTGGCTAATTATTTGTATTTTTTAGTAGAGACGGGGTTTCACCATGTTAGCCAGGATGGTCTCAATATCCTGACCTCGTGATCCGCCTGCCTCGGCCTCCCAAAGTGCTGGGATTACAGGCGTGAGCCACTGCACCTGGCCAATAATCTTGAATTTAATTTGGCTATTTGAGGATAAGAAAGGGATCAAGCAAATTGCTATTATTGTTGTTTTTCCAAAATCAACTCACTTCCATGACAACTTCTGATGAAAAACATTGGGTTTTGGTGAGCTGTGTTTCACAGATGGCACCTCACTGACCTGATTAACACTTAAAATTCCAATAACTAGGTCACTCTTAGAAACATTTCCTTGACCAAAAGGATGTCCCAATGATCTTAAACCTGGGGAGAGGGGAAGGAAAAGGGAGACCGCCAGGAAAGAATTCAGAGTGCTCTCCAGGAAGAGACAGCAGGAGTCTTTGAGAGGTTTTGGTTTATTTACAAAGATTATAAATACTAACTTGATATCAACCTAGAGATTCTACTTGTCTAAACCTTTCCCCCTCTTTTATTCATTCCAAGCAGCCCTTGGTCCAAGGTGTAATTAACAAGACCGATCCTTCCACACACATTTACCAGTGTCTTAAATTCAAATCCAAATTCTATTTTGGCAGTACTGCTAAAATCTCTTATTTCTTAGTTCTCAAAAAAATTGAAGGAGCTTTTGTCATTTTTTTAATATAAACATCTTCTTTCTTGAAACTGGATCTATAAACAATTTAATGTATTGTGTTCCTCAATAATAGAGTAAATCTGATTTCTGCTAATATTTTGGGTCAGTGACACCCCAAAACCTTTTGCTTTTTATCATGAAGAAGCCCCTCAGACACCTTCTACCTTACTAATGTCTCCATCCAATTTACTATCAAGAAAAGACAGTTTCTCCTTTTTTTTTGTGGTCAGCTTGGATCTTTTGAAGGAGGCATGTCTGTGTGCAGTGAGTTATCACCCAGATGTTCTTGTAGGTATTTTTTTTTTTTTTTGAGGCAGGGTTTCACTTTGTCACCCAGGCTAAAGTGCAGTGGCACAATCTCAGGTCACTGCAGCCTCAATCTCCTGGGCTCAAAATGATCCTCCCACCTCAGCCTAAGTAACTGGGACTACAGGCACGCGCCACCATGCCCAGATAATTTTTTTGTAGAGACGATGTTTTGCCATGTTGCCCAGGCTGGTGTTGAACTCTTGAGCTCAAGCGATCCACCTGCCTCAGCCTCCCAAAGTGCTGGGATTATAGGCGTGAGCCACCATGCCCAGCCAGTCTCGTAGTTTTATAGCTGTGAATTGCTCACAAAAGTCAATCATAAAATTTAGTTTATCGTAAAGTCTGAAGTCCCTTCACCACTGGACTTTATGAACAAAGCTATGTCTAACTCTGCTAGGAAATATTTTCTGATGAAACAAGTGTTTTAAGTAAGAAAAAACTCTCCCAATCATCTAACTCCTCACCCTTTCTGTGCCCACAATATTACTATAATAAAAAGCAACGTGCCTTTACAGAAGCCATGCTACATATGTCTCACCAAAAACGGCACATAGGCACTTTCAGACACAGTGCTAAAAAGAAATCAGATGATCAAAGTTGAACAGCCTCACATCTCATGTGACCTTACATGTCAGCAAAGTTTCCAGCAATCAAAATTGTATAACCATTTTATAACCAATAAACCCGTATGCAGCACAAATGTCTCTTTCTCCCCGACGTTCATCATCAGCCAGAGTAAAATGTTAATTCGGAACTGGATGAAGTGACAAGCTTTTGAATGTTGAGAGAATGAGGGCCAGAGGTGGCCTCAGCCTCAACACTTTGGGAGGCTGAGGCGGGCGAGTCACTTGAGGTCAGGAGTTGGCGACCAGCCTGGCCAACATGGTGAAACCCCGACTCTACTAAAAATACAAAAATTAGCCCGGTGAAGCCAGAAGCTGCGGCCCTGCCTTTCATATCCTGGGAACACAGAACCACTCAGGGGAAGGTAAAGCAGAACCAGGAAATGGAAAGAGAGCTCAGGCAGCAAGGGAGGGAAGCACGCTCTCAGCTGAGTTCCATTTTGAGACTCCCAGGAGAGTAAGTTCTCTATGTAATTAGGTTCATCAAGAGGAGGGAGAGGAGCACATTTTCTCACAGGTCAAAGCTGGGGCCTATGGGGTGGGGGGGGCCTTTAAATTATTTGTCTTTGACCTGGGGCCTTTCCTGAGGTATCCACACCCACCTCCAATTAGTCCACAGGGACTTCACAACTCCCCAATCTTAAAAATTGGGGGAGAATGTGTTCACACCTGGATTCTTCCTGGGGGTTTATGGCCATAGTTCAAAGGCCTAAGATTAGAGTCATGATCCATAGATATTCCAGGAGCTTCCAGCAGTGGATCCTGACACCCCAGGGAAAGAAATCCTTATACCTGGTCACTCCAGAGTTCTTAGGCTCCTACACAAGGTGAGCTTCCCAGTTTCCCATTGCCAACTCCACAGACACGCCCTGGATGACCACCAACTCACTCCCCAATCACAGCTCCACCCCAAAAGAGGGTGGGAGCAGATCAGAAGTGGCTTTAATGGTGTACCCAGAGAAAAAGCTGCTGTCCCTTTCTCTAGGAATGCTTCAAGAGAAAAGGAGATAAAGACTAAGTGGAATGAAAAAAAAAAAAAACCGGAACGATTTACCACTGTTGTTTTGGTTTTTTTAAATGTGGCTCAAAGAATGTTGGTGGTTCCACCAGCTGAAACCTGTGGCTATTCTAAGCATCTGTTAGAGTTACCTCAGAAAGAGCTTTGCATTTTTGTTAAGATATTTGATTAAGTTATTTGAGCGCTCAGTGTATAAAGTCAGATAGGCCTGGGGTCAAATCTCAGCTCAGCCACTTGTAAACTATATGACCTCAGATAAATGCTTTTATCTATCTCTCTAAGCCTCAATTTTCTCATCTAGAAAATGAGGGTAGGTCAGGTGCAGTGGTTCATGCCTGTAATCTCAGGGCTTCGGGAAGCTGAGGTGGGAGGATTGCTTGAGGCTAAAAGTTTGAGATCAGCCT
This sequence comes from Homo sapiens, assembly GCF_000001405.40. Classification (NCBI taxonomy): domain Eukaryota; kingdom Metazoa; phylum Chordata; class Mammalia; order Primates; family Hominidae; genus Homo; species Homo sapiens. The sequence continues at coordinate 142,601,725 of NC_000003.12, read as the reverse complement.
AGACAACATAGCAAGACCTTATCACTATAAAAAAATTTTTTTTAATAAGCCGGGCACGTTGGTCCACACCTGGGAGGCTGAGGCGGGAGGACTGCTTGAGCCCAGGAGTTCAAGGTTACAGTGAGTTATGACTGTGCCATTCCACTCCAGATTGGGTGACAGACTGAAACCCTGTTTTTAAAAAATAAAAATTAAAAATAAATGAGTAATTGTTGCACCTATCTCACAGGATGGTTTATAAAGATGAAATGATATATTACTTGTATTTAGTATAGTGCCTGGTTCATGGAAGATATTCTGTAATACTAGTTACTAATATTACTATTATTATTTTAAGAAAGATATTTGTCATTTTACAAAGGGCCATGGTAAATTCTAGGATTTAATATTTGGACATTTAAGTGTATGAGACATTAACTTCAACATACTACCTGATTTTGCATCTGCCTAATCAATTTTCACTAACGTCATCATGAAAAACATATATATATAAAAAATATAGGCCGGGCGCGGTGGCTCATGCTTGTAATCCCAGCACTTTGGGAGGCCAAGGCGGGCGGATCACGAGGTCAGGAGATCGAGACCATCCTGGCTAACACAGTGAAACCCCGTCTCTACTAAAAATAAAAAAAAAATTAGCCGGGCGTGGTGGCGGGTGCCTGTAGTCCCAGCTACTCGGGAGGCTGAGGCAGGAGAATGGCGTGAACCCGGGAGGCGGAGCTTGCAGTGAGCCGAGATTGCGCCACTGCACTCCCGCCTGGGCCACAGAGCGAGACTCCGTCTCAAAAAAAAAAAAAAAAAAAAAAAAATATATATATATATATATATATATATATATATATATATATGAAACCAGGCCAACCCTTCCCTTCCCCACTGCTAGCCATTTCTCAAGCTCATTTGTTCTGTCTCTCCTCTCAACTGCTCTCTCTCTCCTTGACATTTTTAATGGACCATCGTTGCCTGTGGAAATATGAAGATGGTGGTCAACCACAGTGTGCAAGTCAATGGCAAGGATGTGGCATCCAACAGCTCCCTCATCGCTGTGTGCAGCTCAATGGAAAGGCTGTGTTTTGATTTGCAAAATGGCTATGATTTGCAAAATGCAACATCTGTTCCAAGTAAACAAATATTCCAAACCACCTCTTGAACTGGAAGTTTGGATTCAGCAGCACTGCTTTCTGTCTTGTTTTTCCAGGTAGAATCTGATCACAATTGTCTCTCTCTCAGCCTTACCTCACCCCCATGTTCTTGGGTCATAAACACCACCCTTTGGTGCCACCCTCCTGGCCTACCCTCACTGCACCTGGCCTACCCTCTCCAAAGCCATTGCTCACCACCTCCTGGTAGTGTACAATATATCTAGGAAATAGACTCTCAGTCCCAAGGACTTTGGGCCAACCCATTTGTGTCTGCCTCTGACAAGCTAAGCTACCATGACCTTTCCAGACTTCAACTCCCCAGTGTGAAGATTCCTAGGACCCCAGCCTCACTCCCTCCTCACTGTGTACACTCAACCTTGAACTGGCCAGCAGCCTTGTGTTTCACCTCTTCCGATGACACACACATTCTCTCATCGACCACCAAATTTCCCCCTTAGATTGGTTTCTGAGGGCTTTCAGTCCACAGAACATCTTGAACTGGAGTGTCTTGCTACCAACTCAAATTAATCTTGGGAGGCTGAGCATGGTGGCTCAGGCCTGTAATCCTAACACATTGGGAGGCTGAGGCAGGCCAAAGAATTCAAGACCAGCCTGGGAAAAATAGTGAGACCCCATCTCTAAACACAAAAAAATACAAAATTAGCCACGCATGGTGGCACGTGCCTGTGGCCACAGCTACTTGGGAGGCTGAGGTGGGAAGGATCACTTGAGCCCGGGGAGGTCAAGGCTGCAGTGAGCAGTGATCGTGCCACTGCACTCCAGCCTGGGTGACAGAGTGGGACCCTGTCTCAAAAAATAAATAAATAAATAAAAATAATCGTGGGGCCAACAACCTCAAAAAGTAATAGTTAATGAAAAGAGCTTGGGTCTAGTAATGAGGAAATTTGAACAGAGCTTCTGGCTATCCCACTAACTAGCTTAGTTAAGAATATCTGGCCGGGCGCGGTGGCTCACGCCTGTAATCCCAGCACTTTGGGAGGCCGAGGCGGGTGGATCATGAGGTCAGGAGATCGAGACCATCCTGGCTAACAAGGTGAAACCCCGTCTCTACTAAAAATACAAAAAATTAGCCGGGCGCGGTGGCGGGCGCCTGTAGTCCCAGCTACTCGGGAGGCTGAGGCAGGAGAATGGCGTGAACCTGGGAAGCGGAGCTTGCAGTGAGCCGAGATTGCGCCACTGCACTCCAGCCTGGGCGACAGAGCGAGACTCCATCTCAAAAAAAAAAAAAAAAAAAAAAAAGAATATCTGAGTCCCTCCTCTATACAATTAGGGGATAGTCTGGATAAAGCGCTACCATATAGCTCTAAGATCCTAAATGCCCACCCTCCCCATGGCAAAATGCACTTTTTATTTATTTATTTATTTATTTATTTATTTATTTATTCATTCATTCATGTAATAACTATTGAGTGTCTGATACTGCAAAGCAATGTGCCAGGTATTGTGAAGGGTTAAAGGTCATCCTTCAGAGAGCTTATCATCTAGAACGGGAAATAAGACAATTACATCACTAACTAAGAAACAGAGACAATGTCACAATTCGAGGTACTTTTTTTTTTTTTCAGATGCAGTCTTGCACTGTCGCCCATGCTGGAGTGCAGTGGCACAATCTTGGCTCACTGCAAGCTCCGCCTCCCGGGTTCATGCGATTCTCCTGCCTCAGCCTCCCAAGTAGCTGGGACTACAGGCGCCCACCACCATGCCCCCCCAGCTAATTTTTTGTATTTTTAGTAGAGATGGGGTTTCACCGTGTTAGCCAGGATGGTCTCAATCTCCTGACCTTGTGATCCACCCACCTCGGCCTCCCAAAGTGCTGGGATTACAGGCGTGAGCCACCACACCCAGCCAATTGGAGGTACTTTTAAGATAAAAAGAACATTATAAACCCATTACTAACACCCCAACCCTGAAATTCATTTTCAACATGTCTTTCCTTCTCTGCATTTAGTCTTTCACCACATGCTTCTTCCTTTACATTTCTTAATTCTGTGCCCTCTTTTCTCCACTTTGAGTCACAGGCTTAATCCAGGGCCTGGACCAACTGACCCGTGTTTTTACGCCTGTCTCCTGTAATCCCCCTAACTAATCTGTGATCTGTTATCAAAATATGAGGAATCAGAAATGGACTTGGCTGCTGTCTTGATACAGCTCTAACATGGCCTTCCCCATATTATAGAACACACATGAAATCTCTTTACAAAACTATACATACTGCACTTCCTTCCCCCACTCCCTCCCACAAACAGGGGCTAAGAATATACTTTGTGCTTAGTGCTGGGTGGGATGTTTAAGTCATAGGCTTTAACCTCCAAGAGCTTACACAACCTGCCAACTTCCTGGTCGGGAAGTTGGGAGGTGCTAAAATACTCAGGATACTATATACAATGGGGATACTAACAGCACAAACAACAGTAGTAAGTGCTATAGGGTTCAGAAGAGGGAGAGCTACTTCATGCTAAGGCAATCAAGGAAGGCTTCCAAAAAGAGGTCACACCTGAGCTACACCTTGCAGCATGAGCAGGACTTCAATACGGAAAGAGGGAGGCAAACAGGCATTTTGGGCAAAGGGCCCAGGTGACTGAGGGAAGGAAGGAGGGCGTTTTCAGGACCAGCAAATTGTTAGGTGGGGCTTCAGTGAAAGGGCACTTTTTGAAAGGAATTTATGAGGTACTAGGAAGCTTAGTAAGAGAAACAACTAATTTTCTGCTTAAGCCAGACTTCATGGTATAAGTAGAAGAGAAAAAGGAAGTTTAATAATGGAGGTAAAGAAGAGTATCTGCAGGGAGTGGTAAAAAGACCCCAGAAAATGAGAAAACCTGGATCCCAGGCCTAGCTTTGCCAATGAGGGGCTTGGGTGGCCACAGCAAGTCATCTAACCTCGCTGGTCTCAGTTTTCTCATTTGTAAACTGAAGCAGCTGAACTGGCTGACCTCAAAGGTCTCTACAGCCAAAACTAGACCAGCTGTATATTATTTCTGCCATTAAAACATTTATCATGGGAGGAATGAAGGGGGGCAGGATACCTGTATTCCCTTTCCATATAGGTTTCTCTTCCTGAACTTAAAATTTCCTCTTCCTAAACTTACTACCTCTCTCTCTATATATATATATGCCTCCACATTACACATTAACACTTTACTATAGAATTTCATTACATAATTCAACTTAAAGGAAAGCTGATTACAAAGGTGGTGGGGGGTGTAAAAGTACTTGCTTCAAGTTCAGTGTGTGCCCCCTGTCCTGAAATTTTGCTTCTGGCTCACAGGTTCTTCAAGAAATTTATGCAGCACAGCTGAAGCCTCATACAAGTGTATCCAACACCGTGGCTGGAGGGAAAGATATCACGGTATAAGCCATAAAATGTGACATAGTAAGTAAGTAAAGGAGGAAAAGTGAGAATTCTGTTACTCATCTAAACGACCGCTTCCTTTTAATAGTACCAAATGAAGACCGAAATACAGTAATAATTGAAAAGTTAGGGAGAAATCTTAAATTTTTTTAAGTCTCCACTTGAAAATGCAGCTGAAACACGGAAAGTTTTTTGGCAGTGAAATTCGCTGAAAACTGACATTTTTATGCCGCATCCAGAGGTCCCTATGCTCCAGGAAAGGTACCAAAAACAGCACGGATGGGATTTCACTACAGCCCTATTGATCCTATGCACCAAAAGGCCAAAGGCAAATAAACCAGTCCCAGAATTAAAACAAAACAGGCTGGTTCAGAAAGCCTCACCGGCAGCCACCCAAAGTTGAAAGAAGAAAACTTAATGAAATACCTTATTTCATTGCATAGAATCACAATTCAGTTAACAGGCTTATTGTTTAAGCAGTGTAAATACGCGATTTAACACCTGCGGGCACTGCCTGCCGGGACTGGGCAGAAGCGTGCCCAGAGGACGGCGGGCGCCACACTGCACAGCCAGGAGACGAGACGCGAGCGAGGGGACCCGGAGATACTGCCCCCGAGCCGCCGCGCGCCCCCAAAGGAGTAACGCTTCGCTTTCCATCTGTCTGTCCAGCCTTCCTTTTGGGCCCTATCCCCACCCCCGCGTACCTGCCGCCACCGCTGTCCTGCCTTCGAGAGGGCAGCTCCCACTGGAGATCCAAGTACCTGCAGGTCCACTCTGCGGCTACCTCTCCGCGCCCGCGTAGCCGCTGCGCTCGCGCCACTGCGCATGCTCGGCCGGCACCCGGGCCCGCAAACTCTGAATCCACTTGCCGCGTTTTGCCTGCGGCTCCCAGGGGAGGGAAAGGGAAGCCCAGAACCTGGGTTTAGGCTAAGGGTGAAAGAGGAGTTGCAGGCGCTGGGAGCGTGGATGGGGAGAGGTGGACGGGCGCTGCGGCAACGTTATCTCTACCGCCCACAGTTACCCAAGTCTAAAGATGACCACCTACACCCTGGGAATGAGTTTAGCACAGCAGTTCTCAAACTTGAGCGTGGATCAGAATCACCTGGAGAGCTTTTTAAATCACAGATCCCAAACCCGGAAACTGAGTTTCCGATTCAGTTAGGTCTGGAGCGTAGCGCGACAGTTCCCATTTCTAACATGTTCTCAGCGAAAACTGGTGCTACTAGTCTGGGTACCACACTTTGGGACCTGCTGGTCAAAAGGAAAGGTATACGTTATTAAAGGAAGACTTGTTTCTCTCCCCTACTCTTTTTTTTTCCGTTTGTTTCACGGATTGCTTCCTTTTCCTTTAACAGCCACACCTGATTAAAATAAATATATAACTAAAGCCCACACTCAAACAAAAGTGGGATATTTTCTCTCGCATGTGAGTCAGGTAAATGGAATGCTGCCTCAAGAGTTCTCACATACTTTGCCTGAAGCATAATCCGTAGTTGTGGTCTGTCCAACTCAGTCCAGAGAACAGAACAAGGTTTTGCTGCCCCTTTAACTCAAAGTCCCACGTGCCCCTTCTGCGCCTAACACAATATCCAATACAGAATAGGCACCCAACCAACCCTGAGATGGTAACAATAGAAAAAATAAAGGGGGGAAGTTGAAATTATTTTAAGAACTCAAACAAATTGGACGAGCAATGAACTATGAAAGTAGGTGGGCCATGGAGAGGGAAGATAAGGAATTTTTCCCACCTGCCACCTAGAGAATCAGGTGAATTTAGTATTCTTATCTGATTTTTCCCACCTGCCACCTAGAGAATCTGGTAAATTTAGTATCCTTATCTGATACTTATTTATCTAGATATGCAAGGGGAGTTAAGTAAGTTCTCACAAAATAAAGCAAAATATTTCCTTAAAAGGTAAACATACATCTAACATATGACCCAGCCATTTCATTCCTAGATGTTATCCAAGAGAAATTAAAACATATGCTTACACAAAAACTTGAACAGGAATGCTCATAGCAGCTGTTTTTCACAAAAGCCCCAAACCAGAAGGAACCCAACTGTCCAACAACATGTAAATGAAAAAACAAATTGTGGTATATTTATACAATGCAATACTACTCAACAATAAAAAAGAAGAAATACTCTCACACAGGACTCAATATGGATAACTCTCAAAATCGGTATGCTGAGTTGAAGAAGCTAGAGACAAAACATATTGTATAATCCCACTTATATGAAGTACAAACTAACCTATAATGACAAAACCCAGATTAGTAATTGCCTGGAGCCAGGAGTGGAGGGAAGGATAAACTGCAAATGAGCAGAAAAAATATTTTTGGAGGGGGACGATGGAAATTTTCTCTGTTTTGATGGTAGTGACAAGTTCACAGGTGTATACAACTGTCATCGCTAAGTTGTACACTTTAAACATGAAAAATGTGTGTAAATTATTCACCAATAAGTTTGATAAGAGAACACTTTTTCATGAAATACTCTTATGATCTGTTTTTTTTTCGTGGTAATATTGACCAGGGCAGGTTCATGAGGAAACGTAGATTCTAAATATGGTATAACCTGATTTGGGAAAGGTAAAATAAAAAGTCATCCTCTGTAAATGAAGCTAAAAATAATGCATATAAAATGTCTGTAACAACCCTCTGTAAAAGCAGCCAACCCTAAGATATGATTTGTAAATATACCATTGATAAAACCGTTTCCCAAAATTGTTTCCAAGTGTAAAATAATAACTAGAGTATATCATTAGAAATGCACAACCAGGGCCCAGTGCAGTAGCTCACGCCTGTAATCCCAGCACGTTGGCAGGCCAAAGTGGGCAGATCACCTAAGGTCAGGAGTTCAAGACCAGCCTGAGCAACATGATGAAACCCCGTCTCTTCTAAAAATACAAAAATTAGCCGGTCGTGGTGGCAAGCGCCTGTAATCCCAGCTACTCAGGTGGTTGAGGCAGGAGAATCTCTTGAACCCAGGAGGCAGAGGTTGCAGTGAGCCAAGATCAAGCCACTACACTCTAACCTGGGCGACAGAGCGAGACTCTGTCTCAGAAAAAAAAAAAAAAGAAATGCACAACCAGCGTGTAATAATTATATAAAGAAAATTGTTACCTGCTTAACTGATTGTATCACTAGCAATGACAAATAAGGTATTCAAACTGTGTTTCCAGGAGCTCTGGGTTTCATGGAGAGAAAAATACGCAGGGCTCTGGATCAAGGACCCTAACCCAGACTGCTTACATATTGTAGTATCTTGTGAAATCTTATTTGATAAAAGGGTTTCACTGATAATTTTGTTTTTTTGAGACTGAGTCTCGCTCTGTTGCCCCGGCTGGAGTTCAGTGGCACGACCTCAGCTCACTGCAACCTCCACCTCCCAGGTTCAAGAGATGCTCCTACCTCAGCCTCCTGAGTAGCTGGGATTACAGGTGCACACCACCACACCTAGTTAATTTTTTTAATTTTAGTAGAGACAGAGTTTCTCCATGTTGGCCAGTCTGGTCTCGAACTCCTGACCTCAGGTGATCCACCCTCCTCGGCCTCTCACAGTGCTGAGATTATAGGTGTGAGCCACCGCACCTGGCCATCATTGATAATTAAAAGAGCAATCGTTTGAAAACAATTGAAGTAATAGTATCAGGTCGTAAGAATTCACAAAGAGATGGTATATTTGGTGGACCTGTTTTTTGGCTTGCAGAGCAATGAGAAAAAATACATACAAAGATTTTTAAACTAGTTAAAAATGTACACTGTAGTTATAGTAACCATATGTTCCAATTTTTGTAGAATAGTCTTCATTTAAATATTTGTTTATTACATAAATTATATCTAATCATGTATTCCAACTGTTGGTTGAAAAAAATAACATCTTTTAAGCTGGGGGTTGTTTTTCAAAATAATATAAAAAATCACGAACTAAAAATAAAACGAGGATAAAGCAGGGCATGGTGACACACACGTAATGCCAGCATTTTGGGAGGCCAAGGTGGAAAGGGCACTTGAGCTCAGGAGTTCAAGACCAGCCTAGACAACGTGGAAAAAACCCATCTCTAAAAAAAAAACAAAACCAAAATTAGCCAGGTGTGGTGGCATGTGCCTGTGGTTCCAGCTTCTCTGGAGTTTGAGATGGGAGGATCTCTTGAGTCCAGGAGTCTGAGGCTACAGTGAGCCATGTTCACTACACTGGACTCCAGCCTGGGCAACAGAGCAAGACCCTATCCGAAAAAAAAAAATTGAGCTGCTACTGGGTAGTCACCATTTTAAACACTTCACCGTATTTACTCATTGAATATCCATGCCAACCCTATGAAATTATCCTCAATTTACAGATGAGAAAACTGAAGTACAAAATGTTATTTTTCCCATGATAACACAACTAAAGACTAAATAATTACAACTACATTTTTAAAATATATTTTATATAAAGACAATCTTTGCTAATTTCACAGTTTCCAAGGATCCATCTGAATTATTAATTTATTTTTCCAGGCTCATTGATACTAAGAGGGCTACCAAAAAAGCAGAGCTCTAGTGATTACTGCCATCATCATCTTCATTATCATTGCTAATATTTATTCCATGTCTTCTATGTACTAGCTACTGTGCCAAGAAGTTCACATTGTTTATTTCATTTAATATTCATGAAGACAAAAGTGCAGATTCAATAATAATAGGTAACAAAGACAGCGAATGGCGGAACCAGGATTCCAACTCAAGAGTGAATGGCGGGCCGGGCGCGGTGGCTTATCCCAGCACTTTGGGAGGCCGAGACAGGTGGATCACTTGAGGTCAGGAGTTCAAGAACAGCCTGGCCAACATGGTGAAACCTCATCTCTACCAAAAAATACAAAAATTAGCTGGGTGTGGTGGCATGTGCCTGTAGTCCCAGCTACTTGAGAGACTGAGGCAGAAGAATTGCTTGATGCAGGGAGGCAGAGGTTGCAGTGAGCTGAGATCACGTCACTGCACTTCAGCCTGGGTGACGGAGTGAGACCTTGCCTCAAAAAAAAAAAAAAAAAAAAAGCTAATGGAAGAACCAGGATTCAACTCCAGTTTTCTACTATTTACAATACTGGTCCCTGTATTCTAAGGGAAAAATATTGGCATTCTGGATTATAACCGAGTCTCTGTGAATGTGGCTAATGTTAGTTCATTCCCCAGAGCCTGATGGTTTCTAACATGCTTATAACCACAACACCCCACTGCAACCCAGCCCTGATCAGCATCCCGAAATCAGCTACTATATAGGCACCAATTTTACAATCAATTTTAGAAAAGTAGGTGCATTCTGAATGATACCAGCAAGTGTGATGTGACCATATTTATTTCATTTGGCTGGTTTTTTTTTTCCAGAACAAAGAGAGTAGAGAAAAAAACATATGTGAGAAAGACTAAGATTCAATATTCAGTCTGTGGCCATACCACCCTGAACACTCTCGATCTCGTGTGATCTCGGAAGCCAAGCAGGGTCAGACCTGGTTAGTACTTGGATGGGAGATTCAGTATTCATTTCAACTCTGAATTTATGATAAATCATTTAGAAGAGAAAACAATAATATGAGAAATAAGTCCAAAAAAACAGGGCAAAACTTCTCTCTCTCTCATGCATACACACACACACACACACACACACACACACACACACAAAATTTAACACACACACCGTTTTGATCTAACACAGATAAGATCAAAATAGCCAACAAAGCACACACACCTAAACCCACCTACCACCTAAAATCTCATGAAATGATAAAGGGGATAATTTTATTTGTTTATTTTAATCATTATTTATTTTTGAGACACAGGGTCTCACTTTGTCACCCAGGCTGGAGTGCAGTGGCAGGAACATGGTTCACTGCCTCCACCTCTGGGGCCCAATTGATCTTCCTGCCTCAGCCTCCTGAGTAGCTGGAACTACAGGCATGCACCACCACACTCAGCTAATTTTTGTATTTTTTGTACAGACAGGGTTTCACCGTGTTGCCCTGTCTGGTCTGGAACTCCTGAGCTCCAGCGATCCGCCTGCCTCGGCCTCCCAAAGTGCTGGGATTACAGGCATGAGCCACAGGGCCCAGCCAGGAGATACTTTTAAAAAGTAAAGGCCGGGTACAGTGGCTCACACCTATAATCCCAGCGCTTTGGGAGACCGAGGCAGGCAGATCACCTGAGGTTGGGAGTTCAAGGCCAACCTGAGCAAAATGGAGAAACCCCATCTCTACTAAAAATACAAAATTAGCCTGGCGTGGTGGCGCATGCCTGTAATCCCAGCTACTCAGGAGGCTGAGGCAGGACAATTGCTTGAACCCAGGAGGCGGAGGTTGCATTGAGCCAAGATCGTGCCATTGCACTCCAGCCTGGGCAACAAAAGCGAAACTCCATCTCCAAAAAATAAAAATAAAAATAAGTAAAAGAAGGCTGGGTGTGGTAGTTCATGCCTGTAATCCCAGCACTTTGGGAGGCCAAGGCGGGTGGATCAACCTAAGCTCAGGAGTTCAAGAGCAGCCTGGTCAACATGGTGAAATCCTAGAAACAAAAAAAATTGCCATCGACAAACCAGAAATGTTGAGAAAAGACAGAATGCAGATAGATTAAATCTCAGAAAAACCAAATGGAAGGAAAATTCGGCTCAAATCATATGGAGGAATCTGCTAAAGGCAAAAATAGTAGTAGTTGGGGAGAGGGTGTACAAACTTACAGTTAACAGATCAAGAAGTAGGGAGGAGGGTACTGAGACATTGGTCAGGGGGAGTAATTAGAATAAGAGATTTAGAGTAGCTAGGCTGGTCAACCACTTTCTTCTCTCCAACTGGTTCTAAATTGTGGCCCAGAAAGCAATAGACCACCAGGAAGAACACCAGTCTTCCACACTTTAAAGATGAGCAACCACACACCCTTGTCTTATAAGTGCTGTTCCCTATACAAAATTGGCAGAGAACAGCTACCATAAATAAATAGGCAAAAGGAAGAGAGATTCTAAAATACAAAATTGAACAGATAGCTAACACATTATCATACATTTGAAAAAAGTTACCATGAAAGAGGCACCATTTTTACAATTATTATTAGACAAAACAAAGCTACAGAACAATCAGAAGAAGACATTTGAAATGTATAATATCTTCAGAGAAACATGAGAAGATGTCATATGTACAAAAACTTTGAGTATATATTTGGAAATTTAAAATTTTGATAACTGAGGCTGGGTGTGGTGGCTCACTCCTATAAATCCAGCACTTTGGGAGGCCGAGGCAGGCAGATCGCTTGAGTTTAGGAGCTTGAGACCAGCCTGGGCAACATGGCTAAACCCTCATCACCACAAAAATACAAAAATACAAAAATTAGCTAGGAAGTCAGGCACGGTGGCTAATGCCTATAATCCCAGCACTTTGGGAGGCTGAGGCAGCTGGATTGCTTGAGTCAGGCATTTGAGACCAGCCTGGCCAACATGGTGAAACCTGTCTCTACTAAAAATACAAAAATTAGCCAGTCATGGTGGTGAGTGCCTGTGATCCCAGCTACTCAGGAGGCTGAGGCAGGAGAATCACTTGAACCGGGAGGTGGAGATTGCAGTGAGCCGAGATCACGCCATTGCACTCCAGCTTGGGCAACAGAGCGAGACTCAATCTCAAAAAGAAAAAAATTACCTAGGCATGGTGACACACATCTGTAGTCCCAGCCAGCTACTTGGGAAGCTGAGGTGGGACGATCACTTGAGCCCAGGAGGTTGAGGCTACAGTGAGCCATAATTGCACCACTGCACTCCAGCCTGGGTGACAGAGACCCTGTTAGAAAAAAAAAAAAAAAAAAAAAAAATATATATATATATATATATATGAGATATATATGATATATGTTATATATATGATATGATAGCTGAAATTAAAAAATGAAATGAATGGTCTGGGTTTCAGAATAGACATAGATTAATAACTGGAAAATCAAGCTGGCCTATTATCCCAGAATGATGTCACCCCAATTAGCAGTGGCAGAAAAAAATGGCTTTAGGGCCTATAAGGGTGCCCTGAGGCAATTTTCTACATTCTCCACCCTCCCCCCATACCTTGCCCTTACTTATTTGGAAAAAAATAAGATCATATACCACATTAACTGAAACAGATGGCAAATTATGAAAGAGCTATGGGGTGTGGCAAAGGCTGCTGATTGTCCTCAAATATCTTTTCATTAAATATATCTATGATGTATTTATGAAAATAAGGGCATTTCAAAATACAGGAGAATGATTGACTAGTCAGTGACATAGTAACAGATACCATGCATGGATTGACCAACTGTCTTCTTGGATGCCTTCCTGGAAAGCCAAAACCAATATTTCCCACATTCACTTGTAGCTAGGATTCCAAAAATGATTTAGGTTTTACCAAGCCAAGTTAGACTGATTCAAATTTGTATTACATGAAGAGAGAGGAAAGGCATGAACCCCTTTGGGCAGATTCCTAATTCTGCAGCGTCCTGATCCTTTCAGAGTTAGCAGCTGCCTTGACAGGTAATTTGGGGAGTTCTTGAAGACTCATGATGAAGCCTGTTTCTCTCAAAGATTTTGTATATCATCTAGATCCCTTAAACTCTTTATTTTGAAAGTGGCAGAAGGGACTTCAATACCAACATATGAACTATCTGTCTGGGAAATGAGTTGTCTGATCTTGTTTCAAAAATGATCTGTAGATAAATGGGAAAACAAATACTAGCAAACTGAAGTACAAAAATGTTAGGGAAAAGTATAAAAGAACATTTTAAATCTTGTGGTTAGCCTTTCTAAGCAAGACTAAAATCCAGAAGACACAAAGGAAATGATGGGTAGATTTGATATAATAAAAATTAAAATTCCTACATAAGAGCCAAGTGACAGACTAAGATATAATATTCTCAGATATAAATCAGAAAAGGTTTAATTCATAATATGTTAAAATGTTTGTATAAATCAATAAAAAAGACACAACCAAATTAAAACTGATAAAATTCTAAACAGGTAATTTACTAAAAAAAGGTAATCCAAATGATTAATAGACATGAGTAGATGCTTGAACTTGCTGGTAAGTAGAGAAATGCATATACATACATGTAAGTGCCGTAACCTAATCAAATCAGAATCTCTGGGAGTCCCCAGATACTTTTTAAAAATCTTCTCATCCACATAAATTCAATGTGTAGCCAAAGTTAAGAACCACTACCCTAAAACAGTGCTAACTCAAAGTGTGGGCAGTGGACCAGCAGCAGTAGCATCTAGCAGCTTGTTAAAAATGCGAATTACTGAGTTTCCTTTCAGACCGATTGAATCAGAATTTCTCCAGGTGATTCTGATGCATGCTCAATTTTGAGAACTCTGAAACCTCTCTGCATTTTATTTACAGAGCTACTTGGAGGATAATAGCAGGTGAAAGTATTTTCAGAAAAGTAAAAATAGTAATCGCAAATACAAATAATCATACTATTCCGATATATTTTACATAATCTTAGGGTCATACTCAGGACCTAGCAATGAAAATGACAATAATTCATTACTGAAATAGAAATCTCTTGGAGACATAAAGAATTAGTCCATGTCCTTATTTCTGAATTGTCTCCAAATACAGTGGAGTGTTAGTTAGTTCTATAATACAGTCTTAGTAGATGTGAAACTGCCACAGGGATAGGAAGCCAAATGGCTTACTTTTAAGTTTCTTAAATATTTTGTTACTTTATGATGGCTTTTTTTTTGTAATGGGTTTTTGCAGTGTTTCCACTAAATGGGACAAGTGTATTGGTGCAGTTTGGCTATTCTGCACTATTAAATTTCAGAATATTGGCTTGTGGTTATGTTGTCTATTATTTGAGGCTTTACCCAAAGAAAACTAACAGACATGTGCCCCCTTTTACCCTTTATCTATGTCTGACAATATTCCATACATAGCCAAGCTATTAAAGAAGAGAAATGTCGTGGTCTTTGGGTTTTAAGAAGGTTGCTCTGACTGCTGTGTAGAACAACTCCAAACAACATCAGCATCATCTAGAAGCTTGTTAAAAATGCATATTATTGAATGTGTGTGTACCAAGAGGTGTCCACTGAAGTTCATTCGGATGTAGAAAGGAACTTGTAAAACTGTTGCATTATGTTGGAACTTGCATAGCTAACCAACCAGGAGTTTGGGCATCTGGCTGAGAACCAAGTCTATCTTAGTCTCAACTGGGTTGTAGTACCACCTGGTGGTCATTTTCCACTCTAGTTTAATCATGAATGGGGACAATTCTATACACATGGCTGACTGGAATTCCAGAACACTGACTGATGCCCCTTTGGCAACTTGATCTGTGACACTGGGCTTAGGAAATACCAGGGACACTGGGACCTATCCACACCAACCACTCTGCTTCCTGCCTCACCCTCTCCTCCAAACTCCTACTCCCCAAATGATAAAAAGAGGGCTGACAGGAATGCAGGAATCAATTAGTAGTTGTATTATGTTCAAATTTACATTATCATGAAATTCATGTACATTAGGATGTAGAACTATATATGGTTAATAAAAATGTGCACATATTAGGATACAAATTTTTAAAATTTCAAGAGTACTACTGAATAATAATTTTTAAAAAGTTGGATAACAAATGCTGGCAAGGATGTGGAGAAAAGGGAACCCTTGTACACTGTTGGTGAGAATGTCAATTAGTACAACCACTATGGAGAACAGTGTGGAGGTGCCTCAAAAAACTAAAACTAGAACTACCATATGATCCAGCAATCCCACTGCTAAGTATATACCCAAAAGAAAGGAAATTGGTTTATCAAAGAGATAACTGCACTCCCATGTTTATTGCAGCACTATTCACAATAACCAAGATTTAGAAGCAACCTAAGTGTTCATCAACAGATGAATGGATAAAGAAAATGTGATACATGTACACAACGGAGTAGTATTCAGCCATAAAAAAGAATGAGATCCTGTTATTTGCAACCACATGGATGAAACTGGAGGTCATTATGTTAAGTGAATTAAGCCAGGCACAGAAAGACAAACTTCACATGTTCTCACTTATTTGTGGGAGCTAAAAATAAAAACAATTGAACTCATGGAGATACAGAGTAAAATGATGGTTACCAGAGGCTGGGAAGGGTAGTGGGGGGGTGACGGGTGTGCGGTAGGGATGGTTAATGGGTACAAAATATAGTTAGATAGAATAAGTATTTGAGCCTGTAATCCTAGCACTTCAGGAGACTGAAGCAGGCCGATCACTTGAGCCCAGGAGTTCAACACCAGCCTAGGCAACATGGCAAAACCCCCGTCTCTACAAAAAACACCAAAATTAGCCAGCTGAGGTGGTGTGCACTTGTAGTCTCAGCTACTCAGGAGGCTGAGGTGGGAAAATCACTTCAGCCTGGAAGCCCAAGGCTGCAGTACACCAAGATCAGGCCACTGTAGTCCAGCCTGGACAACAGATGAGACCTTGTCTCAAAAAAGAAAAAAGATCTAGCATTTGATTGCAGAACAGGGTGACTACAGTCAAACATTTATTGTACATTTTTAAATGAATATAATTGGATTGTTTGTAACACAAAAGATAAATGCTTGAGGTGATGGATACCCCATTTACCCTGATGTGATTATTACACATTGTGTGCCTGTATCAAAATAGCTTATGTACCCCATAAAGTATATACACCTACTATATACCCACAAAAATTAAAAATTGGCCGGATATGGTGGCTCCTGCCTATAATCCCAGCACTTTGGGAGGCCAAGGCAGCAGATCACCTGAGGCCAGGAGCTCCAGACCAGCTTGGCCAACATGGCGAAGCCCATCTCTACTAAAAATACAAAAATTCACCGGGCGTGGTGGCACACACTGGGATTACAGTAGCTGTAATCCCAGCTACTCAGGAGGCTGAGGCAAGAGAATGGCTTGAATCCTGGAGACGGAGGTTGCAGTGAGCCGAGATCGTGCCACGGCACTCCAGCGAGTGAGACTCCATCACACACACACACACACACACACACACACACACACACAAAAAAGCTAGGAGATGGCCACGCGCAGTGGCTCACTCCTATTAAATCCCAGCATCCCAGCACTTTGGGAGGCCAAGGTGGGCAGGTCACTTGAGGTCAGGTGTTCAAGACCAGCCTGGCCAATATGGTAAAACCCCATCTCTCCTAAAAATACAAAAATCAGCTGGGCATAGTGGCATGCACCTGTCATCCCAGCTACTTGAGAAGCTGAGGTGGGAGGATGGCTTGAATCCTGGAGGCAGAGGTTGCAGCTGAGCCGAGATCACATGATTGCAATCCAGCCTGGGCGACAGAGTGAGACTCGTTTCAGGAAAAATAAAAGGTCTGGGAGACTCTCTCCCCCTCAAGTATGGAGAATGGGTTAGAGAAAAACAAGCCTAAAGGCAGATAGGCAAGCTAGAAGCCTGTTGAAGTAATTTAGGCAAGAGGTGATGATGGTCTAAAACTAGAATGGTGGTAAGGGAATTTGGGGGAAAGTGGATAGGTTTGATATTTAGGAGATAGAATCTAGTCCTTATGTTTTAAAGATATAAACTGAAGTATCTGCAGATAAATTGATATGAGGTCTAGACTTTTCTTTAATCCAACTGAGGAGAGAGAAAATGAGAAAGGTGGTTATAAATGAAACAAAGACTAACCATATGCTGATAATCATTGATTGGGTGATGGACATAAAGGAGTTCCTTATTGTGTCTACTTTTATATATATTTGAAAGTCCCCATAACAAAAAGTTAAACAAAATAAAGTGCCTGGGAAATGCTGAAGGGAAAATATTCAGTAGGGAGATAGACATAGGAAATATAAATCTTGGAGAGAGATAAGGGAAGAGCAATGAATTTTGGAGTGAACAGCAGACGGAAAGTTAATTGAAGCCTTGAGTGTGAATGAAATAATAAAAAAGAGAAAAGAAACTAAGTTAGAATCCTGAGGAATATCAACAGTAACGGGAATGGCAAAGAAGTGTTGTTAACAAGTAAGCGTCATGGAGTCCAAAGAAAGCTTTCCAAGAAAGCAGCAGTGGTCTACATTAGGGGTCTCCAACCCCTGGGCCACAGTACTGGCCAGTGGCCTGTTAGGAACCGGGCCACACAGCAGGAGGTGAGTGGAGGGCAAGCAAGTGAAGCTTCATCTCTTTTCACAGCAGCTTCCCATCACTGGCATTACCGCCTGAGCTCCGCCTCCTGTCAGATCAGCAGGGCATTAAATTCTCATAGGAGTGCAAACCCTATTGTGAACTGCACATGTGACAGATGTAGGTTGCATGCTCTTTATGAGAATCTAATGCCTGATGATCTCTCATTGTCTCCCATCACCCCAGATGGGACCGTCTAGTTGCAGAAAAACAAACTCAGGGCTCCCACTGATTCTACATTATGGTGAGTTGTATAATGACTTATTATATATTACAATGTAATAATAGTGCAAAATAAATGTAATGTGCTTGAATCATCCCGAAAACATCCCTCCACCTCCCTGTCCATGGAAAAACTGTCTTCCACAAAACTGGTCCTTGGTGCCAAAAAGGTTGAGGACAGCTGGTCTCTATTGTCAAATGCTGCTAAAAGGTCAAAGGAAAGAACTGGTCAACAGCCATATGAAAGTCATTGGTAACTCTGGTGAGAGGCACTTAAGGGGTGGGAGGGCAAACAGGACAGAGAGTATAGTATACGTAGGTTTAGGGCTGAGTAGAAGGTGTAGAAATGGAACCAGCCTGGATAATACATGAGTTACTAGAGGGAGGATGTCTACTTGGAATGCTGACTTCTTGAATCAACTCATTTGTTAAAATACTGCTATAGATGTTTGATTTCTCTAAATGACCTGCTACTCTCCTTTTATTCTGTTCTACACTCTCCTGCCAGATTCAAGTGTAGCTTTGACCATCACTCTTATATGAAATCTCCCAGAGCCTCTCCAATACTTACTGAAGTCTGTACAAATGTCTCAGACTACTCTAAATGTTCCCTTGTACCAGCCAAAGGGGACCGTGTCCCTCCCTCAGCATGCTTTTTGTTCATACTGCTGCCTCTAGTTAGAATATATTCCTTTTCCCCAATTTCTGTCTCTTGAAGTCCTCCTCATCCTTCAAGTCCAATCTCAGATATGGTGACACCTTCTCCTTGAGCTCCTTCCTGATACACCTCTTCTTTCCACTGGAGTAGATTGTGTCCTCTATTTTTCCAATACATGCTGTTTATATCCCTGTCCTGGCATTCACTGGATTTCACTTTGCTCTTAATTGTCTATGTTCTCATTATATCCTTTCTGTATCCACAAATTGTACATTACCTGAAATTAACTTTTTTTTTTTCCTCTGAGACAGGATTTGGCTCTGTTGCTCAGGCTGGAATGTAGTGGCGAGATTGTGGCTTACTGTAACCCTGGCTTCCTTGGCTCAAGCCATCCTCCTACCTCAGCCTCTCAAGTAGCTGGGACTACAAGTGTTAGCCACTATGCCCCGCTGAAACTAACTTCATCTTCCTCATTTTTGTGTCTGTCACAGAAGTACCTAACCCAATATCTTGCCCAAAATGACTTTTTGAATTAAATGGGATTTCTGAGGCTCTATTATTTATAAGGCTTGCAAATTTATACTGCTTTTTAGAATTACCATGCTATTTAGCTATTGCCTTCCAGATAGCATTCTAATTTTTATAATCTTTCTTCATATGTTCTAAAAATAGCTAAAATTTGGTATTTTTAAACTATTTTTCAGATGTGTTATTTAAGCTTAAAAGTATACTTATTTTAGTTTTTAAATGCATCAGTTATTTAATTAGGTTCTTGGTAAGACATTTAGAACACCTATTTGCTAGGATAAACTCCATTCATCAGAGCAAACACAGATTACAGGTAGCCCTGGAGCTAAGGAATAGCTTTGATTTTTGGTAACATTTACGAGTCCACAACTTTCTAATTTTTTTTTTTTTTTTTTGAGATGGAGTCTTGCTCTGTCACCCAGGCTAGAGTGCAGTGGTGCGATCTCTGCTCACTGCAAACTCTGCTTCCCGGGATCAAGTGGTTCTCCTGCCTCAGCCTCCCCAGCAGCTGGGATTACAGATGCCCGCCACCACGCCAGGCTAATTTTTGTATTTTTAGTAGAGATGGGGTTTCACCATGTTGGCAGGCTGGTGTCGAACTCCTGACCTCAAGTGATCCACCCGCCTCAGGCTCCCAAAGTGCTGGGGTAACAGGAGTGAGCTAGCGTGCTTGGCCACGAGTCCACAGCTTTCTGATCAACCTTGCATTGCTCCATAATCTTCTATTACTCTCTTTCTGTGTTGACGATGTCACTTTCCCAGTATTTGGGCTTCCATAGCATCATCTTCTTAAGCAAGCATTGGTAAGATGTTTTGGAATTTTCACATTGCTGATTTCAATTTTGTGATGACCTCTGGTGTGTTTCCCACAGAATGTGAATGAGGACCAGAGGTCCAGTCACAATTAACAAGCCACTCCTCAGCTGCTCCAGTAAAACCACCCTCTTGCCTTTGTGGTGCCCAGTGAGGATAAGCAGAATGATCCCAGGAGAGAAGCTAGTTTGCAGTTTTCTCTGTGCTGACTGAAGTGTTTCTGTTTGTTTTTTCTGTGGCTCAACAGCAGCTTTCCAGGCACATCTTTGGAAGGATCTAGGCATTTTGTAGGGTTTACTTTGCAAAAAGTATCACCATTCTTGTTGCCACCAACTGGTTTTGTAGCAATGGCAAGAACCTTTTCCTTTTTCAAGTCTGGACTTTCTTCTTTTTAATTCTGGATTTAGTACCCGAGTACTTCCTCTTGTACCTGGCCTTTTTGACATAGCAGATTGAGAATATCTGCCAATTCCTCTGATAAGGACAGGATTTCCGCTGCAGGGGGGCTTCCCTTTCTTTGGCTTTTTAGCCTTGAGGTGTTTTTGTTTGTGTTTTTTGACGGAGTTTCGCTCTTGTTGCCCAAGCTGGAATGCAATGATGCAATCTCGGCTCACTGCAACCTCCGCCTCTCGGGGTCAAGCGATTCTCCTGCCTCAGCCTTCCGAATAGCTGAGATTACGGGCGCCCACCAGCACACCCAGCTAATTTTTTGTATTTTTAGTAGAAATGGAGTTTCACCATGTTAGCCAGGCTGGTCTTGAATTCCTGACCTCAGGTGATCCGCCTGCCTCAGCCTCCCAAAGTGCTGGGATTACAGGCGTGAGCCACCGTGCCCAACCGAAGTTATGTTTTAACCTTGCCACTAGCATCAGCCTTCTTGGCTTCACGTTTCTTCTCCTTGGTGTCTGGCTTCTCAACTTTTTCCCCCACCATCTTACAAGACGGGAAGGAGCTATTTTTTTTAATACATGTTGGAATATCCTGGCTATGCAGATACAAATAGTAATATAACATCCACCCAAATATAACATTAAATTTTGATTAAATAATAATTAATTCAAATCCTACTAAAAGAAAACCCTTAGGGATACATTGAAGCTTCATCATTTCATTCCCTTCTCTCCCTTCCACAGGTGCAACTATCCTGGAGTTGATATCTATCTTTGCCAAACATGTTTTCATACTTTTATCAAACATATTTGTATACATAACTCACACAACGCATTGTTTTGTGGTTTTAAGATTGTATATAAATGATATGACACTATTATGTATACCTTTGAATTTGCTTTTTCAATCAATGTAGTTTTCAGGATTCATCGTTGGTATAGGTAGTATAATTCATTCATTTTAACTATGAAATTATATTCCACTTTATGACTTTACCCCCTCTTATTTAATCTTTGCTGTAATCTTGTGAGGTAGACATTATTAATCCCATTTTATAAATGAAAAAATGGAAGTATTAAGAGATTAAGTAACTTTACTGAGGTCATATAGTTTCTAGCAGATGGAATGAGAACTTGTGTAGGGCCTGTAACTCCCAATCCCATGTCCTTTCTCCTAAAACATTCAGTGATTCATTCAACAAATGTTTACTGAACACCACCTATGTGCCAGGCACAGTTTTAGGTCCTGGGTATCTGAGAGTGAACAAAATAGACAAGACCTTGCTCTCCAAGAGCTTACACTCTAACTGGAGAGAGACAATAATATAGTATGTCCGGGTGTGGTGGCTCTCACCTCTAATTCTAGTACTTTGGAAGGCTGAGGTGGGAGGAGCGTGTGAGGCCAAGAGTTTGAGACCAGCCTGGGCAACATAGCAAGACCTTGTCTCTACAAAAAATAATTAGCCAGGCGTGGTGGCATGTCTGTAGTCCCAGCTACTCAGGAGGCTGAGGCAGGAGGATCAATTGAGCCCAGGCTGAGGTGAGAGGATCGCTTGAGCCTGGGAGATTGAGGCTGCAGTGAGCTATGATTGCAACATTCATTGCACTAGAACCTGAACAACAGAGTAAGACAATGTATCTAACAAAAAAAAGAGGGTGAGACAGAATGTGTATATATGTTAGTCTATATGAGGCTCTTTGGTGTTAATTTGGCAAACACCTGAAGGAAAAAGGGCAATGACAGAGTGGTGTTCAAGGCAGAGAGTACAGCAAATGCAAAGTTCTTGAGGCAAGAGCATATTTGGCTGTCATTCCATCACTTTTTTCTTTAAGATACTGTATCGGTTAACTATCCTCATGTACCAAAGAACAAATGTAAACATACTGCATGACTTTGAGTGATTAACTACATAACTTTGACATGTCAACAATCTCTTATGGTGGTCATCTTTCCAATAAATTGAGTTGAGCTAGAAAATGTGTATTGCCAAAATCCATTGATTTACTTTAAAAATTAAATCACAGGTTGCGGATGCCCGTAATGGTGGCATTTCCACACACAGTACTGTTGCTGATTTGATGAGACACAAATATATTCCAACCCCATTTTCAAATATTAAAAGTTGGTAGGGTCCTCAACGAAACCTAACAGTGACTTCAAGTTGAAAAAAAATGCTTAAAAGGAAAAAAACAGGGAGAGCCCACCTTTTGGCCTGTATCTCTCAGAAAGAGGGACAAGAGCGGTGGGAACGTGAGGAACTTTTAAAATGTGAGAGCGTTACTCTGGGGAAACCTGGAGTTTACTCTTGGCCTTTACTCGCTGGACTGTCATAGTTCTCACATTTGTGAAGCGAGTCTGGGCTGGCGGCCCTCAAGCCCTATCCTCCCCCGATGCGGAAGTCTTGCTTCTCTGTGCCTCCCAGGCTTGAGAACAGCAGAGTCTGGCCGCTCAAAACGAAAGCTTCACGAACGTCGCTCGCTCGGTGCTGAGAAAGAAGCCTGACGCGACCCGGGAAACTTGACCGACGCACGCCCGCCCGCTTGCCCCGCCCCCTAACGGCTTCCCGGCTTCCCCCGGGTCCTATGCAGAAAAGACGCTGGGCCTGGCAAGCGGGGCCAGTAGCGGCTTCCGGGAGGAGTTTTGGCCTCCACACGGCTCCGTCGGGCGCCGCGCTCTTCCGGCAGCGGTAGCTTTGGAGACGCCGGGAACCCGCGTTGGCGTGGTTGACTAGTGCCTCGCAGCCTCAGCATGGGGGAACATGGCCTGGAGCTGGCTTCCATGATCCCCGCCCTGCGGGAGCTGGGCAGGTAGGGCTAGGCCCAGCCTGGGTCCTGCATCCTCCTCCGCTGATTCCGGCTTGGGTTTCACGTGCTCTCCCCTCCCCTGCTGCGCTATGGCTGGGATCCCCTAAGCCCCCGCTGCGGCCCTTGTGGAGATGCTCCGTGGCTGATTTGGGCGCTTCTCCCTCAGAGTGCCCGTTGATAGCACATGGGGCAGTCGCCACAAACCTGCGGGAAGCCGGTCCGTGGGGGAGAGAGGCGTCTGCCGGCCCTGGTTTACCACTCACCCCGATCGAGAGTTTGCTTCCTGCAGCTGGAGGAAGAGTCCCTGCTGATCGCTTTCTGGTCACTTTTCTACACTCATTTTCTTCTCGAAAATCTTTTTCCTTAGACGAGGGACTTGACCCATCAGTTTCTGTTCTTTGTGATCACTCGTGGAGGAATTGGTTTTTAGCCTTACATTTTGTCCCCAAACTGCCCTTGAAAGAAAATCACCGCTTCTCATTTTCTGCAAGTGACATCACTTGCTGGAAAAGGCAGTTTTTTTCTTTGAAGTGAAGTCATAGTACATACTGAAGATGTGACCTCCCTCGTATTGATCGTCCAGTTCCCGATCCGTTATTTTAGTCAGAAATTGGAGAGATAGACCCCTGGGTCCACAAAATCTCAGCGTGCACAGAGTGTTGCCAAAATTTGGAGACAATTTAATATTTCATTTGCAAATGCATGTTGTCTGTAAACCTCATGAAAACCAGTATCTTACCACAAGGAGGGAGAGGTGTTGATGGCTCTCACACCTCTTCAATACACAGGCAGGCTTCCCTGAACCAGGCCTAAAGACTCGGTAGAGCTTGTTTTGCTTTGTTTGTTTTAATTCTACACTACTGCGAACAAGAAATAAATAAGCTTGTGCTGCTACCGCAGTTAAATTATCATTTGGAATAACTGCTTCCCAATTTCTTAAACTGTTTGAAAACTTTCCACACAAAGTCAAAGCTGACATTAAGCCAATGGGATAGCTACTTCTCTTTCTTTTTGCAGCGCAGTTGTGTTCATTTCCACTGGTTGGCCATCCAAATAATCTAGTCTCAATATATGAATAAAAGGATAAATGAAGGGACCATTCTTGTCGTAACTGCATCACTATTTTTGAGTGTGTGAATTTTTTCCACTTATCTGTGGCAAGTATACTTTGTGTTTAGTTTATAAAATAACCTCTACCTCTCTAAAAGAAGAGGAAGAAAAGTGATCATTGTAGGAAGTTGGTTTACAAATTTCATCTTTCAGGCTCATTGTGAAGCTGAGTATATTTTTGCCACTTTGCTTTAAAGTAGAATTAACTGGTTAATACTTCTCTTCCCTCTTCTGTCTTCCTCCGTGAGTCCTGTTAATAAAAATAATTGGTTCTTGGATTATATATAGTCGGTTTCATCAGTAGAGTTTATGTTACCTTTCATTTATTTGTAGCTATTCCAAGAGAAAGAATAGAAAAACTGACCCACAGAGAGTTGTCTAATAGTTTTTAATTGTCATGGCTTTTTCATTACAACTACTTGAATCAAAAAAGCTAATCAATTTTCATAGTATATCCATGACATAGAATGAAACAAGTGTTACCACTGTTTAAGAAAAAGGGACAGAGAAGTTGAAGAACCAAAGGCACAGCTAGCAGATAACAGAGCTAGGTTTCAGATTCAAGCTTTCAAGGCCTTTTCTTCCAAAATGTTTCCTCTTAATTGACTATGGCAATTAGACTACTGAAAAAAAAAGATATTAGTGTTCTAATTTATGGGCTGCTCTTCCTCAGTCCCTCAGATAAATTTTGTCCTATTGTTTTTTTGCTATTAGCAGTCTGCTCTGCATAATCTTGCTAAATGACCTTTCCACTCTCCTGCCTTCAACTATAATCTGCTATTTGATGACTACTAATATGTTTCTCCAAATCATGTCTTCTATAGAATTGTATATTTACTGTATACTGGTAGTTTCACTGAGTGTCCTATGTGTAGTTAAGGTTCAGAATATCCAATACAAATTCCCCACATGTCCTAGCTTTCACAAGCTTTCTTTTTTTAAATTAAAAAAATTATTTTTCTCTTATTCATTGAAGTAGAGATATCTCAGTACATGGCACCATATTCACTTAGTTCTCCAAACTGGAAATCTAGAAGTCATTCTTAACTATTTTCACATGTGCTTTCAGTCTATGTCCTTGGCCCTCTTTTAATCTGTGCTGTCTTCCCAAGTAATCTTACCTAATCTCATGGCTTTAAATGTCATCCATATGCTGATAACTCCCAAATTTATATTTCTAGATCGGAGATATATATTAGGTTGCTTACTCAACATCCACACTGGGAAGTGAAAATTAACATATCCAAAGCAGAACGCCTGATTTACTGCGCCCTTGAATTTGTTCCTTCTCCTGTGTTATCGTAAATATGCCAACCAAAAGCCTAGGAGTCATCCTTGGTTTTTTTCCCTTGTCGCTTAATAATCCATAAGTTAGTTCTGACAACCATATGTTTAAGATACATCTAGAATCTAACACTTCTCACTGTCTCCACTGCTACCACCAGAATTTCTTACCTGAACTATTACAGTAACCTTAGTTGATCTTTCCATTTCTACTTTTACCTACTTATAATAGATTTTCCACTCAGTAAAGTGATTTTTCATCTATTAGTCATATTGTAAGTTCCCCTGCACAAAACCGTCCTTTGACATTCCAGCACACTTAAAATCAGTATAAAATCCAAACTCCTTACCAAGGCCTCTAAGGTTCTACATAATCTGGCTCAGCCTGCCTCTGACTTCATCACCTTTTATCCCTCTTTTGCTTACTTTACTCTAGTGATACTGACCTTGTTTCTCCAGGATACCAAGGCTGTTCCTGCCTTTAATCGTTTGCTGTTCCTTCTATCTGAACACTGGATGGTTTCATTTAGATGTCATTTCAGAATCACCTTCTCTGATTTTCCTACTTGAGATTGCTTTGTAGTTGTAAGACATTTTCAAATGTGATAGTTGCTATTAAAATGTTAAATGGAACAGTGGGATGTGGAGGAGGTTCTGAGGAGCAGCAGCATTAGCCACTAGAGGAGATTTGATGGTGTAAAGAAGCTAGTCACGTGAATCTGGGATGGAATAGGAAGTACAAAGGCCCATAAGTGGGAATGAGCCTGCTTTTTTTTTTTTTTTTTTGAGACGGAGTCTCGCCCTCTCCAGTGGCGTGATCTCTGCTCACTGCAACCTCTGCCTCCCGGGTTCAAGCGATTTTCCTGTCTCAGCCTCCCTTTCCTGTAGCTGGGACTACAGGCTTGCACCACCGAGCTAATTTTTATATTGTTAGTGAAGATGGGGTTTTACCATGTTGCACAGGTTGTCTCCAACTCCTGACCTCAAGTGATGCACCCACCTCAGCCACCATGCCAAGGCTGAATGAGCCTACTTTTAAAAGGATAGTAAGAAGGCTGGAGCACAGGGAGTAAAGAGGGGAGTGGTATGAGTTAAACAGGGAGGGGTAGGCAAGGGCCACATCCTTCAGCACCTTGGAGGCTAGAAAAAGGAGTGAGATTTTATTGTGTGATGGGAAACCATTGGAATCTTTTAAACAGGGAAATAAGCAAGTTTTTTAAAACTTGCTTAATTTTTACTTCCTTAAAATCCTTCAGTGCTTACACATTGCCTTCAGTGTAAAATCCAAACTACTTAGCCAGTCCTTTGAAATTTAACCTTATCTTCCCTCTTCAGCTGCATCTCTAAAGGCTTTAGCCACATAGAGCCTCTTACAGTTTCCAGTGCTTGGACTACCCTCCCTCTTACCCTTATTTCACTGCCTTGTCCCTTAGGGAGTCAGTTTTGTATCACCTCGTTAAGGAAGCCATGACTGACAGGGCCCTGCTCAGGGCTGAGTGTCCCTTTGTGTTCTTTCTTGGGCCTGTCAGTTCTTAACCATAATTACCTCTTGTTTGTCCTTTAATCTGCAAATTATTTTAGGGCAGGTGCATTCTGTCTTGGTTATCCTGGTATTTGATGCTTACCTCAGAGGAGGTGCCTAAGCTTTATATAATACTTACATTAATACTCAAATTTTATAGTATGCTTTTGAAAAGTTATACCCTCTTAGCTCAGTTCCAGGGTAGAAGTCACAAAATAAGAAGTGCTCACTCCTGTGAGTTTTCTTTCTTTTTTCTTTTTTTTTTTTTTTTTTTGAGACTGGCTCACCTGTTGCTCAGGCTGGAGTTCAATAGCATGAACATGTCTCACTGCAACCTCTGCCTCCTGGGGTCAAGCGATCCTCCCACCTCAGCCTCCCAAGTAGCTGGGACTACAGGTGTGTGCCACCATGCCTGGCTAATTTTTGTATTTTTGTAGACGGGGTTTCACCATGTTGCCCAGGCTGGTCTCAAACTCCTGGGCTCAAGTGATCCGCCCACCTCAGCCTCCCAAAGTGCTGGGATTACAGACATGAGCCACCACGCCCGGCCAAGTTTCTTTCTTCTGATAGTAGATCTAATGAATGGTAATCAATTTACATTTTTCTAAAACTGATTTTTAAAAATTACACAAATAATACATGAGTACATAATCTTTACAAAATGAAACTTTGTAAGAAACTCTGACCACTACCCACAATCCTGGCTCCTCTTCCCATGTTCCTCTTTGTTCACATTTTTAAATGATACTTGTGAAATTACTGTGGTTTATCATAATGTCTCCTGACTTTGTCTAAAACAATTCATGTTACCTTGTAATTACAGATTTTGAATTTTTTGTTAAATTTGTGATGCCCTATACTATGGTAGCCACTAGCCAAATGTGACCATTGACCACCTCACATGCGGCTAGTCTAAATTGAGATGTGCTGTAAATATAAGATACACAGTGGGTTTCAAAGACTTAGTACCAGAAAAAAGAATGTAAAAGATCTCATGAATAATTTTTATATCGATTACACATTCACCTAATATTTCAGATATATTGTTAGGATCAATTGTTTTTTTCCTGTTTCTTTTCTTAATGTGGCTACCAGAAAATAACAAAATTATGGCTTACGTTATATTTCTATTGGCCAGCGCTGATTTAAATAAGATACATAGCACTAAGTTGTTTTGCTTTCATATGCAAATGTAACTACTTGTTCTTTGATTCTTTTTTTTTTTTAAGGACTTTATTTAGTAGCATATACAAACTTGCTTTTTTTTTTTTTTTTTTTTGAGATGAAGTCTCACTCTGTCATCCAGGCTGGAGTGCAGTGGTGCGATCTTGGCTCACTGCAACCTCCACCTCCATGTCCCAGCGATTCTCCTGCCTCAGTGCCACAGCTTCCCAAGTAACTAGGATTATAGGCGCCCACCACCACGCCTGGCTAATTTTTCTATCTTTTAGTAGAGAAAGGGTTTCACCATGTTGGGCAGCCTGATCTGGAACTCCTGACCTGAAGTGATCAGTCCGTCTCAGCCTCCCAAAGTGCTGTGATTACAGGCATGAGCCACCACGCCTGGCCCTTTGATTCTTTGTGTCTAGAGTTTATGTTACTTAAAAACATTTGTTAATTTCAGTAAGTTTTTCTATTAAGCAAGTTCTAGGTGATGTAGCAGAGGCAAAAAGAAATAAAATGCATTTTCTCTCCTATAAGAGCTTACGGTCTAATGGCACTTTAGGACATGCAGAGAGAAATAAAGCACAGTCTGCCACCTGTAGGAGCTTATAGTCTAGTGGCAGGGAATAGGTAAATATTCCATAGGTCCAGAAGGCTGTACATTAGGAATGAAGAAACCACAAAATTCAGGAAGGTTCTTATGAACCATTCATTCATTGAAGAGTTGTTTTTTTTTCTTTAAATGTCTACTATGTACCAGGACCAGAGAACAGTTCTTTTTTTTCTTTTCTATTTTTTGGAGACAGGGGTCTGGTTTTGTCACCGAGGCTGGAGTGCAGTGACACAATCTTGGCTCACTGTAGCCTCCCAGGCTCAAGCGATCCTCCCACCTCAGCCTCCTGAGTAGCTGGGGACTACAGGTGTGTGTCTCTATACCTGCTCATTTTTCTATTTCTTTTGTAGAGACAGGGTTTCATCATGTTGCTCAGGCTGGTCTCAAACTCCTGAGCTCAAGCAGTCTGCCCACCTTGGACTCCCAAAGCACTGGGATTACAGGCATGAGCTACCATGCCCGACCAGTATCAGTTCTTTTATGGCATTTATTAGCTGTAAATGCTATTGATCCTATATGTAATCAATTAGGATTGGACTTTGTGGTTTGAATAATCAAAAAAAAAAAAAAAAAAAAAAAAAAAGTCAGGCCGGGCGTGGTGGCTCACGCCGATAATCCCAGCACTTTGGGAGACCGAGGCGGATGGATCATGAGGTCAGTAAATCGAAACCATCCTGGCTAACATGGTGCAACCCCGTCTCTACTAAAAATACAAAAAATTAGCCGGGCGTGGTGGCACGTGCCTGTAGTCCCAGCTACTCGGGAGGCTGAGGCAGGAGAATCACTTGAAGCTGCGAGGCGGAGGTTGCAGTGAGCCGAGATCACACCACTGCGCTCCAGCCTGGGCGACAGAGCGAGACTCCGTCTCAAAAGAAAAAAAAAAGAAAAAGGGCCGGGTGCGGTGGCTCACGCCTGTAATCTCAGCACTTTGGGAGGCTGAGGCGGGCGGATTACCTGAGGTCAGGAGTTCGAGCCAGCCTGGCCAACATGGTGAAACCCCGTCTCTACTAAAAATACAAAAATTAGCTGGGTGTGGTGGCACACGCCTGTAATCCTAGCTACTTGGGAGGCTGAGGCAGGAGAATTGCTTGAGCCCGGGTGGCGGAGGTTGCAGTGAGCCAAGATCGTGCCACTAACTGCACTTCACCCTGGCCGACAGAGCGAGACTCTGTATCAGAAAAAGAAAAAAATTCACTCTTTTTCTTTTACCACTATTTGAGATAATAAGTGGGGAAAATGTATGAACATTTTACAGTGCTATATAGAAATAAATTGTGACATATATGAAATATATGCTATTATTTATAAGTAACTGTCTTACTACACCCTAAGTTGTTTTGTCAGAAGTGATGGACTTTGCTAATCACTCACACATAACCCACTGTGAATCCTCTAGGTAGAGTTAATCATTCCCTGCTTTGGGTGTACATGATACTTGCTTTTGATTATTTATTTATTTATTTATTTATTTATTTATTTATTTATTTATTGAGACTGAGTCTCGCTCTGTCGCCCAGGCTGGAGTACAGTGGCGCGATCTCGACTCACTGCAATCTCCGCCTCCCAGATTCAAGCGATTCTCCTGCCTCAGCCTCCTGAGCAGCTGGGACTACAGGCGCCCGCCACCACACCCAGCTGATTTTTGTGTTTTCAGCAGAGATGGGGTTTCACCATGTTAGCCGGGATGGTTTAGATCTACTGACCTCATGATCCGCCTGCCTTAGCCTCCCAAAATGCTCGTATTACAGGCGTGAGCCACCATGCCCGGCCGCTTTTGATTATTTAAGTGCATTCCTCTCCTCTCCCCAGCAACTATTCTGAGTTCTTTGAAGCAGAGGATCTTGTTTTACTTGCCTTTTGAATTTATTAAATTATTTGCGTCTGTACCCATCCATTCTTTCTATGTTTATGAAAGAGTTACCCTCCTGTCCAAGGATTGTCTTTTTACTTATATCTGGTTCCAAGAAGAGGAGTCACATCTCAAGAATTGGTTGCTTAGGTCTTTCCATTATAAGGGAGAAACAAAACAAAGCCCTCTTGATCTCATACAGTTCTTTAGTTATCACCAACTCTACTTCTCTTCATTTCATGATCAAGCTTTGGAAAGAACCCGCTATTCTCAGTATTCACATTTCATTAGATTTTCAGCCCCTTGCAATCTGGCTTCTCTCTTTACTGCTACAGGAAAATTTTAAAAGTCCAAAAGGCATACAAATACCTAAACATAAGAACTAAAACTATGAAACTCTTAGAAGTGAACATAGAGGGGGCCGGGCATGGTGGCTCACACCTATAATCCCAGCACTTTGGGAGGCCAAGATGGGTGGATCACCTGAGGTCAGGAGTTCCAGACTAGCCTGACCAACATGGAGAAACCCTGTCTCTACTAAAAATATACAAAATTAGCCAGGCGTGGTGGTACATGCTTGTAATCGCAGCTACTCAGGAGGCTGAGGCAGGAGAATCGCTTGAACCCAGGAGGCGGAGGTTGCGGTGAGCTGAGATCGCGCCATTGCACTCCAGCCTGGGCAACAAGAGTGAAACTCTGTCTCAAAAAGTAAATAAATAAATAAAAATAAGGGAACATAGAGGGAAAACATTATGACACTGGATTTGGCAATGATTTCTTTGATATGACACAAAGCACAGGCAGCAAAATAAACAGATAAATTGGAATTCATCAAAATTAAAAACTTTGTGCATCAAAGGGCAGTATCAATAGAGTGAAAAGGCAACCCATGGAACTGGAGAAAATATTTGCAAATCATATGTCTGATAAGGAGTTTAATATCTAGAATATATTAAGAACTCCTACAGCTTAACAACAAATATAACCTGATGAAAAACAGAAAAAGAACTTGAATAGACATTTCTCCAAAGAAGATATACAAATGGACAAATAAGCACATGAGAAGATGCTCACAATTACTAATCATTAGGGAGATGCAAATCAAAACCACAGGATACTGTTTCACACCCATTATGATAGCTATTAATAAAAAAACAGTTGGGGCTGGGCATGTTGGCTGATGCCTGTAATCCCAGCACTTTGGGAGGCTGAGGCAGGCGGATCACGAGGTCAGGAGATTGAGACCATCCTGGCCAACATGGTAAAACCCCATCTCTACTAAAATACAAAAAATTAGCCAGGCATGGTGGTGCATGCCTGTAGTACCAGCTACTTGAGAGGCTGAGGCAGGAGAATTGCTTGAACCCGGGAGACAGAGGTTGCAGTGAGTTGAGATCATGCCACTGCACTCCAGCCTGGTGACAGAGCAAGACTCTGTCTCAAAAAAAACCAAAAAACAAAAAAAATCCCACAAAAAAAAAACACAGTTGGGCATGGTGACTCATGCCTACAATCCCAGCACTTTGGGAGGTCAAAGCAGGCAGATCGCTTGAGCCCAGGAGATTGAGACCAGCCTGGGCAACGTGGTGAAACCCTGTCTCTACAAAAAATACAAAAAATTAGCTGGGTGTGGTGACATGCACCTGTGGTGCCAGCTACTCAGGAGGCTGAGGTGGGAGGATCTCCTGAGGCTGGGAGGTTGAGGCTGCAGTGAGTTATGGGTGCACCACTGCACAGTAACCTGGGCAACAGGGTTAGACCCTGTCGCCAAAAGGGGAAAATAAAATAATAATAAAAAAACACCCAGAAAATAACGTGTGTTGGTGAAGATGTGGAGAAATTGGAACCCTTGTCCACTGCAGGTGGGAGTGTACAATGGTACAGCCACTGTGGAAAAGGGTATTAGCGTTCCACCAAAAATTTAGTTTTTATGTGCTTCAGAAGGGAGGAAGTGAATGCTAATTGGTCCATAGGCAGTCATGGGTGGGCCTGGAAAAAGCACCCTAAGTTCTCGCTGTGGTCCGTGTAACTGGCAGCCAGGCTTCCAGGCTTCAAGCTGTTCCTGGCTTGAAGGTGGGTCTTCACTGGGGACCCACCCCTTTCCTCCCAGGAGCCTACTTCCTGCTGCCATCAACCTGCCACCCACTACACCGAGGCTGTTCGTGCCGAGGGGCGCCTGCAGGCCCATATTGAGCTGCCCTCAGCCTACCGCTTGGCCTGCCCAAAGTCCAGAGGGAGATGAGGCAGCAGGGGGCTGGTGTGTCAGTGCCGTCCTGAGCACATGCACACGCGGCCTGGTCCTGACAACACCTGGGCTCCCCCACAACTTTGCTCCGAAATTGGTGTGGGTGCCGGGAGCGGGGAGAGGCCAGGCAGCGGGAGCAGGCATTTCCAAGTCTGTGAGGGCAGGGGGCCTTCCCGGCCCTGGAAAGAGCAGGGATGCCTGGGTTTGCAGCCGTGGTTGGGCGGCTGCAGCTGCACCCAGGATGGCTGGGCTCCCGACCCTGCAACTCGGAAGGGGGCGGGGCTTCCACCTGTCTTGCACCTCAGAAGGGGGCGGGGCTTCTGCCCACTAGCGCCCTGGAGAGAGCAGCCCTAGCACCACCTTCCTCACCGCTCCAACTGGGCTGCCACTGCCATCAATAGCACATTTCAATTTGTACTAATCACATTTCAAGTTCTCCCTAGTTACTTGTAGCTAGTGGCCACCATATTGAGAAGTTCAGGTCTAGGCTTTGCTGATTGGATCTCTTTAGTATTACTTAGCATATTCTTTTTTTTCTTGTAAGTTGGTAACATATTCAGATTTTCTTTTCAATTTTTAAACAGAAGAATACTGTGAATATCAACATTGACACTGAACACATTTGATGAGTTCTACTTTAGAGAAATTTTTTTTGCAAATGAAACTGAGTCACTTTAAGGATTAAAAGCTTTTAATTTGTATTTTAGTGCCACACCAGAGGAATATAATACAGTTGTACAGAAGCCAAGACAAATTCTGTGTCAATTCATTGACCGGATACTTACAGATGTAAATGTTGGTAAGAAACCAATTATTTCTTATATAAACTTTATAAATTAGACTTTTCTTTTCCATGTATAAATTATAGTAGCATTTTCTCCATGTAGTTTTAGATATGGAGTATTTATGATAGTTACTATTTTCAAGCAAGTTATTTGTTAATCAGTATTGCTTATTGCTTGTTACAAAATTTGAATTAGGCTTTTAAAATAATTCTCTTTTCCTGTTTGTTATCTAGATTTTCTACTGCTTGCTATGAGTTCTTTAATATTGGATATTATATGTAAAAATATTTGTCCAGTACCAATCATGTGGACCCTATTTTGGTTAGCTGTTATGCCAGTGGTAGACTAATAGCAAATGCCACCCAAAAAAACCTCTTTAAGTAAGTTACTCTTTAAGTAGGTTCATGCCTGTGCCTATAGGAGATTATAGGATTATGTGAGTTACTGAATCAATTATTGCCTGTTTGTGCCAATCTGCTAGACAGAATATTACCAACCTGGCAAGATGGTGTCACATTTGTCATATCTGTTGAAATTACATGGGAGGGATAATATAAAATGGCATTAGGCTCAGGGTTTATAATTTGGATTCCAAATTTGGCGCAGATTTTATGACTTAGACTAGCCATTAATCCTTTCTTTTTCAATCAGTAAAATGATGGGTTGCTGAAAAATAACAAAGGACTACTGAATACTTACAAGATGTGTTTTTGTATCGTATTCATATTCCCTCCGTTTAGACTACTTGCCCTTCCCCTCTCTGACCAACTCCTCATCTAGGAATCATTTCCTTCACAGTGTCCTCCCAGATACCTGTTTCTCCTTATTCTGGATTAGTGCTGTTACCATATTGTATTATAATTATTAGTTGGTTTGTTTGGCGCCCCACTGGATTGTGAGAACTTTTTTTTAATCCTTAGATTTTAGCATTGCCTGGCATATTATTCCTGAAGTACATGTTTGATAAATAGATGTATGGTAGAGGAATGCATGTGATTTTTAAACATTTAAAATTAGATAAGACTGTAGTGTTGGCTGGGCACGGTGGCTCACGCCTGTAATCCCAACACTTTGGGAGGCCGAGGTGGGTGGATCACCTGAGGTCAGGAGTTTGAGACCAGCCTGGCCAACATGACGAAACCCTGTCTCTACTAAAAATACCAAAATTAGCTGGGTGTGGTGGCACACACCTGTAGTCCTAGCTACTCAGGAGGCTGAGGCAGAAGAATCACTTGTACCCCGGAGGCACAGGTTGCAGTGAGCCAAGATCACACCACTACACTCCAGCCTGGGCAACAGAGTGAGACTGTGTCTCAAAAAAAAAAAAGACTGTAGTGTTTAGCCCCATCAATTTAGCTTGAATGTTGTTGAGTGCTGTGCTGGATATAATTCTGGTCACCAAAGTCTGGTTCCCCACCCCCACCCCACTTTTTGTTTTTTTTTTTTTAATTTTAAGAGACAGAGTCTTGCTTTGTTCCAGGCTGGAGTGCAATAGTGTGATCGTAGCTCACTACTGCCTTGAACTTCTGGGCTCAAGGGAATCCTCCAGCCTCAGCCCCCTGAGTAGCTGGGACTATAGGCACACTACCACTCCCAGCTAATTTTAAGAAAAATTTTTTTTGTAGAGACGGGATCTTGACATCTTATCCAGGCTGGTCTTGAGTTCCTGGGCTCAGGTGATCCGCCCACTTCAGCCTCCCAAAGTACAGGGGTTACAGGAGTGAGGCACCTTGCCTGGCCCACAGTCTGGTTTCTTAACAAAAGGACCATTGTTTAATTTGTCATGACTCTTTAAAATGAATCTTATTGTTTTAGTTGCTGTAGAACTTGTAAAGAAAACTGACTCTCAGCCAACCTCCGTGATGTTGCTTGATTTCATCCAGCATATCATGAAATCCTCCCCACTTATGTTTGTAAATGTGAGTGGAAGCCATGAGGCCAAAGGCAGTTGTATTGGTAAGTGCTGTTATTCATGCATTCACTTGCCATCTGTTCTATAAAATCCTCCTTTTACTGCTCTTCTGAAATATTACATGTACAGGATTATACTTTTTTGGGTCAGCTTTGCTATAAATTGAAGGAGCAAAATGGTAATGGTTATTTTTCCTTCACATATCCTTATTGTTTTCTTTTTAGTATTGTATACTAGGTACTTAGAAATAATCAAATTTGTTTATTTGCCATTGAACACTTTGGCATGGTTTTCTTTTTTCTGTTTTTGGTAATCTCTTTCTTCTAGATCAGAGCTTGGCAAGCTGTAGTCCACAGGGTGGCTGCCTGTTTTTGTGAACAAAGTTTTGGTGTTTTGTTTTGTTTCCTTTTTTTTTTTTTTTTTTTTTTTTTAAATAAGACAGGGTCTCGCTATGTTGCCCAGGCTGGTCTTGAACTGGTAGACTCAAGGGATCCTCCTGCCTCAGCCTCCTGCATA
This sequence comes from Homo sapiens, assembly GCF_000001405.40. Taxonomy (NCBI): domain Eukaryota; kingdom Metazoa; phylum Chordata; class Mammalia; order Primates; family Hominidae; genus Homo; species Homo sapiens. The sequence goes on along the minus strand of NC_000003.12, from coordinate 142,565,648 downwards.
CCTGGGACCATAGGCACATGCTACTGTGCCTGGCTTCAGTTTTTGTAAACAAAGTTTTATTAGAACACAGCCATGCTCATTCTTTTACTTATTGTCTGTGACTACTACAAAGGCAACTTGGGCACTCAAGCCAAAAATATTACTATCTGGTCCTTTAAAAAAAGTTTGCTGACCGCTATTCTATATATTGAAGCTTTTCTCTAGGCTTATTCTTTATTGCACCTACTACTTTTGTCCCTTCATTGGTGTCTTCATAAAGAGATGCAAAATAAACATTTTTTTTGTATAATGGATAAAGTATTTTAAAATTTTTTGTTCAAACTTTAACTCAACTTTGATAGCATGTCCTCCAAGAAGTTTTTTTCTGAGCACTACTTCTAACTGCTTAGAACTGGCTTGGTTATTCCTTTATTCTCTCTTAGTACTAAGTGTTCTGCATTTCATCTATCATAGAGGCTATTAAACTGTGCTCTAATCATTGGTTTGTCTATATTCTTTCCTACAGTAGTTTTTAAACTACAGGTCATAACCCACTAGTGGGTTATGAAATTAGGCAATTATCAGCATTTAAAACAAGATGAAATAAACTAGAAAATATCATAGGCTGGGCACGATGTCTCACGCCTGTAATCCCAGCACTTTGGGAGTTCGAGACCAGCCTAGGCAACATGGCAAAATCCTGTCTCTACCAAAACCAAACCAAACCAAACCAAAACAAAACAGAAAAACATTAGCTGAACATGGTGGCACATGCCTGTGGTACAAGCTACTTGGAAGGCTGAGGCACACTAATTGCTTTAGCCTGGGAGGCAGAGATTGCAGTGAGCTAAGACCATGCCGTTGCACTCCAGCCTGGGTAACAGAGTGAGAACCTGTCTCAAGAAAAAAAAAAAGAAAATATTATAGTACATTGTATGTAATAAGAGTAAGTACTATTTAATGAACCTTTTGTTTTAAATATTTAAATAAAATGCATGTATATGTACTGGGTCATGATATAAAATGTTATTTCTTTGTTGCAGTCAAAAAGCTCAAGAAACTGTACTGTGAGATTCATGAGGACAGGACTATGACTGATTTATTCTTGTGTACCTGAGACAGAGTCACCACTCAAATTTTAGTTGAAAGAATGACAATAGCTACCCTTTATTGAACATTTATTTTACTTTGGAACTGTGCTGAGTATTTCATGTGCATTTTCTTATTTGGTCCTCACAGTAACCCATAACATAGATAGCATTATTCTCCTTATACATGAAATTACAGAGGTTCAGAGAAATGAAAAGTTTATACAACTAGTAAGTGGAAAGCTAGGACCTTGCCTGTCTGACTCCAAAGTTGTTACAGGCATACCTCAGAAATATTGTGGGTTCAGTTCCAGACCACTACAATAAAGTGAATATTGCAATAAAGTAAGTCACATGAATTTTTTGGTTTCCCAGTGCATATAAAAGTTATGTTTACGTTGTACCTTAAGTGTGGAATAGCATTATGTCTAAAAAACAATGTATGTACCCTAATTAAAAATACTTTATTACTAAAAAATGCTAACGATTATATCATCCTTCAACAAGTTGTAATATTTGTGCTGGTGGAGTGTCTTGCCTTGATGTTGAGGGCCTTTCTCTGGATTAGGCTTTGGCTTAAGGGAATGTTGTGGCTGGTTTGATCTTCTTTTTTTCCTACTGGAAATTTCCTCATCTTTTAACGATTTGATCTTCTATTCAGAGTACAAAAACTTTCTCCATACCAGCAATAAGGCTGTTTCACTTTCTCATCAATGGTGCGTTCAGTGGAGTAGTACTTTTAATTTCCTCCAAAAACTTTTTCTTTGTTTTAACAAGTTGGTTGTTTGGTGAAAGAGGCCTAGCTTTCAACTTGTCTTGGCTTTCAACATGCCTTCCTCAGTAGGCTTAATCATTTCTAGCTTTTGATTTGAAGTGAGAGATGTGTGACTCTTCCTTTCATTTGAACACATAGAGGCCATTGTAAGGGTTATTAATTAACCTAATTTCAATACTGTGTCTCAGGGAATAGGGAGACACAAGGAGAGGGAGAGAGATGGGGAACTGCTGGTCGGTGGGTCAGAACACATACATTTATCCATTAAGTTTGCCACCTTATATCGGTGTGGTTCATGACAGCTCCAAACAATTACAATAGTAACATCAAACGTCACTGATCACAGATCACCATAACAGATACGATAATAATGAAAATGTTTGAAATATTTTGAGAATTACCAAAATGTGATACAGAGACATGAAGTGACCACATGCTATTGGAAAAATGGCACTGATACACTTGCTTGATGCAGAGTTACCACAACCTTCAATTTGTGACAAATGCAGTATCTGCAACGTGCAATAAAACTGGGTATGCCTGTGTTCTAAACTATTATGTTTCCATTGTGAAGAGAATGTTTTACACTCTTGTTAGTGAAGTTTATTCTTTAAAAGTCAATCGTCAAGGATTTAGCAAATGAATTAGCACTTCGGATATACTTGTTTATTTAATATCTTTTTTGTTTATTTCAAAGAATTCAGTAATTGGATCATAACGAGACTTCTGCGGATTGCAGCAACTCCCTCCTGTCATTTGTTACACAAGAAAATCTGTGAAGTCATCTGTTCATTATTATTTCTTTTTAAAAGCAAGAGTCCTGCTATTTTTGGGGTACTCACAAAAGAATTATTACAACTTTTTGAAGACTTGGTTTACCTCCATAGAAGAAATGTGATGGGTCATGCTGTGGAATGGCCAGTGGTCATGAGCCGATTTTTAAGTCAATTAGATGAACACATGGGATATTTACAATCAGCTCCTTTGCAGTTGATGAGTATGCAAAATTTAGAATTTATTGAAGTCACTTTATTAATGGTTCTTACTCGTATTATTGCAATTGTGTTTTTTAGAAGGCAAGAACTCTTACTTTGGCAGATAGGTTGTGTTCTGCTAGAGTATGGTAGTCCAAAAATTAAATCCCTAGCAATTAGCTTTTTAACAGAACTTTTTCAGCTTGGAGGACTACCAGCACAACCAGCTAGCACTTTTTTCAGCTCATTTTTGGAATTATTAAAACACCTTGTAGAAATGGATACTGACCAATTGAAACTCTATGAAGAGCCATTATCAAAGCTGATAAAGACACTATTTCCCTTTGAAGCAGAAGCTTATAGAAATATTGAACCTGTCTATTTAAATATGCTGCTGGAAAAACTCTGTGTCATGTTTGAAGACGGTGTGCTCATGCGGCTTAAGTCTGATTTGCTAAAAGCAGCTTTGTGCCATTTACTGCAGTATTTCCTTAAATTTGTGCCAGCTGGGTATGAATCTGCTTTACAAGTCAGGAAGGTCTATGTGAGAAATATTTGTAAAGCTCTTTTGGATGTGCTTGGAATTGAGGTAGATGCAGAGGTAAGTAATTTTTCAGGTTACTAGTTAAGTATGTATTTTGTTCATCATTTAATTGTATACATATGTGCAAAATGTAATAATAAGAAAATAGAATATCTTTAATAGTAATTTATATTTGGAACATAATGATTTTCATAGTGTAGTCTGGCTCACTATTATGGACTTTTACTTTGATTTCAGAAGGATTTGTTCATTAAGTTGGTAATGAACTGCCAATGGAGTAGAATGTTTCTAAGTAGAATCTGTGAAGTGTAAATGTATTTGTTGCATTATTAATTAAAAGGGGGCAGTTACCAACTTAATTGCAGAAGCTTTGGTCAATCAGATTATGTGTCTGACAAGTTATAATCAATCACTTTTAGAAAACCTATGAATGATTAATCATGCCAAATTATGCGCTTTTTTCTATTTGGACTGTGGGAGTCAGGTAATACAATAAAATCATCAGAGATGCAGTAACTTGATTAAATATTTTAGTTTATTAATCTTGCTGGATTAAAGTTACATGAAGAAAGTTGGTAATTCCCTTACAGAATTTTTTATAAGGGAATTAAAATTTATAGCATTTTGGTAAGAGGAAAAACAGGATGTAGAGAGAAGGATTTGTTTAAACCTTCTAAGACTATAGAACCATAGTCTATATATAGACTTAAATAATATAGATCAATTTAGATGTTTATTTTGCTTTATGAGACTCTAAAAGTAGTTTCACTAGAAAACACCTAACATCTAATACATTCTTGCTGCCTATGAATAATATAAATATATTTTCTAAGGAATATTTCTGGAAATTATTTTTTATTTTCTCAGTACTTGTTGGGCCCACTTTATGCAGCTTTGAAAATGGAAAGTATGGAAATCATTGAGGAGATTCAATGCCAAACTCAACAGGAAAACCTCAGCAGTAATAGTGATGGAATATCACCCAAAAGGCGTCGTCTCAGCTCGTCTCTAAACCCTTCTAAAAGAGCACCAAAACAGACTGAGGAGTATGATGACCTTCATTCAGTTTGTATTTAGCCATTAAATAAAACTTTGTTCACTTTTAAAAATCAGCTTTAGTTAAGTGCTTTGATTTAAATACACAAAGAACATCTTTCTAAATGTAGCCAAGGGAGTGCTTAAAATATTTTTATAATTATTGTAGACGGTTAGTAGTATAAAACATTTCATGGTTAAATATAGTTACTTTGCATGTTTTTATATGCTTATCTAATTTAACTTTTTAATATGTGAAAAATCTTTGAGACTGTGCATCTATTAGCAATTTTTAAAACATTAACCAACTATTTTTTATAAAGTGGCTAAGTTGCCATATTTCAGTTACTTCTGAACATTGTTTTAATTGTTTTAAATCTTAGTATAAATTTCAGGCTGGGCGCGGTGGCTCACGCCTGTAATCCCAGCACTTTGGGAGGCCGAGGCGGGCAGATCACGAGGTCAGAAGATCGAGATCATCCTGGCTAACACGGTGAAACCCTGTCTCTACTAAAAATACAAAAAATTAGCCAAGCGTGGTGGTTGGCGCCTGTAGTCCCAGCTACTCGGGAGGCTGAGGCAGGAGAATGGCGTGAACCCGGGAGGCGGAGCTTGCAGTGAGCCGAGATGGCGCCACTGCACTCCAGCCTGGGAGACAGAGTGAGACTCTGTCTCACAAAAAAAAAAAATTTTTTTGAATAGTTGATATTACATAGTATGTTTTATTCTAAATATGTTTCATGTTTTAACCAAATTTATATTGCATATGAATATCTCTCTACTATATTCATAATTATAGAATTAAACATGTGGACATGAACCAAAAGAGCATATTATGGAGTGCACTGAAACAGAAAGCTGAATCCCTTCAGATTTCCCTTGAATACAGTGGCCTAAAGAATCCTGTTATTGAGATGTTAGAAGGAATTGCTGTTGTCTTACAACTGACTGCTCTGTGTACTGTTCATTGTTCTCATCAAAACATGAACTGGTAAAACAAACTTCTTGTTTCTTGGGGTTGGGTTTCCTGTAATGAACTTGGATTTACTGTTTACTCATTATTCACTTGACTCATGTAACCTTAGAACACAAACTTTTCACTGAAGTAGTTAATAAATTTATTTTCTATTGAGTCAAATGCTAGGTACGGTGCTAAGCACTGTATATATCTTAGTTAATATTTACAATAGTCCTGTAAGGTAAAGGCTATTATGCCTATTTTAAAAATTAGAAACTGACACTCAGAGAAACTGAGGCTCTTTTTTGTCTGAAGCCAAAACTGACTTTCCTGGGGACACATGATTAGAAAGTACCAGAACACATTTGTGTACAACTCAAAACCCAGTGTTTGGCTGTTGAAGACAGGGTCTCGCTTTGTCTCCCAGGCTGGTGCACAGTGGCATGATCATGGCTCACTACAGCCTTGATCTCTATCCGGGGCTCAAGTGAGCCTCCCATGTAGCTGGAACTATAGGCATGTGCCGCCACACCCTAATTTAGAAAAAATTTTTTTTGTAGAGATGGGTTTCCCTATATTGGCCCGGCTGGTCTCAAACTCCTGGGCTCAAGTGATCCTCCCACCTCAGGCTCCCAAAGTCATTTGGTTCCCAAATCCTAAGGGTGATTTAAGCTGACATAAATAGATTCAACTTAAAATAGTAATAACATATTACTTGATTTGCATGTTTACTTTAAATTGTTATAGATAAATTTCGTACTCACAATTTCTTTTGGCTTTACTACAATTTTATGTTTGACTATAACAAAATTCATCTTAATTCCAATGTTTTTAACAAAATGTACTTACTGCAGCCGTACTTTCAAGGACTGTCAACATAAATCCAAGAAGAAACCTTCTGTAGTGATAACTTGGATGTCATTGGATTTTTACACAAAAGTGCTTAAGAGCTGTAGAAGTTTGTTAGAATCTGTTCAGAAACTGGACCTGGAGGCAACCATTGATAAGGTGGTGAAAATTTATGATGCTTTGATTTATATGCAAGGTGAGTACAAATTAGCAACAGATCAGAATAACCTTTAAAGATAATCAGTATAGAAATATGCTTTCTTTTTTGCCTGAAGCCTAAGTGCGTGTTTGGAATACTCAGAAGTTTTTTCCTGATTTCAGTTCTATTAAATTTGTCAATAATAGAAGTTCTGAGTTGCCAATTTATGTGCATAATATTTTGATTCTTTAGTCAATAGAAATTATTTATAACTTCAAAGTTTTTTAATTTGGGAGTTTGAGGAATGCCGTGATTCTTCTTTAAAACAGGCATAGATAACATGTTTTTATAAAGTCACATTTAATTTCTTTGGGTTCACAGACCTCAGACCATCGTTTATAGATCTCTGTGTTAAGAATTTCTGCTTATCCAATGATCATTATGATAGTATTTCAAATGTCTTTATTTTTATTTAAAAGAGATATGATTAAGGAAAAGTTATAATTAATGACTTATTTTGTGCTTCTGTAGTAAACAGTTCATTTGAAGATCATATCCTGGAAGATTTATGTGGTATGCTCTCACTTCCATGGATTTATTCCCATTCTGATGATGGCTGTTTAAAGTTGACCACATTTGCCGCTAATCTTCTAACATTAAGCTGTAGGATTTCAGATAGCTATTGTAAGTGCTCACAAGAATGTGTGTGTGGTTTGTTTTATTTATCTATCTATCTATCTATCTATCTATTTATTTATTTATTTATTTATTTATTTATTTATTTTTGAGACGGAGTCTTACTCTGTCGCCCATGCTGGAGTGCAGTGGCGCAATCTCGGCTTGCTGCAACCTCCGTCTTCAGGTTCAAGCAATTTTCCTGCCTCAGCCTCCTGAGTAGCTAGGATTACAGGTGCGCACCACCATACCCAGCTAATTCTTATATTTTTAGTAGAGGCGGGGTTTCACCATGTTAGCCAGGCTGGTCTCGAACTCCTGACCTCAAGTGATCCACCTGCCCCAGCCTTCTAAAGTGCTAGGATTACAGGCGTGAGCCACCATGCCTGGCCTTGTGTGGTTTGTTTTAACTCATCTCTATATAGGACTTCTAAGACTTATTTATATTTTTTTCAATAATTAAAAGAGCAGGTACATTTTTAATAGTTCAGAAGGGGGTTAGATACATAAAAAGTAACACATAAAAGCCTGCCCCACATATCCCATTTCCTTTCTTTTTGTAAAACATTTGCAATGTGTCCTTACATATCATTATCTTCATTTAATAAAATTAGGAAGTATTTGAGAAATATTTTAAAAAGAAGAACAATATACCAAAAATTCTTATACCAACTTCTCAGTTTAAGAAATAGAAACATTAGGCCAGGCACGGTGGCTCACGCCTGTAATCCCAGCACTTTGGGAGGCCAAGGCATGCGGATCTCTTGAGGTCAGGAGCTTGAGACCAGCCTGGCCAACATGGCAAAACCTCATCTCTTCTAAAAATACAAAAATTAGCCAGGCATGGTGGCTCACGCCTGTAGTCCCAGCTACTAGGGAGGCTGAGATACAAGAATCTCTTGAACCCAGGAGGCAGAGGTTTCAGTGAGCCAAGATTGCACCCCTGCACTCCAGCCTGGGCTATTAGAGATATGATGGAAGCCTTTGTCCCTCTATGATTTCATTCCCCTCATTTTTTTCCCCAGAGATTACTACTGTTCTGAATTTGGTGTTGATTGTTCTGTTGAATGTTCTATTACTTTTACTATATATGTATTTATTTATAAATAATATAAGAAATTGTTTTGCTTCTTACAGCTTACATTTTGTTGATCAACACTATCTTTATGAGACTTATCCATGGTGATATGGGTAACTCTAGTTTTTATTTAAACTTCCAAATAGTAGCCAAATTTGGATGGACACTATCAGACCTCCTATTGGTGGACAATCAAGTTGTTTCCAACTTTTCACAATTACAAGCAACATTTAAATGAATATTTTTATAAATGATTCTTTAGTCATTCTAAGTCCTTGCTGTTTGAAAAGTATGCTCCACAGACCAGTAGCATCGCCACCATTTAGGGACTTGTTAGAAATGGAGCGTCTTTGATTCTGCTGAAAGAGCACATTAAAAAAAAAGAGAGAGAAAGAAAGAAATGGGGAATCTTATGCTCCACCCAGACCTACTGATCAGAATCTGCATTTTAACAAGATAGGTGATTCATATCCATATTAAAGTTTGAGAAGCATTATTTTAACGTTTTTACCTACCTAGGAGTAGTATTGTTGGGTTATAGAGTTTGCACATCTTCACCTCTATTCTGCTGTATTGTTCTCCAAAGATACACCAGTTTACACTCCTGTTAGCAGAGTATGAGTTCCACATCCTCACTGACACTTAGCTGACTTTAAAATTTTTGCTATCTAGAAAATAAAAAATGTCATGGAGTTAAGTATCTTAAATTTTTTCTTTTTCCTATCTGGTAGGTATGATTTTCAATTTGCATTTCCTTGATTATTTAGTAAGGTTGTGTATAGACCTTTTTCAGTGCACTTGCTTTATTTTCTGAAAAGGAGCTTTTAATTAAATTAGGTATTAAATGTATTTTAAGTGTTACTTGACTTTTATTTATATATATGTATACACAAATGTTACTTTACTTATATATATGTATATGTGTATACATAAAATTAACATTAGTAGAAATCTTGTTTAATAGACTTAATTTTTTCAGCACCACAGGCACAATCACGATGTGTGTTTCTTCTGACTCTGTTTCCAAGAAGAATATTCCTTGAGTGGAGAACAGCAGTTTACAACTGGGCCCTGCAGAGCTCCCATGAAGTAATCCGGGCTAGTTGTGTTAGTGGATTTTTTATCTTATTGCAGCAGCAGAATTCTTGTAACAGAGTTCCCAAGATTCTTATGTATGTACTAAGATTTTAATTTGAATATATCACTCTATTGGAAAGATCATAATTGTCTGGCTATGTATGCAGGGTTGTGTTTATTGTTGAATATGTAAAGCAAATGTTGCTTTTAGTTTTAGAATTTAACATTTTTTCCTTCTAGGCTTTGTTTTACCAGTACTTTTGTCCCAAATTAAGCAAGACTATTTAGACCACAAAATTAGGCAAGAAAGTTTAGTACTTTTTCTTTTTTTTCCCCAGAGATAAAGTCAAAGATGATTCTGACATTGTCAAGAAAGAATTTGCTTCTATACTTGGTCAACTTGTCTGTACTCTTCACGGCATGTTTTATCTGACAAGTTCTTTAACAGAACCTTTCTCTGAACACGGACATGTGGACCTCTTCTGTAGGAACTTGAAAGCCACTTCTCAACATGAATGTTCATCTTCTCAACTAAAAGCTTCTGTCTGCAAGCCATTCCTTTTCCTACTGAAAAAAAAAATACCTAGTCCAGTAAAACTTGGTGAGTGATTATGACTTATTTAATACTTTAAAACCTATTTAAGCTCTGCTTTTCAAATCAGTAAAAGAATTAGACTGAAGCCTTGAAAAATTACAGGAAGTTACATGCTTTATAGATTCAGTGCTCAGTATTGATTAGTTATAAATGGGATAACTGGTATTAGATCGCATCACAAAACTGGTAGGAGAGGTGATTTTGGGATTTTTCGAATACTCTTGTGATTTGACAGCCTAAATGGGGCATACCTGATGGTTGTTTCAATATTGTAAGATTCAATATTAGATTATCTTCTTTAGTGATACCAGAGATCGTCTTAATGTGCCCCCTGTTACAACCTTGGACCTTGAGAACTTCAAATAGTTAAATTACTTTGCCCAACTGAGGACTATAGAGTGTATCTTCTTGGCCACTTTCCAGTGGTAATGGAGTATAAATTTTTATGAAGTATGAGATTTATACAAATACTTAGAAGATCCATTTGTTTAGGTAGTAAGTTGAAACTTGTTCTGAAGTTTCAATAGAAACTTTCTATTGAAAGCAATAGAAAGTACTCCCTAAATCTTGTAATGTAAGGTTAACAATAAAGCTAAGATCCCCTTGAGAAATGTGCTTTTCTTTTTTTCTTTTTTTTTTTTTCCCCGAGACGGAGTTTTGCTCTTGTTGCCCAGGCTGAAGTACAATGGCGCCATCTTGGCTCACTGCAACCTCTGCCTCCTGGGTTCAGACGATTCTCCTGCCCCAGCCTCCGGAGTAGCTGGGATTACAGGCGTGTGCCACCAGGCCTGGCAAATTTTTGCATTTTTAGTAGAGACAGGGTTTCACCATGTTGGTCAGGCTAGTCTCCAACTCCTGACCTCAGGTAATCTACCCACTCTGTCCCCCCAAAGTGCTGGGGTTACAGGCATGAGCCACCATGCCCGGCCTTTCTTCTTTCTTTTTTTTTTTTTAAGAGACAGGGTCTTGCTCTGTCACCCAGGCTAGAGTGCAGTGGCGCAATCATGGCTCACTGCAGTCTGCATCCTTGATCTCCCAGGCTCAAGTGATCCTCCCACCTCAGCCTCTTGAGTAGCTGGAACCATAGTATGTGCCACTACACCCAGCTAATTTTTAAATTTTTTGTAGAGAGGGATCTCACTTTGTTGCCCAGGCTGGTCTTTGAACTCCTAGCTTCAAGTGATCCTCCCACCTTGGCCTCCCAGAGTGTTGGGATTACAGGTATGAGTCACCACTCCTGGCCTGCAATGTGTTTTTAAGTTTATCTTGGTAACATATAATGGTCTACAAAATCTGAAAGAGACTTGTTATTTTATAACAATTCTGGAAATTATTTTAGATTTAAATTATTTATAGGCTGAGTGCAGTGGTTCGCTCCTTTAACACCAGCACTTCGGGAGGCCGAGACAGGCGGATTGCCTGAGCTCAGGTGTTCGAGACCAGTCTGGGCAACATGGTGAAGCCCCATCTCTACAAAAAATACAAAAATTAGCCAGGCATGGTGGTGCATGCCTGTGGTCCCAGCTACTTGGGAGGCTGAGGTGGGAGGATCACTTGAACCTGGGAGGTCAGGGCTGCATGCTGCAGTGAGCCGTGATCATGCCACTGCACTCCAGCCTGGGTGACAGAGCAAGACCCTATATCAAAAAAAAAAAGTGACATTTATTAAATATAAAGTAATTTTAATTTATAAGTATCCATTTTAATTTCCTAAAATTCTGTGTGCTATACATACTTAAATATGAAACATTGACATTATAAGAGAACTTAGGATTCTTCATGGCATATTATTTGTTGACAATATTTTTACAGTACAACCTTGACATTTAATATGTTAAATTAGGTATTGTATACTCTTGTCCTTCAGCTTTCATAGATAATCTACATCATCTTTGTAAGCATCTTGATTTTAGAGAAGATGAAACAGATGTAAAAGCAGTTCTTGGAACTTTATTAAATTTAATGGAAGATCCAGACAAAGATGTTAGAGTGGCTTTTAGTGGAAATATCAAGCACATATTGGAATCCTTGGACTCTGAAGATGGATTTATAAAGGAGGTTGATAATTTTTGTTTTTAACATTTGAGTTTACGTCAACCTAGCTCTAAAAATTTCTTTAACCAGTTAATTTTATTGTTCTAGCTTTTTGTCTTAAGAATGAAGGAAGCATATACACATGCCCAAATATCAAGAAATAATGAGCTGAAGGATACCTTGATTCTTACAACAGGGGATATTGGAAGGTATACTTGGCAGCATTTGTGTTCTTCCTTATTTATTTTGGCCATTCTCCATTTTTATTTGCTTGCTGTTAAAAATGGTGATATGATATTTGTGATATTATAGACAAAATGTGAGTCAACATGAATTTATTTGTAGATTTCCGTTTGTTTCTGGGATATTGGAGATACATATGTGTGTGTATGTGTGTGTGTGTGTGTGTGTGTGTTTGTGTATTCATATGTATGTTGTTTTTAATTTTAGGGCCGCAAAAGGAGATTTGGTACCATTTGCACTCTTACACTTATTGCATTGTTTGTTATCCAAGTCAGCATCTGTCTCTGGAGCAGCATACACAGAAATTAGAGCTCTGGTTGCAGCTAAAAGTGTTAAACTGCAAAGTTTTTTCAGCCAGTATAAGAAACCCATCTGTCAGGTAAGAGTCAGCGTTTGTCTGGACTATAGGCAACAGCAGTACTTTTTAAGAGTTACAAAAAAGAAGAATATTTATACATGTTTTATTTTGCTTGCTTTTCTTTTTTCTTCAATTTATATTTTAAGTTCAGGGGTATATTGCAGCATGTAGAGGTTTGCTACATAGGTAAACGTGTCGTGGTGGTTTGCTGCACAGGTCATCTCATCACCTAGGTATAAGCCCAGCATGCATTAACTATTATTTCTGATACTCTCCCTTCCCCCACCCCCCTTACAGGCCCCAGTGTGTGTTGTTCCCCCCATGTGTCCATGTGTTCTCATCATTCAGCTCCTACTTATAAGTGAGAACTTGTGGTGTTTGGTTTTCTGTTCCTGTGTTAGTTTGCTGAGGATAATGGCTTCCAATTCCATTCATGTCCCTGCAAAGGACATGATCTTGTTCCTTTTTATGGCTGTATAGTATTCCATGGTGTATATGTACCATATTTTCTTCATCCAGTCTGTCATTGATGGGCATTTAGGTTAACTCCATGACTTTGCTTTTTTTTTTTTTTTTTTGAGATGGAGTATTGCTCTGTTGTCCAGGCTGGAGTGCAATGGTGCAATCTCAGTTCACTGCAACCTTCACCTCCCAGGTTCACGTGATTCTCCTGCCTCAGCCTCCCAAGTAACTGGTATTATAGGTGCCTGCCACCATGCCTGGCTAATTTTTGTATTTTTAGTAGAGATGAGGTTTCACCATGTTGGCCAAGTTGGTCTTGAACTCCTGATCTCAAGCAATCCACCCGTCTCAGCCTCCCAAAGTGCTAGGATTACAGGCATGAGCCACTGCACCTGGCCAACTTTGCTATTGTAAATGGTGCTGCAGTGAACCTACATGTGCATGTATCTTTACTATAGAATGATTTATATTCCTTTTTATATTCCTTTGGGTATATACCCAGTAGTGGGATTGCTGGGTCAAATGGTATTTCTGCCTCTAGGTCTTTGAGGAGTTGCCACACTGTCTTCCACAATGGTTTAACTAATTTAGACTCCCACCAACGGTATAAAAGCATTCCCTTTTCTCGGAAACCTTGCCAGTATCTGTTTTTTGACTTTTTAATAATAGCCATTCTGCTGGCGTGAGATGGTATCTCATTGTAGTTTTGATCAGTGATGTTGAGCTTTTTTTCATGTTCGTTGGCTGGCTGCATGTATGTCTTCTTTGGAGAAGAGTCTGTTTATGTCCTTTGCCCACTTTTGTTTTTTTCTTGTAAATTTGTTTAAGTTCTTTGTAGACTCTGGATATTAGACCTCTGTCAGATGAATAGATTGCAAACATTTTCTCCTATTCTGTAGGTTGTCTGTCCACTGTGATGATAGTTTATTTTGCTGTGCAGAAGCTCTTGAGTTTAAATAGATCCTATTTGTCAATTTTTGCTTTGTTGAAATTGCTTTTGGTGTTTTTGTGATGAAATCTTTGCCTGTGCCTATAGCCTGAGGTATTGCCTAGATTTTCTTCTAGAGTTTTTATAGTTTTGAGTTTTACATTTAAGTCTTTAATCCATCTTGAGTTAATTTTTGTATATGGTGTGAGGAAGGGGTCCAGTTTTAATTTTCTGCATATGGCTAGTCAGTTCTCCCAGCACCATTTATTAAATAGAGAGTCCTTTCCCTGTTGCTTGTTTTTGTCAGGTTTGTTAAAGATCGGATGGTTGTAGGTGTGTCATCTTATTTCTGAGTTCTCTAATCTGTTCCATTTGCTTGCTTTTTAAAAGTTTTATTTTCTTTTTTATTTTAAACATTTCTTAGAGACCAAATTTCACTCTGTTGTCCAGGCAGCATACAGTGACATGGAATGGTGTGATCATAACTCACTGAAACCTCTAACTCCTGGGCTTAGAGATCCTCCCACTTTAGCCTCTTGAGTAGCTGGGACTACAGGTGTGCACCACCACACCTAGCTAATTTTTATTTATTTATCTGTAGAGATGGGGTTTTAGAGAGAGCAGCCCTATTTTGCCCAGGCTGCTCTCTAACTCCTGGCCCCAAATGATCCTCCCACTTCTGCCTCTGAAAGTGCTGGGATTACTGTCATGAGCCACTGTGCCTGGTTTTAAAAAGAAAGCATTGTGCTTGCTTTAAAAAATTATTGTTAAGGCTGGGCGTGGTGACTCACACCTGTAATCTCAGCACTTTGGGAGGCCAAGGTGGGCGCATCACCTGAGGTCAGGAGTTTGAGACCAGCCTTGCTAGCATGGTGAAACCCCATGTCTACTAAAAATACAAAAATTAACCGGGCATGGGGCGGGCATCTGTAATCCCAGCTACTCAGGAGGCTGAGGCAGAAGAATCGCCTGAACCCAGGAGGTGGCGGTTGCAGTGAGCCAAGATCGCACCTCTGCATTCCAGCCTGAGTGACAGAGCAAGACTCTGTCTTTAAAAAAAAAAAATTATTGTCAAAAACGATGTATTTTGTTTATAGTTTATTTACTATAACTGAAATCTTGCCATTTTTATATTTTAGGATATTGGTCTGAAGATACAGGTTATAAATGAGGGAGGAAGGAAATCATCTTATAATGGTGTATAGACTTTTTAGTGATAGTAAACTGTTTTACACCTTGATATTATGTTATATGACACTTTGTTTTAAATATATTCAATTAATGGCTGAAAAGTTAGGTTATGCTAAAATACTGAATTTATTTGTGGTATAATCCTTAGCATGATATTCAAGTTTTTTAACTAAGTCTGATTATGTCATCTGTGAAAGGCAGATTATGACATAGTCTACCTCATTAAGGTTGTTATAAAAATTGAATGGACCAATTCAGATAATGTAGAATACTATTTGATACTGCCCTCTATGGTGGCTTAAAAAGTATTAGTTAAAATTTCTTCTTTGTGTGAAAACTCACAATAAAATGGTTTTTGCTCTAGTTTTTGGTAGAATCCCTTCACTCTAGTCAGATGACAGCACTTCCGAATACTCCATGCCAGAATGCTGACGTGCGAAAACAAGATGTGGCTCACCAGAGAGAAATGGCTTTAAATACGTTGTCTGAAATTGCCAACGTTTTCGACTTTCCTGATCTTAATCGTTTTCTTACTGTAAGTTGCAACATATAGTTCACTTGAGGTTTGCAATTCAGTATTTTGTTCATTCCATTCTAGATTTTGACTTTGATATGAGATTATTGCTTATGCTGTAAAACTTAAGTTTAAGTGGATTTGAGTCATTGTTCTTTATGGTTAGCTGTCCTGAAAAGTTAATACTAATTGAATAATGCTAATCAATTCAGTTAGCTATTTGAGCCCTTATGTCTTTGGTGCTATGATTTGTTCCGTTGGCAATTCAAAGTCTAATATGATCATTTCTGCTTCTAAGGTGTTGGAATAATAAAGTATAAAATTATAGTGGTATAAATGATCTACTATTACATATTTTATAGTATGGAGTGGACTCCAAATATGTGTGGCATTTAAAAATATTTTTGCACATAGCTTATGTGAATATTTTTTTCACCCAGACAAATGTACTTTTTGGTAATTGTTGCATTCTTTTTCAGAGGACATTACAAGTTCTACTACCTGATCTTGCTGCCAAAGCAAGCCCTGCAGCTTCTGCTCTCATTCGAACTTTAGGAAAACAATTAAATGTCAATCGTAGAGAGATTTTAATAAACAACTTCAAATATATTTTTTCTCATTTGGTCTGTTCTTGTTCCAAAGATGAATTAGAACGTGCCCTTCATTATCTGAAGGTAATTGAATATTTCTATATATTTTACTTTTTTATATAAATTAGCATTATAGGAAAGATGTAACATTCTTCTAGGAAAGAGGGTGAGTAAATTATAGCCTATCCTAGAAGAATGTAAGTTTAAATGTTGTTATGTTAAATAATCTTTGTCCTGAGAGCATATTAAATAGAATTCTCCTTTTGTTTTCTTTGATCATTTCACCATAATGGGATATGATAGGCATCCTTTCATGGGAGAGGTTCTCAGCCTATTTCATTATAGTACTTTTCAGTTGATTGGAGTTATAAGTTGACTGATGATACACACTTAATTATATCCATAGGAAGAGGCAATCACCTTCAAATGTAGTATAATGTCTATATTTTAGTTACTTGGTGTTCTGATTACAATTTGGTCCAGGTTTTTGGTAGTTTTTACATTTAAAATTATAACCTGTGCTTCTTTTTTTTGGTGTCATATTAACAAAATATCTCTGAGGAATATGAAACTACATGGGAACAGGAAAACTATGAGAAATATGCATATAACTTTACTGTTTTCTCTGATGTTAATTTACTTAATTTGTTTCATAATATATGCCAGCAGCACATCTCTTTCCACGAGAGTTAGTGAATATCAAATGTATTTATTCATCTTGAGAAAGTATTATTCGACTGTATATTGTGGAGATAGAATGATAGTAATAAGTATTTATGGAGTATTTAATACATGTCAGAAATTGAGCTAAACAATTGATATGGATCATTTCATGCAATCCTCACAGTTACCCAATGAGATAAAGGTACTCTTAATTTTTTTTTTTTTTTTTTGTGATGGGAGTTTTGCTCTGTAGCCCAGGCTGGAGTGCAGTGGCACGATCTCGGCTCACTGCAACCTCCACCTCCTGGGTTCAAGCGATTCTCCTGCCTTAGCCTCCTGAGTAGCTGGGATTACAGGTGTCTGCCACCAGGCCTGGCTAATTTTTGTATTTTTAGTAGAGGTGGGGTTTCACCATGTTGGCCAGGCTGGTGTCCAACTCCTGGCTGCAAGTGATCCACCTGCCTTGGCCTCCCAAAGTGCTGGAATTACAGGTGTGAACCAACACGCCCAGCCAAAGGTACTATTTTTTTGTTTTGTTTCATAGATAAGGAACTAAGGCAGAGTGAGGTTAGATTAGGTAACTTGTCCAAGTCAGCATATCTGATAAATGACAGCTAGAATTTAAACTAAAGCAATCTGAACAGAAAGACTGCTATAAGCCACTATACTACATTTCCTCCCAGGGTTGTGTGTCCCCAATAATGAGTTGATGATATTATAAGACCTTAGAGAAAACTAGGACTTGCTTTTTAATATTTTATTTCTAAATAAAGTTGGATCACTTCTCTTCATTACATATAATCCATGGGAGACCTACCAGGATAGAATAAGATTAGAATCTTTTCCAATGCCTTTTCTTAATACCTTTAATAAATCCTGTCATCTGGGCTAGAGCTCCTGATGTACTAATAGCATGTTAAAATCAGTATACTTATTTCCAGGATATTAGTATGAAGAAAAAAATTTTTTTTAACATGTCTTTGGGTTAGAATGAAACAGAAATTGAACTGGGGAGCCTGTTGAGACAAGATTTCCAAGGATTGCATAATGAATTATTGCTGCGTATTGGAGAACACTATCAACAGGTTTTTAATGGTTTGTCAATACTTGCCTCATTTGCATCCAGTGATGATCCATATCAGGGCCCGAGAGATATCATATCACCTGAACTGATGGTAAGGAATATGTTCTATGAGGTTTTTTTGTTTGTTTTTCTTCCTTTTGCAGCTTAATTATAAAATTGAAGAAATCATATTTTTGGTCATTTTCTGGCTGCTAGCCATTTGTTTAAATTTTAAGTTGGTATTTTTATTTTGAAAAGGCTGATTTAAATCACGTGGTCACATGCACAAGATCATGAACACGAGATCACGTTTATTTTCTTATAGCATTATCACAACTTTGTTTACATATTTACATATTTAGGGCATTAACAACATATATTAGCATTGAAAAATGTGGACTTTTAAGTGTTTTTAGTAGATTTTATTTTTTCACTGAATAAAAATGTTGAAGTTTATTTTTCTCTACTACTTTTAAATTACATGTATATTAGAATATGTTTGTAGCTCTCCTCTCACCCTGCCCCTCCGACTACTCTTTCCTTAGGTCAACAAATGAAACTTTTCAATTCTAACTGTAGTTTAATCCATTATTGGATAGAAGGGAAGTTTGGAAATATGTTCTCTATTTTAAATCTTTCCCTACCATAAATTTGTATTTGAAATCACTTTACTGTTTATCTATCTTAAAAAAATATGTAAATCCACAGAATTAAATTATTATTTTTTCTTTCAACTGCCCTTATTCTTGTAACAGACTTAAAGGACTGTTGGCAAAATATTTTAACCCATTTATGCCAGAGGTTGCAAATTTTTTTTGTGAAAAATCAGACTTTGGTGATGACCTTGAGCAGTAGGATATAAATAACTTCTACAAGCTTACCATTCCAATAATGGAATACTAGACATAAGTTCATTAAGAGAGATTTTTATCTCTGGTTTCTCATTTCCCATTCTAGTCTGGCTCTTTTCTCACTATTCCATGAAATTCCTTTTGTCAGGATCACCAACAGTCTTCTGGGCTATTAAATCTCATAGTCACTTCTCTGTCCTATCTTATTCAACCTTTCAGTATCATTCAATACAATTGGCCATTCTTTCCTGCGTGGCATCTGTGATACCACATTGTCTTGATTTTCTTTTTTGCTTCACTGTTCACTCATATTTAGGCTTCTTTACTGGCTTTTTCCCTGTAAATTATCTACTTTATCCTCTAAATGTTAGAATAACTCAGGACTATGTAACTGGCTCTTTTTTCTCAGTCATCATTCTCTCCTTTAATGATCTTCTTTGATCTTTTTCTTTAATATGAGTTACATTTTGATAATTTTTAGTTGAAATTTCAGTCCAGACTGCCTCTGAGCTTGGTTTTATAGGTTAGGTCCTGGGAGGAAACAGATGGCATACACACAAACATTTACACAGAAATAGTTTAACAAAGGGGCTACTTTTAGTGACATGGCAAGGTTAAGGGAACCAGCAAGGAATGTTAAGGAACCCAGGTACTACAAACCACAGAAAACTTAATGCCCCCCTTAGTTCTGGGAAAGGGGAAGAAATAGTGTTACTAGAACCTGATTGAGAGCCAGAACCATGAGGGGGGTCCTCTCATTGTAGAGGAACATAGCCACTGCCAGAACTACCTCAAAACACAGACAGAGCAGGAAATATGAATACCATACTCTCTCCTCCTACCCTCTGTTCTAGTGGTATTTCCTGCTGACTGAATTCAGTGGAAAGCCAGAGGGTAAGGGATCCTAAGTAATGCAGTCCGGTCAGTGTCCCAGGTACGGAGCAGGGCAGAAGGCGGCAGAGAATGGACCTGAGGATGACAGAAGATGGCAAACAGATATTCACCTTTTCATCATCTCTACTCTCATGTCTTATAAGCATCTCAAACAATTCCAAATATAATATGTTCATTAGAAATCTTTATTTTCCCTTTCTAATCTGTTTTTCTCCCAGTCTTTCCCATCTCAGTAATGGTACCGCTATCTACCAGTTGCATGAGACAAAACCTGAGAAGCATTCGTGAGCCCTCCATTTCCTTTATCCTTTTATAATTAATGAGCAAATCCTATCAAGTCTCTCCAAAATATATCTTTTCATTTCTGCCACCACCACCCTTACACAAATAATGATCATCTTTCTTGGGACAGCTGTGAACATCTCCTAATGGTTCTGTCCTTTCATTCTTCCCTCTCTACAATTAATTATTTACACAGCCTTTGGAGTGCTCTTTTTACAAACTCATATCGTTCCCCTGATTAAATTCCTTCAATGGTTTTCATTGCCCTTAACATAAAATAAAATCTGTAAGGCATACATGATCTGCCTACCTTTCTACTCTCACATGGTACAACTCTTTTCTTCCTTTCTCCCTATATTTCAACATGGTTTCCTTTGTGTTTCTTAAACATGCCAAACTTTTTCCTGCTTCGAGACCTAGGCCCTGGATGGTCTCTCTGCTTGGAATAATCTCCTGGATCTTTCTCATTCTTTAGATTTCAAGAGTTTCCTGAGTACCCTGTCTCGACTCCCTTACCACATTTCTTGTCTATCACAGGATTGTGTTTATTTTCTTATAGCATTATCACAACTTTGTTTACATACTTACTACTTATTTAGTGTCTTCCATTCATGCTAGTCTACCTTGTAAGCTAATGAGAGAGAATGACTCTGCTTATCTTGTACACCTGTACCCAGTATAGGATTCTAGGCATACATAATAAGTATTTGGTGATAGATAATATATTGGTAGGTAGATAAAGTCAAATAATTGTTTGTCTGAGTGCAAGAACTTTAATATTGGAATGTTGACAGAGATTGTGTGATCCTTATCTGCTTTTTATTTAAGCAACATAGGCTAGAACCATACAATTAGTGAATTGTGGCTTACCATGCCAAAGTTGAGTCTCAACCTAAATCAGAAGTTTGCAGAACAAAATGCAATTTTAGATTTTAAAAACCAGATGATTTCCTGTGCTAGGCAAGATAAAGATTTATCCTGACATCTAATCTGGAGAGACTTGTAGGATACCTCACTCCTCTCTATTATATGGTAGCACACACCCTCCTACCCTTTTCTTGGTAATGCATGGAACCTGAAGATACCTAAATCAGATGCCTCAACATCAAGCAGTGCAACTTTCTTATGGAGTTCAAAATGCTTTAGTTGCTACTCATTCCCAGCTCATTTTTTTTTTTTTTTTTTTTTGCTCCTTTCTTCTGCCTGTACATAAAGACATGAAACAAAAGAATATTCTTCTTTACAGACTGGTCACATTCTCAGTTTGTAGTAATATGAACAAATTGATTTAATACTTAGCTATATACTAAGTTCTTAGTGAATGGTATCTTTTTTTTTTTTTTTTTTTTTTTTTTTTGGAGGCAGGATTTTGCTCTGTCACCCAGGCTGGACTGCAGTGGTGCAATCTCAGCCCACTGCAACCTCTGCCTCCAGCGCTTAAGCAATCTTCCCACCTCAGCCTCCTGAGTAGCTGGGACCACAGGTGCATGCCACCATGCTTGGCTAATTTTTTTTGTAGAGATGGGGTTTTGCCATGTTACCCAGGCTGGTCTCAAACTTCTGAGCTCATGTAATCCACCTGCCTCAGCCTCCCAAATTGCTGGGATTATAGGCGTGAGCCACCACACCTAGCCAATAAATGGTATCTTATTTAGCCTTTACAACAACTCTATGCAGTAGGTGGTTTTATTATTCACATTTTACAAACTTGGAAGAATTAAGTAACTTATAGAAGATCACACATTAGGAAGTGTCAAAATTAAGATTCAAACCTAGATTTGGCTGACTTAAAGCCCATGCCCTCTCCTCCAGGACCTTCTCTTAAGAAAGTATTAACTTGGCCGAGCACAGTGGCTTACACCTGAAATCCCAGCACTCTGAGAGGCCAAAGCAGGAGGATTGCTTGAGCCCAGGAGTTTGAGACCAGCCTGGGCAACATGGCGAAACTCCATCTCTACAAAAAATACAAAAAATTAGCTGGGCGAGGTGGTGCGTGCCTGTAGTCACAGGTACTCAGGAGGCTGAGCTGGGAGGATTGCTTGAGTCTAGGAGGTTGAGGCTGCAGTGAGTCGTGATTGTGCCACTACACTTCAGCCTAGGTGACAGAGACCCTGTCGAGAGAGGAAGAAAAGAAGAGGAGAGAAAAGAAAAAAGAGAGAGAAAGGAGGAAAGAAAGAAATAGAAAGGAAGGAAGGAACTCTAAGAAAAAAGAGGAGGAAAGAAAGAAAAAGAAAGAGGGAGGGAGGGAGGAAGGAAGGAAGGAACCCTGTTTAAGTAAAAGAGGAAGAAAGAAAGAGAAAGAGGGAGGAAGGAAGCAAAGGAGGGAGGAATGGAAGGGAAGGAGGGAGGGAGGAAAGGAGGGAGGAAGAAAGGACGGACGGAGGGAGGGAGGAAAGGAGGGAGGAAGAAGGGATGGACGGAGGGAGGGAGGAAAAGAGGGACGGAGGGAGGAAGGAAGGAAGGAAGGAACTAAGGAAGGAACTCTGTTTACTTCAGGAAACCTAAAGCGTCATGGATGATGATATCTAGTCTGCAACTTTTGATGCCCATGGTCTTGTGCCTCTTTTCCCCTGTTACTTCCAGGGATATTATCCCCTATGTCAGATCATTATTCTGGTAGAATACCTTTTCCTTAATCGTACTTTTCTACCATAGCTCTAAATGTCATAGAATAAGGGCAGTCCCTTGTCTTTCTCTATTCTTTTCTTTCTTCTTTTCCTCTCCACCCCACATCCCGACATGAATTAGATCCTGAGGATCCCACCCCAGTTCACTCCATGATTAAAAAACTCATCATTTTCTCATTGTACTGTACTGTTTAATCATATTTTTTCGTGGTGACTATAAATCATTCCTTTAAATACTACATGTTTCTTTAAATACTACATGTGAAGATATATGCTTTTGGAGAAACTTAATTAACCAAGTGTTTATTTCTAATATGCTAATCTAGTTAGGTAAAATATAAATGACATTAATTAAATAATTAAAATGTCAACTTAAGAAATTCAATCTGTATAAAGCTTACATATTATCTGTTTTTATTTCTTAGGCTGATTATTTACAACCCAAATTGTTGGGCATTTTGGCTTTTTTTAACATGCAGTTACTGAGCTCTAGTGTTGGCATTGAAGATAAGAAAATGGTAAGTGGTGATAGTTCCAGAGTGCTAAGATAGAATTCATACAGAATATAGATAAATTCTGCATCTAGCTACAAACATTCAAAGATGAGAAATAACCAAATATGACATTCTCTATTGCTGAAGAACTCATATACGTTTTTTGGGAGTCTAAAAATTGGAATTGTATTCGTTTCATTTCTTTAGTTTAGGAGGGATAGAACACCCAACCCAAAGTGACTAAAAGGAACTTGTGGCTGTGTTACTAAAAGCGTAAGGATGATGTAGCTTTAGGCATAACTTGATTTTGGACTCAAAAAAGTTCTCAGAGTCAGTCTTTTGGCTCAGATTCATCTGGGTTGGCTCTGTACTTAAGAGCCAGTTAATGACCTCAATGGCTTCAAGCTCACGTCATCACAACATCTAGTCCAGCATTTGAAGAGAGAGACTAGCAATCACTGAAAGCTCAAACAAAAGTTGCATCATTGAGTCTCCTTGGTTTAGATTGGTCTGGTGTGGGTCATGGCTCATGGTGTTTTTGAACACCAGAAATCTTAGGTTATTATAATGTAAAGCAACTTTATGTTTAAATGCTTGTGCCACAGTGAAGTTTCATTATGACTGCTGCAACAGTTGGCCACCGTTGGAAATTTTCGTCCTATAAATTGGAGTAAAATTTTAGATATTGATAAAATTTCTCTTTCTGTTGCTTTCCACCTCTGCAGTCAGTAAGATTACAATAAAAACAAACAAAAAACACCTACGAATGGAAGCTTTTATTTCAGTGTATACTCTCCCCTCCTTTTTTTTTTATTAAGGAGCCAAGAAAGACATATGTTACCATATTAAATTTTGCAAATTTCAGCAACCAATGCCTGTTCTTTTGGTGTCAACTAGTAAATTCAATCCCCCAACCAACTACTATTCCATCTACATGGCTTCTTTCCTATTGTTTCCCCAATTGCTATTCTAAGGGAGAGAATCACCTTGAATCTAAGAAAACTACAGTTTGTCTTGTAAACCATAAATAACTAAAATGTTTTGGCATATAAAGTCGACCAGAGTTTCTTTACCCCTTCATTATAAACTGGAGCTGCTGATAACAGGTCTGGTTCTGTGTTTTTCATGTGTTTCATTTTCTGAGTGTATCATTAATTATTTGTTTTACTAAATTCAGGACATCTTGAATTTAATATCATTAGGACAAAAATTTCCTTAACTACTGATTACTAGGAAGTATTCCATTTACTACAAAAATTGTTATATGGTCTCAAATTTAAATGATTTTAATTCAGTTTGTTTTATATATGTGTATGGCAGTTTGGGATAGATATGAAAGAAATTAAACAATATGCATTATACCTTTAATAAATTAGAAATTGTACTGTTCTAGATGAATACTGGGCTAAAATAACAAATCACCTTCAAGGGAAAAAACAAAAAAGAACTCAACTTGTATTTTTCAAATTTATAATTACCACATAAGACATAAGCAATTGGACAAAACAAACTGGCCAACATTTATTCAATCTTTTGTATTATCTGAGAATAGATGACACCCTGATACTGGGTGGGAAGCACTTGTCCTTAGGGCTCATCTGCTTCTGGCAGCATGTTTATAAGCTTTACTCTGAAGCACTACTTAACTCTATAGGCCTTGAACAGTTTGATGTCTTTGATGAAGTTAATGGGACCCAAACATGTCAGTTCTGTGAGGGTGAAGATGATGACCACACTGAGAACTGGCCTTCGATTCAAGGATGATTTTCCTGAATTGTGTTGCAGGTAAATGACTGCCTGAGTTTATTAATTTTTTTTTTTTTTGCATTTTCCAGTAGCACTAACTTGAATTCTTATCTCTTTGAGGGAAATTGGGTTCAAATAATAAATAAGGTAGAAAGACTATTTATTTGTATTTAAAATAGAACATATTTACTTCTTTTAAAACATTTTACTATGGAAGTCTTTTAACATACTGGGAAATAGAAGAGTTATCAATGAACCTACATACCTATTTCCCAACTTTAGCAGTTATCAACATTGCTAGTTTTTTTTAATCCACTTCTACCTTTTTGATTGTTGGTTGGGGTATTTTAGAGAAGATCCCAGAATCTTATCATTGTGCTTGTAAATACTTTAGATGTATCTAACGGATGAGGACATTTAAAAAATAACCTTCATGAATTATTATACTTAGCAGGATTAATAGAAATATCTAATCTAAAACTCAGTCCTTAGTCACATTTCCTCCAGTTGTCTCAAAGGTATTTTTCCCAAAGACATTGTATATATTATGTTGTATATGACCAGAGATGTTTGTATGTATCAGAGATGTTTTTCCAGAGATGTTTGTATGTATCATAGTTTCTTGAATTAGACTATAAATGAAGTTTACATATGTGTATTTGGTTGCCTGGCTCCTTAAGTGTCTCTTGTAAACAGCCTCATCCCTTAAATTCTCTACTCACACATTTTACTTATTTTAGGCTGTTAAGATTTTAGGATGTTGGATTTGGCGAATAGCTAATTTAACTTTTCCCTCTATTTTTTCTTTCCTCCCTGTCTTTTCTATAAATGGGTACTTAGATATAGATGCTTGATTAGATTTAGGTTCAATTTATTATGATAACATACCTCATAGGTGAGGCTTTGTGCTTCTCTTGTGGCACAGTATGAGCCACATAATAATATCTGGTTGTCCACTTTTAGTAATGGTAAGATTAGACAGTAGGTTTTATCAACCTGAATCCCTTTATTATAAAATTCCCCACTAATCTTTCATCTGATGATTTTAGCATTAATTAATGATCATTGCCTAAGTCCATTATTTCATTGCAGTTGATGAAATAATGATTTTCTAATTTTATTATTCCTTCTGTATTTACTAGGTGGGATTCTTCTTAAAACAAAATTCCTCATAAAATTTGGCTAGCCGGGCATGATTGTGCGTATCTGTAGTCCCAGCTGCTTAGGAAGCTGAGGTGGAAGGATCATTTGAGGCCAGGAGTTTGAGTCTAGCCTGGGCAACATAGCAGGACCTTGTCTTTAAAAGCAAAACAACCATAGTTCATATAAAGCAGTTCATAAATACTTGAATATTTCCCTTTAGTTAATCAATTTAGGAATATAGGTTTGTGCTGTAGCAACCTCCAGTGAAGTTTTTTTAATATCATTTTGATAACGTAGATTTTTATAAGTTTGATTATTTTTTATCCATTAAAGTCACTATCCTTTTTTATTGCTGAAATTGTCCCATCTTAAGCAAGTAGAAATCCCTTCAAGTTGGCATCTATGAGTTTTGATATGACCTCTATTAATCTCTTATAGATTCTCTGCTTTCTGGCATGACAAGATGACCTGGGCTTATCTTGAACATTTCCTGCCTCTGACTCAAAATTAGTGATTTCTTCAAGGAAACCTGGCTCTGGTTCCTTTGAGCCCAGATTAATTCCAAGCATAGGCACTCTTTGGGCCTACTGTCATTGCTTCTAAGTCTTAAGTGAATGTAGCTACTAGAAAATTTTTATAAAGAATAGGTTTTAGAATCACGTGAAGTACTTATTTTCTGTGTGCATGTGCTACCAATTTAACATTTAGTTAGGTTCACTTGTTTCAGTTTCTTTAAAACTTTTAAGGGTTGCTTTTTCCCTCTATTTTATTTAATTTAAAAGTTATATAAAACATTTGCATAGTCCCAAATTCAAATCTGTGTAACAAATTATAGTCAGAAATCTAGATTCCAATTTCGACCTCTACAGATATCTATTTTTATTAATTTTTGTATATCCACCCTCTGTAAAAGAATAAGTAAATGCACACACACATACTTTTTTTTTATTATTAATTCTGCCCCAAACACTGTTTTTCACCTTGCTTTTTTGACTTCACATAATTTGGACATCACTTTATTTGAATATATAGCACTGATCTTTATTCCATGTTTAAAGCTGCCTTTTAATCTATTGTTTGTATATATCATGTGTCTTCAACTAATTACTGATTGATAGAGCTTTACAAATAATAAAAGTAATTGGACTTCATTTCTATTTGTTTTTTCACATAGAGCTTGGGACTGCTTTGTTCGCTGCCTGGATCATGCTTGTCTGGGCTCCCTTCTCAGTCATGTAATAGTAGCTTTGTTACCTCTTATACACATCCAGCCTAAAGAAACTGCAGCTATCTTCCACTACCTCATAATTGAAAACAGGTATTGTAACTGAAATTAATAGTAAAATAATAACTTTTTAAACTGTATTTTTATGTCTCAAAATTACTGATGGTAATGTGGAAACTGTCACTTTTTTGAATTTCAGGGTTTATCAATAAACAAAAGTAATTGGCATGTAATTACATATTGAAATGATGCTATTTCAGTTGTGGCATTGCTTCTATTATAATTATTTCCAAAGCTCACTAATAGGTCACCAGTTAAAAATTACTTTTCATTAATTCTGTAAATGTGTAACCTAATTTACCTTTCTTTTCACAGTCAAAAGGCAGATAGTTGAATAGCATGAGAAAGGTTAGGAGAGATACCTACTTTCTGCAGCTTACCTTAGTTGAAACCCTTATTACCTCATTGCGTTAAGCTTTGAACCAGCCTCTCTTCCTTTAAGCTTTCATCACTTTTCTTGATATTGTTACTAGAACTGTGTTTTAAAAATATCTCTTTATTGGTGTCATTCCAGCATACAAAGGCATTCTGAGATTCTCCATTTCCTAATTGATAAATTCCAAATTGCTTAGCTTGATATTGAAGGCTTTCTAAAAATGTGGCCACAGACTATTTCTTACTATCTTCCCCCATAATTTTTCAAAACAGGCATTAGGCTATAGCCAGTGTGGATTACTATTGACAGAACATGCATTATTCTTTCCCATTTGTATTTTTGATTCAGGCTGCTTTTTAGACTGGGATGTCTTTTTATATATTTAATTTTTTTTCTGTGATTTTACTTAATGTTGTATATAATCATTCCTTTGCTTGTGAAAAGTTGGGATTGAAGTACTACTTATTTACCTACTCACCCATATGCTATTGCTGGTCCCTTTAGTCAGTTGCAGTAACTGTCTAATGAGGGAGAAATCATAGAAGAAGGAAAAGTTAATGTGTTTTTATTTAGTTAAAATACTTTTATTTTTGATATTTTTATATTTTGTGCATGATAAAACAACAAAATCACTAATTTAGATTTTGGGACTACTTTTCAAGTACCTTTTAAATTTTTTTGTACATAGTCATGTCTTTGCTGTTTATTGCAGAAGTGTCATTTCTCTACCTTTCTCATAATCATAAGAAAAATCCTGACCAGGCATGGTGGCTCATGCCAACAATACCAATACTTTGGGAGGACAAGGCTGGAGGATTGCTTGAGGCCAGGAGCCTGGGCAACATAGTGAGAACCTCATCTCTACAAAAAATACAGAAACATTTAAAAAAAAAAAAGCAAAAAGAGCCTGTAATCCTAGCTACTGCAGGCTGAGGCAGGAAGATTGTTTGAACCCAGGAGTTTGAGGCTGCAGTGAGTTATGATCATGCTGCAAGATAGAAGACCTTAAGCTTGCTGAATGAAGGCACTACTTTGGCTTTGTTTATTGTTCCATCCCCAGTGACTAGCAGAGTGCTTAGCATGTAGTAGCACATAGTAGTTATTTAATATATATTTATTGCATGAGTTAATGAAGACTAGGATTTAGAAATGCTTATATTTGGACCCAGAAAGATTAGAGCATTTATTATATTAGAAGGAAATTAAAAATTATAGCCCTGACAAGGATTATTTATGTATTTTTTTCTATAATTCTTCATGATAATTTGTATATTGAGGTAGTCTTTGTCTGTCTATTGCTACATTCCAAATCACTCCAAAACCTAGTATCTTAAAACAATGAGCATTTTTATTTGCTCATAATTTTGCAATCTGGACTGTGCTCAGCTGGTCAGTTCTACTGGTCTTACAAGTGGTCACTGATGTGGCCACATTCAGGGGGCAGGTAGACTGGGCTGGGCCCTCTCTCATTCCGTGTAGTCTCACAGTCTGTCTCTCTGTACCACGGTCTGTCCATGTTGGTGGCAACACTTCTTACGTAGTGACTCAGGGCTCTCCAGAACACACAAATGGAAACTTGCAGGCATTTTTAACAGGCCCCAAATTGGCACAGTATATCTTCTGCCACAGTCTATTTGCTAAAGCAAGTCACACACTCAGCCCAGCTTGAAGAGGAAGGGACTGTATATATGGGTTTGTATGCTGAGAAGCATGGTTTATTGTAGCACTATTATAGAGTGATTTTCATAGCTTTGGTCATTTTCCACTAATAATTTAGCTGAGCATCTTAGACATAGTTAGAAAATACTTTGCAGCTCAGTAATCAACTAGCACTTTTAATTATGAATTAAATTGGCCTTAGTTTCAACTTTTACTTTACATTTTTTTAGTATTCATATTCTTGGCAAATAATTCTTTTTATTCCAACTAACTATTAGGGATGCTGTGCAAGATTTTCTTCATGAAATATATTTTTTACCTGATCATCCAGAATTAAAAAAGATAAAAGCCGTTCTCCAGGAATACAGAAAGGTATTTAATTTTTAATTTGTGGTTTAGGAGATCATTAATACAGAATTGTTCCCAAGTTCCAATACATGAAATAAAGATCCTTTAGGATCATATCTAGGGATAATATAGTCCTATTCTGATAGCTAATTCCTGGTGAGTAGATAATGCTACCATGAATCCATGACTTTTGGAGGGAAGTTTTAGCATTTAGATTAAATATGTAACACCATTAGATAGAACAGAGAGCAAAAAATACAATTCTTATGCCTTTACTACCCAGACCAAAGTGTCCTTACTTATTGTCCCAAAAAGAAGCGCTACCACAGCGGCACACCCTAAGAGAAGAAAGGAAAGCTGTGGGATGATTCTAGTTTTGTTGTGCTACAAACCATGATATAGAAATGTCAGATGTGAATGATTCCTGAGATTTAGAAGGGGAATAATTTATAATTCCAGCATCTTAAATCTTAGTGAGCTCTCTAAAATTATGAAGATGTTAGTGGTGATTTCATAGAACTTCTGGGTAGAAAGTGGGACACCTGACCTTAGGTGTCACCTTGGGTAGTGAAAGGAATTGAATTACCTATATAATCCATAGACCTGGTTCAAAGCTATTATGTAGCCCTTTGTAAATTAAGGGAAACTTGTACTTCCTGTCAAGAAGTACTTATTTTAGAGAAGTAAATTCTTACTTAGTTGGGATAAAATTTTTCTCCAGGTCTAACAGTTTTACAATGAAATCCCTTTCCCTCAGAATTACTAAAAATGATTTGTGCTGTACAAAGGAAGGAATGGAAATTTCATTACTTTAAAAAATTGGTTTGGTATAGTTTAATGGTAACTATATAGAGAATTCAGGCCTTTGGAAATGGTTGTTAAAATAGTTGATTAATAAGTTCTGTCTCTCTGTGCTTTGTATATAGGAGACCTCTGAGAGCACTGATCTTCAGACAACTCTTCAGCTCTCTATGAAGGCCATTCAACATGAAAATGTCGATGTTCGTATTCATGCTCTTACAAGCTTGAAGGAAACCTTGTATAAAAATCAGGTATGCTAATATGATATAATTAAAAATGTATAACAAAGAAAGATTGGAGGCTTAAAGAAAAGATGACAAAATGACATTTTTGTTTGAGATTTAGTGAAAGAAGAAATTTTTATTTTACCTGAATTATCAGATCTGACTGAGAATTAGGAATCCATGAGATGCCCTTTGAGCTTGAATCTTAGGGATTTGCAGTTTTTGTTGTTTTTGAAGGATCATGATTTGATGGTTATATTTTAGGTTACTGCATCTTCGTAAGTAAACATGTATATAATTGTATAATACAGCAGCAGTTTATGTAAGTCTTCTCACATATTTCCTATGGATATATGTCATATGAAATGTCAGCAATTTTACTATTGTACATTTTGACTGAATTAACGTTAGTTTTAATGAAGCTAAATCTTTAAGTTTACTTTTTCAAGGGGTGAGTGAACTTTATTCTTTTCTTTGGCAACATAATGTAGATTATCCCTAAACTTGATGATAGTGAGAACTGGTATTTAAAATACCAGATCACTGTATATGAATAAATTGGAAAAAATTTAACGGAATTACTCATTTTTGCATATCTAGAACCCATATGGTAAGATATGAGAGCCTAAGACCCTCATGAATTTTGGGATTACCATTCTATAATGGAAGGGTTATATTTCCTTCCATTAATAGAAGCAAGCACTTACTTAGGACAAAAGATATACGTGATGGTAATGAGCACATTTTTCTGGGGCAGTGAGTTTGTATAACCAATGTGGGTAGCAGCCAGTGTGGAGATGATCCCAACAGAGGGGAGGAGCCTTGAATCTCCTCTAGGTTAAGTGTTGTGCCTTCCTGACTATAGATGTGCATTATCAACGTTACAGCCTCTATTCCTGCTCTAAACTACAATGAAACTACCCTGTGCTTGCCCCTAGCCCCATACCTTTACCTGGTTTTCAGGTAACTCAAAGGACTTTTAGCCTTTTAATTTAATACAGAGATTTATGAATCACAAAGGTTTTCTCCTCTTTGCATAGAGGTTTTCTAGTTTAGGTTATTTCCAAGCAGATGGCACAGTCATTGTCTAACATAAGGAAACTTCACCTCAATCATCACTTCCTAGATATAAATAACTAAATCTGAGAATTCAAGAAGATTTCTTACAGTCTTAAGGAAAGCTGCAGCTGCCTCACTTTGCCTCCTGGATCACAGAAGATAAATCATATGTGGCAACTTCCTTACAGGATTCCTTCAATGTAAAGCCCCAATGCTAATAGATTACCTAGACAGAATAAGAAGGGAAGTGTACTTGTAGGAGTCTTGAGTACTCTGATTAAGATATAATAGCCGTATATTATTATGGGATTTTTTTAAAGTAAGTATTTAATGTAGTTTAGCATCTATAACTGGATAAATTTATGGCAGGCTGGTAAGAAAAACTAAAGGCAAGGAAGATTGGAAGATCCATGAGGAGGTAAGAAAAGAATAAAGATCCAGAAACACGTCTTCCTAACCATACTCCAGCAGGCACTGGCCCAAAACACCTAGGAATAAAGAGAGAAGGAAATGGGTTTTTTCCCAACTGTGGCAAGAAGATAGCATTAAAGTTGAATACAATTGAATTAAGACTTCCAATAGTACTGTCCAAAGGACCTTTCTGTGAGGATGAAAATATTCTATATCTATACTCTTCAGCAGTAGCCACTAGCCACATGTGGCTCTCTTGAGCACTTGAAATATATGCTCAAACATTATGTTCTGAGTAACAGAATTTTTAATTCTATTTAATTTTGCTAATTTAAATTTATTTACTTATTTACTTTTAGAGGCAGGGTCTCTCCAGTACAGGGGTGTGATGATAGCTCCCTGCAGCCTGAAACTCCTGGGCTCAAGCAATTCTCCCACTTCAGCCTCCTGAGTAGCTAAGATTACAGGTGTGTGCCACCATGCTCACCTAATTTTTTTTTTTAAGAGATGGGGTCTTGCTATGTTGCCCAGGCTGGTCTTGAACTCCTGGCCTCATGCAGTCCCCTTGCCTGGGCCTCTGGGAGTACTGGTATTACAGGTGTGAGCCACTCTACCTGGCCTAATTTAAATTTAAATAGCCACATGTGGATAGTAGCTATTGTATTGGACAGTGCAGCTCTACAAGTTGGTTGAACCTACAGGAATACCACCAGAGCATGAAACTGGCATAAGATAAGAGGATGAGAGGCCAGAGTCTTTGTAGTCAGTACTCTTAAGAGTCCATGAGACAACAGATGCAAAAGATTCTGTTTTAGAATTTAAAATTTAGCCACAGGGAGAGGAAAAGATACTTTAAGAGTGGATTGAAAGGAGGTTTTTATTTAAAAATACACCTGAAGTTGTGGTAGGAGTGGCTAAACAAATGATTGGGTGTAATGTAGCAACAAAGCAAATTCCAAGAGGTGGTGATAGGAAAGTTAATAAGATGATCGCTGGTATAGCATTAGATACTTAACTATTTTTTATGGAATGACCCTGCAAAAGCCCTGTACTGATGGGTAGTCCCAGACAGTCATTGACATTGAAGAGATGACACCTTCTACTTATTTTTAAGGAGGAATATATATTTTTGAAGGAATAGAAGACTTCTAAGCTCAGTGGATGGCAGAAAATGATTTCTATGTAGAAAAGTCAGACTAGAGATCAAATTAAGAAACCATATAATTGGTTTCTGAAGATTGATACTAGTCAGGAATCCATTTGATAAAATCCCAAAAAGATAACTTTGTAAGAAGCCAAAATAAACTTTTATGGCAATGCAGAATTCTAATAAAATGACATTTACTAACGTTTACACATAAGAGAAGAGGCTATTGAAAATAAAACTGGGAGGTGGAGCCAAGATGGCCAAATAGGAACAGCTCCAGTCTACAGCTCCCAGCGTGAGTGACGCAGAAGATGGGTGATTTCTGCATTTCCAACTGAGGTACCGGGTTCATCTCACTGGGGAGTGTCAGACAGTGGGTGCAGGACAGTGGGTGCAGCCCACCGAGCATGAGCCGAAGCAGGGCACTTCTCAAAAGAAGACATTTATGCAGCCAAAAAACACATGAAAAAATGCTCATCCTCACTGGCCATCAGAGAAATGCAAATCAAAACCACAATGAGATACCATCTCACACCAGTTAGAATGGTGATCATTAAAAAGTCAGGAAACAACAGGTGCTGGAGAGGATGTGGGGAAATAGGAACACTTTTACACTGTTGGTGGGACTGTAAACTAGTTCAACCATTGTGGAAGTCAGTGTGGCGATTCCTCAGGGATCTAGAACTAGAAATACCATTTGACCCAGCCATCCCATTACTGGGTATATACCCAAAGGATTATAAAACATGCTGCTATAAAGACACATGCACACATATGTTTATTGCAGCACTATTCACAATAGCAAAGACTTGGAACCAACCCAAATGTCCAAGAATGATAGACTGAATTAAGAAAATGTGGCACATATACCCCATGGAATACTATGCAGCCATAAAAAAGGATGAGTTCATGTCCTTTGTAGGGACATGGATGAAGCTGGAAACCATCATTCTCAGCAAACTATTTCAAGGACAAAAAACGAAACACCGCATGTTCTCACTCATTGGTGGGAATTGAACAATGAGAACACATGGACACAGGAAGGGGAACATCACACACTGGGGCCTGTTGTGGGGTGAGGGGCTGGGGGAGGGATAGCATTAGGAGATATACCTAATGTTAAATGACGAGTTAATGGGTGCAGCACACCAACATGGCACATGTATACATATGTAACAAACCTGCACGTTGTGTACAAGTACCCTAAAACTTAAAGTATAATAATAAAAATAAAATAAAATAAAATAAAATAAAACTGCTAGAGACTTTCAGGTTGTCTTAGGATAATGGTGGATGCCTACATCTGAATTTCTGTGTAGCCCCTGAAATATCATAAAGAGTGTCAAGCAGAGCAATTGAAACCACACATAATTTACACCTTCAACAGAACTTTGAGACAGAATATTATGAACTTCAAATTACTTGTAACTAACAGAGATATCTGTGGAGCTCATATCTTAACCTTGTATGGTGTTGAGAGCGGGTACGTTCTGATGAGACTGTATAAAAAAAGAAGAAAATGAAGAATAGGAACTAAGAATTGATGGAGCAAAGAGAAAATCACCAACAGAAAGAGAGTCATACTCTTAAGTGCAACATTACTGAAAATAAGTCCAGGATGTGGTATGTCAGACTACTGGCTACAGGGAAGGTACTTGAAAGTATGCCCAACGTTTGTAGTCTCTGAAAATCAGTTTCTTGGGAGTAGTAAAAGAAGAGGAGAGGAGAGGCACTCTTCAGAGACTATGGCATAAACAGAAAGAAGAAAGTAAGAGGGAGAATTTTAAGGGTCCTGCAGAAGTAAAAGAAATGTACAAAATCAGAGATGAACCAAATCCTCCCCCTGCTACCAGAAAAAGAAAAAAAAGCTATTCATGAAGAAAACTGCACTTCACTATGCTGACGTGGATACTCATGAAAGAGAAATCCTGAAGCCACTACAGAATGCTTACTGCAGATAGCTGTTATGGAGGGTTTTCTAGTTTAGAAATTTCACAATATGTGTAGAAAAAATATATGTATGCAAGGTTCCTGTAAGACAAAAATAGAAAATGAAAATAAAGTCTGTGAATTGATGACAGTTCCTCCTCAAAACCAACCATAACATGGAAGAAGATTGAACTTAGCAGTATAACTTTAATTGAATATTTTAAACAATCAT
Source organism: Homo sapiens (assembly GCF_000001405.40). Lineage (NCBI taxonomy): Eukaryota > Metazoa > Chordata > Mammalia > Primates > Hominidae > Homo > Homo sapiens. Next base: position 142,530,328 of record NC_000003.12, on the reverse strand, counting down.
TTTCAGATATAAAAAAAGTTGCATGAAAAATTTAAAAAACAAGAGAAATAAAAACCAAGATGAAACGAGGGTGATTGAACTTAGGAAAGAAATTGAAATGAAGATTAAATTACAAGAACTACAGGGGAGAATATATTTGACTAAACATTTAGCAAGGGGCATTGAATAAAGGTATAAAAAACAGAAGAAAAATGAGATAAAGGAGTAAAATAGATAAAGGAGTAAAAAGGAGTAAAAAGAAAAAGTAGTTGAAATGGAAGATTGGCAAAGATTTCACCTGCAAATAATTGATGTCTCTGAAGAATAAAACCAAAACAAGAGAACAGAATTAATATTTAAAATTATAATCCAAGAAAGCTTTCTGGAAATAAAAGACCTAATCTACATATTGAAAAGACTTGTATCCTGGAGAAAATTGACCCAGGATAATTAACTCTGAGACATATCCTAGACTTTAATAATAAAAAGTCTTCAAAGCTTCCTGGCCAAAAAATTTTTTTTCAAAAAATTACTTGCAAGGAGAAAAAAAAGTAGATTGGTATCAGAATTCTCAGTAGGAATGTACAGAGTGGGCCTAGAAAATAGCAGCATTTTTTTAAAATGTCAAAAAATGTCATAAAGTATGAGTCAAGAAAGAGTCAAGCTGTCCTTAGAGTATCATGTATGAGAACACGGTTTTAAACCTACAAGAATTGAAGTAATATGGTTTTCACAAGTGATCCCTTCCTAAGAGATGTATTAGAGGATGAGCTTCATTAAGTCAAGAGATGACTGGGCAGACTTTGGCAAAAGGTCTGATGGTTACTGTTTATGTATTTAACGAAATATATAAGACTAAAACAACAATAGGGCAAGTGTGGGATAATTATATGTAAATGTTATATTCTAATAAACTAGAAATAATGCAATTTTTTTAAATGAGAGAAGGGGGAGAGTAAGGAGTAAGTAAGATAAGCTCAGTAATTGTTGCATAGGCAATAACTGGAAGTCAAAATATACCATTTTACACCGGCAAACTAGTTATAGAAAGTCAAATAAGGAAAAGAGGGAGTGTAGGTATTTCAAAAAATTACCTTAATTTTTATTTTACCTTTAAGGTAAATAATATTTCACCTTTAATTAATATTAAAGGTATTAATATATTGGATAGGCTGGGCACGGTAGCTCACGCCTGTAATCCCAGCACTTTGGGAGGCCAAGGCAGGCAGATCACGAGGTCAGGAGTTCAAGACCAGCCTGACCAACATGGTGAAACGCTGTCTCTACTAAAAATACAAAAATTAACCAGGCATGATGGCGCACCTGTAATCCCAGCTGCTCAGGAGGCTGAAGCAGGAGAATCGCTTGAACCCGGGAGGCAGAGGTTGCAGTGAGCCGAGATTGCGCCACTGCACTCCAGCCTGGGTGACACAGTGAGACTCTGCCTCAAAAAAAAAAAAAAAAAAAAAATATATATATATATATATATATATATGATAATTCCAGAACAAAAGTATAAACTGTCATCCTTACCCAAATAAATGATTTTTTAAACACGAAACAGGATAGAGGGAAGAAAGCACTAATTATAGTATACTGTATTATAATTATAATCCATTGTATTATAATAAAAAATCTGACAGAATTGTAGCCAAGCATCTGAGTCACATTAATAAGTGTGAACAACCTTAAAATTAAAAAATTTACAAATTGGCTTACAAAGTAAGAAACAACTCTCTACCACATGCAAGATACGTACCTAAAGTGATTCAGAAAGGCCAAAAATAAAGGGATAAGCAAAAATTATCCAGATAAGTGGAAAGTATAAGAAAGCAGGAATTCTCATTCTGCCACCAAACAAAATAGAACTGAAGCTGAAAAGCATTAAATATGACCAAAATGGATACTTTTTAATGCTTAATGCCATAATTCATAAGGAAGATTTAATAGTTATGAATATGCTCCAAATAACACACCAGCCACCTTGATAAAGCCAAAATAAGAAGCTTAAGAAGATATATATAGAAACTCAATCAGAGGAGACTACCATGTTATTCTCAGTATAAAATAAGTTAGTAGATAAATACGTAGAAGATCTAAATAACATAATAAAGTAGCTATTGTGAATATATGTCAGACGTTACACCTTGATAATAGAAGCATACTTTAAAGAGCAGATAGAACATTCATAAAAATTGATTATTGTATTAGTTGGATCTTTGTGTTAGTTTGCTAGGGCTGCTATAACAAAGTACTACAAACTGAATGACTTTAAACAACAGAAACAGAAATTTATTGTCTCACAGCTCCCATGGGCTAGAAGTTTGAGATCAAGGTGGTGGCAGGGTTGGTTCCTTTTGAGAGCTTCTGGTGGTTTGCTGGCAACCTTTGGTATTCTTGAATAAACAGATCCATAGAGATAGAAAGTAGATTAATGGTTGCCTAGGGTTAGGAGGTTTGGGGGAAATGGGGAGTGATTGCTGATGGGTACAGATTCCTTTTGAGATGGTAAAAATGTTCTGAAATTAAATAGAAGTGATGGTTGCACTTGTGATATACTTCATTATACTAAAACTTGTGAATATACTAAAGACCATTCATTTGTACACCTTAGAAGAGTTAATTTTATAGTATGTGAAACAAATATTTTATTAAAACTATTTAAGAAAAGATAGTACAGGAAGAAAATAATAAAAATAAAAGCAGAAATATAGAGAACAGAAAGCAGTAAAATTAATTAATGAGTAAAAATGCTAGCAAAAAACTAGCGAAATTGGTAAATGTCAAATATGTAAATAATAAACTGTTGAAACATAGAAGGTATTTAAAAATCACAAGAGACTACTTTGTACCCTTTTACACAAATAAATTTGTAAACATGTATACTTTTCCTGGAATATATAGTGTATCAAAATGAACTCTAGCTGAAATAGAAAGCTTAAAAGATTAGTTTCTGTAGGAGAAATAGAGAATATTATAAAAGAACTTCATCCATAGGAAAGCACCAGGCCCAGATAAGGGGATTTTTAAATCAAATTTTCACAAACTAAATAGTCTCAGTGGTGTTTAAATTGTCCTGGAGTATAGGAAATGAAAGAAAACTTCCATTTTTAAAAAAGCGGCAATATATAACAGTGTTCAGTAGACCGAAAAAAGATAGCATGAAACAAAAAATTAAAGATTATCATATTAATATCAGTGTAAAAATTTATAAATGAAATATTATCAAACAAATCAATTTCACATTAAGAAAACACCCCATGCTGGGTGTAGTGGCTCATGCCTGTAATCCCAACACTTTGGGAGGCCAAGGCAGATGGATTGCTTGAGCCCAAGGGTTCGAGACCAGCCTGAGCAATATAGCAAGACCCCATCTCTACAAAAAATACAAAAATTAGCCAGGCATGGTGGCACATGCCTAAAGTCCAAGCTACTTGGAGGTTGAGGTGGGAGGATCACCTTGGCCTGGGGAGTTTGAGGCTGCAGTGAGCCAAGATCATGCCACTGCATTCCAGCCAGGGCAACAGAGCGGGACCCTGTCTCAAAAAAAAAAAAACAAAAACAAACCCACAATACCCCATGACCAGTTGCATTTTATTCCAGTATTGCAAAGATGGTTAATACTTAGCAATCCACGAATGTAATTCACTATATTAATAGATCTAAAGAGAAAATCATGCTATTATTTCCATAGATGCCGAATAGACTTTGACACATTTCATCACCTACTTCAAATGAAAACACTCAAGAAAACAGAAATTGATGAATATTATCTTAATGTATATGTGTACATATATGTATGCATGTTTATATATGTACTATGTATATATATACATAGTACATATATACACATACTTAATGGGAAACAAGAAACATTCCCACTGAAAGCAAGGTTTCCTATTATCTGCACTATTTAGCGTTCACTTGGAGGTATTGGCTAAGGAATTTAGGGAAAAAAGCAATCAGACATAAAAGTTGGAAAAGATGTAAAACTATATTTACAGATGATATGATAATCAGAGACATAAGAATTGGAAAAGATGTAAAATTATCTCCATTTCTTATGCTAATATACTTCGGAAATTATAGAGAATTACTGATAAAACTAACTTGACCACAGATGAATTCAGTAAAATAGGGGATATAAAATTAACATAAAAATTAATAATTTTCATATGACAAGTGGTAACTAGGTAGAAATTTTTTTGGAATACCCCATTTACAATAGCAACAGGAAAACAATATAGTTGAGTATAAACTTAACAAGAAATGCATACACCAACAAAAGAAAAATTTTAAAATGCTTCTGAAAGACACAAAAGGGTAATAGATTTAACTAAATGGAAACCATCACTGTTTTAGTCTGTTTGCTTTGCTGTAAAGGAATTATAGTAAATTACCCTGAGGCTGGGTAATTTATTAAAAAGAAGAGGTTTATTTGGCTTATGGTTCTGCAACCTATACAAGAAGCATGGTGCCAGCATCTGCTTCTGGTGAGGGTTTCAGCAAGCCTGAGCCTTTACTCATAGCCAAAGGGGAAGGGGAGTTGGCATATCACATGGTGAGAGAGGGAGCAAGAAAGCAATGGGAGGAGTGCCATACTCTCAAATAACCAGTTATCACTTGAACTAATGGAGTCCAGCTCACACCTGAACTAATAGAGAAAGAACTCACTTATTATCACAGGGATGGCACCAAGCCATTCATGAGGGATCCACCCATGTGACCCAAACACCTGCCACCAGATCTCACCTCCAACACTGGGGGTCACATTTCAATATGAGATTTGGAATGGACAGATACCTAAGCTATATCAATCCCTTATTATTGGGTAGGTTGATGTTATAACGATTTCAGTTCTCCTTAGGTTAATTAATGGAATGCAATCCCAATGAAAATGTCACCAAAGTTGTTTTTTTTTTAACTGTAGGAGGTTTATAATAATGCTCATATGGAAAAATAAAACATGTAAAAAATAGCTAGTAAACTCCCCCTGTAAAAAAAAAGGTTATGAGAATATAGTAGCCCAACCAAACATTAATATACTTTGTAGCCACTACAGTTATAACAAAGAGGTAACTAGTATATGAATAACCAGACCAGTGGGAAACAATAGGAGGTCTAGAAATAGACCCAAGTACATATGGACATTTAGTATATGATAAAAAGTGACACTTCTTATCTGAGTTTTACTTTTAACTGATTACCAGGGTGTGTATGTGTGGGGGTGGGGAGGCGGTCTTTACAGCTGAATTAACCTGTAATGTTATTTAAGAAATCAGCTATTGAAGATTCTGGATAAGATTAAATGTCTTTTCGTTTTTCTTTTGAAATGTATTACAGTAATTTGTATTACTCATTACAGTTCTAACATGGAGTTTGAGATGCTCCTATACACTTGACTTGTGCTAGAAAGAAAATAATATAAATGAAGTAGCTTTAAAGTGATCACACAAGTGCAAGGTCTAAATCTTCACTGGCTTGAGAATTGTTTCTTCTTACTTAACATTTTATTCATTACAGCATCCTGAAGAGATAGCTGAAAAAAGACTATTTGAATTGACATATTTATCATTAGGCTACCTCTTTCTTCCTCCCTCTTTTCCATCCTCACAGAACCCTTTTTTATATCTTTTTTCCTTCTTTACTAGTTGTTATACACTTTTCAAACTTCTTGTTTTAACCTAATAGTTGCTCCTCCACTTATCTACTGAAATATCTGTCCACTGTCCTTTAAAAGTTACTCTGTGTTTTTTCTTATTCATTGCTTCTTTGCCGTACAAGTATATTTGTTATTGTACATATCATATGATATTTTAGTTATTTGTCTGTTTTCCTCTTAGACTGTGAACTTGTTAAGACTTGTTTTACTGATTTTTTGTATATTGATAAAATGCACAGTAACTGCTTGTTTAATGGATTAATGATCAAAGACTTTCAGACATTTAATGATTCTAATTGTACAGGACATATTGTTGAACTATATTATGTGAACTCATCAAAAACTAGCTGAAAAAATTGCAGATACAGAAATTTAATTTTGTCAATATTTATGTTAGATATTCCTTAATATTTTTAAGCTTCCTAGCTCAGGAAAACATACTAGTTTGTAGAAATTACGTATAAATTTTCTTTCTACTTTTATTTTAGGAAAAACTGATAAAGTATGCAACAGACAGTGAAACAGTAGAACCTATTATCTCACAGTTGGTGACAGTGCTTTTGAAAGGTTGCCAAGATGCAAACTCTCAAGCTCGGTTGCTCTGTGGGGAATGTTTAGGGGAATTGGGGGCGATAGATCCAGGTCGATTAGATTTCTCAACAACTGAAACTCAAGGAAAAGATTTTACATTTGTGGTAAGTAGTGGAAATTTGGAATGACAAAAGAGTTCTCTGTCCTATTGAGGTTTATATATTTCATTTACAAAGAACTATTCAGCTTATCCTTAATAAAAGCTTCACCTAGAACCAGACAATCAGTTAACTTCTGAGTTTATTTCTTTTACTATTGCAGAAACCTTTAGCCAAAAGCAATAAAGTTTGAACCCCATCTAGGGTGTTATATTCTTGTAAATAAAGCTTCCTAATATAATAATGACAATACTTAAAGCCTAATCAATTATTTAAATATTACTTTTTAAACATTATTGCTAGTGTTTCCATGGATAACTAGTTTCCAGGATATTACAGTAGTAATGTTTTGTAGTCAAATGAGTTTGGGAACTCCATATAGAACAAAATTAAATGTGACCTTTTAAAAAAAATGTGACTTTTAATGTATCTGTGTGCATTGTGAATCTCTAAGACTATATCTCCAAGAGTTATACTATATGCGTATATTAAAATTATTCCTTAGAGGTTCTCAGATGACTCTTGGGCTCTACAGAATGCAACGTAGGAGATGCTATGTATACATTTTGTGTTTTTTTTTGGACGGAGTCTCGCTCTGTCACCCAGGCTGGAGTGCAGTGGTGCGATCTTGGCTTACTGCAACCTCTGCCTCCTGGATTCAAGCGATTGTCCTGCCTCAGCCTCCCGAGTAGCTGGGATTACAGGCGTGCACCACCACGCCTGGCTAATTTTTGTATTTTTAGTAGAGATGGGCTTTCACCATATTGGCCAGTCTGGTCTTGAACTCCTGACCTCATGATCCGCTCTCCTTGGCCTCCCAGAATGCTGGAATTAGAGCCATTAGCCACCATGCCTGGCCTACATTTTGCTTTTTAAGGGTTAAAAAACAAACAATGCAAATTGTCAGAGATATGCAAAAGTTGAATAATTTTTTGTACACCTTAGAAATAGCCTAAAAAGCTTTACATTTTGGCTTTTTAGCTACAGATTATATTGTAGTCTTGATACCAAACTTAGTTTGAACCTCACTGTCTTTTCCTTTGTCTAAGTTAAATTCACTTACGCAGTTAAGTTAAATTCACCATGGAAAAAGCAGTACACCTAAGAAAATTTATAGCAGTTATCCTGGAATTTTCTTTTTTTTTTTTCTGATTGAGACTGGAGTAGAAGATTCAAGCTTTGCCTATGGATTATTGATGGAGCTAACAAGAGCTTACCTTGCGTATGCTGATAATAGCCGAGCTCAAGATTCAGCTGCCTATGCCATTCAGGTAAGAGTGGATATAGTCATTACTGGCTTTAAATTGTTTAATTCAAATAAGAACGTTGTAAATTCTATACTTGTGAAACTCCTTTTTGTTTTAATTCTCACTTTTATCAAAGTTATACAAGTTCATGATAAACATTTTAGAGTACAGAAGCATACCTCTTAACCAATTATTATAGGTATAGTTACTTTCAAAATTTTTGTATGTATATACAAATATATACTACTGCCTCAGCTTTGTGACTTAAATGAGTTACTTAAATCATTCTAGGCATTGAAATAAATGTCCTAAGGATGTTCACAGCTCTAAAACTATAAAATTCTGTTTATTTTTCTATGTACAAGCATAACTCAGAGATAGTAGGGGTTCAGTTCCAGACCACCACAATAAAGCAAGTATCTCTATAAAGCAAGTTACATGAATTCTTCAGTTTCCCAGTGCATATTAACATTATGTTTACACTATACTATAGTCTGTCAGGTGTGCAATAGCATTATGTCTAAAAACCAATGTAAATGCCTTTATTTAAAAAATACTTTGTTACTAAAAAATGCTAACCATCTTCTGAGCCTTCGCAAGTCATAATGGTTTTGCTGGTGGAAGATTTTGCCTCAATGTTGATGATGCTGATTAATTACCGTGGTGGTTGCTGAAGGTTGGAATGGCTGTGGCAATTTCTTAAAAAAATCAGACAACGAAGTTTGCCACATCAGTTGCCTTTCATGAAAGGTTTCTCTGTAGCCTGTGATGCTGTTTGATACCATTTTCCCCACAGTAGAACTTCTTTCAAAATTTGAATGAGTCCTCTCAAACCTTGCCACTGCTTAATCAACTAAGTTTATGTAATGTTCTAAATCCTTCGTTGTCACCTGAACAGTGTTCACAGCATTTTGAGTGGAACCACAGTAGATTCCATCTCCAGAAACCACTTTCTTTGCTTATAAAAAGCAACTCCTCGTCCATTCAGGTTTTATCATGAGAAGGCAGTAATTCAGTCCTATCTTCAGGCTCCACTTCTAACTCTAGTTTTCTTGCTGTTTTTATCACATCTCTAGTTACTTCCTCCACTGAAATTTTGAGCCTCTCAGAGTTATCCAGGAGGGGTTGGAATCAACTTCTTTCAAACTCCTGTTAATGTTGATAGATATTTTGACTTCTCATGAATCATGAACGTTCTTAATGATATCTAGAATAGTGAATTCTTTCCAGAAGGTTTTCAGTTTACTCTGCCCAGATCCATCAGAGGAATTACTATCTGTGGCCGCTATAACCTTATAAAATGTATTTCTTAAGTAATAAAACTTGAAAGTCAAAATTACCCCTTGATACACGGGCTGCAAAATGGATGTTGTGTTAGCAGGCACGAAAACAACATTAATATCCTTGTATAGCTCCATCAGAGCTCCCAGGTGACAGGTACATTGTCAATGAGCAGTAATATTTGGAAAGGAATCTTTTATTGTGACCAGTAGGTCTCAACAGTGAGCTTAAAATATTCAGTAAACCATGCTGTAAACAGATGTGTTGTCATTCAGGCTTTGTTGCTGCATTTATAGAGCACAGGCAGAGTAGATTTCACATAATTTTTTATTTTTAAATTTTTTTTACTTTTATTGTTCTAATTTTCAATTTTTATGGGTATATAGTAGACGCATATATTTAGATTTAGCCTAATTCCTAACAGCCCTAGGATGTATGGAATCGTCAATGAGCATTGGCTTCAATTTAAAGTCACCAATTGCATTAGCCCTTAACAAGAGAGTTATTAACCTGTCCTTTGAAGCTTTGAAGCCAGGCATTGACTTCTCCTCTCTAGCTGTGAAAGTCCTGGATAGCATCTTCTTCCAACAGAATAGAATGATTTTAGCTAGATCTTCTGGATAACTTGCTGCAGCTTCTCTATCAATAGTTGCTTCTTCACCTTACACTTTTATGTTATAGAGACAGCTTCTTTTCCTTAAACCTCATGAAGCAACCTCTGTTTGCTTCAAACTTTTTGGGTTTTTTTTTGTTTTTTAAGAAGCGCCCCTTGAGTTGTATCACTTCAAACTTTTTTTCTGCAACTTATTCTCCTCTCTCAGATTTCATAGAATTGGAGAGAACTAGGGCTTTTCTTTGGATTAGGCTTTGGCTTAAGGGAATGTTGTGGCTAGTTTGATCTTTTATCCAGACCACTAAAACTTTCTCTATATCAGAAATAAGACTGTTTCTCTTTCTTATATTTGATGTATTCATTGGAGTAACACTTTTAATTTCCTTCAAGAACTTTTTCTTTGCATTTATACTTGGCTGTTAGGTGCAAGACACCTAGCTTTTGGCTTGTCTAGGTTTTTGACATGCCTTCTTCACTAGGCTTAGTCATTTCTAGCTTTTGATTTAAAGTGAGAGATGTGCGATTCCTCCTTTCATATGTATACTTAGAGGCCACTGTAGGGTCATTAATTGGCCTAATTTCAATATTCTTATGTCTTTGGAAATATGAAGTCCCAAAGAGAGTGAGGGGGATGGAACGGCTGGTCAGAACACACACCACATTTATCGATTAGGTTCACTGTCTTATATGGGCACAGTTTGTGGAGCCCCAAAGCAATTACAACAGTAACATCAAAGATCACTGATCATATATCACTATAACAGATATAGTAATAATGAAAAAGTTTGAAATATTTTGAGAATTACCGAAATGCGACATAGAGACATGAAGTGAGCATATGTTGTTGGGAAAATGGCACTGATAGATTTACTGCATGCATAGTGGCCACAAACCTTCTATTTCTAAAAAAACAAACAGACAAAAAAAACAGCATCCATGAAGCATAAATAAAGCGAAGTGCAATAAAATGAGTTATGGCTGTATTTTTATAACTAAGATATGTAGAACATTGACGAATATAAAGCGTTATCTGCTTCACTGTGGACTTACAAATGTAAAATATGTATTTGTAGGAGTTGCTTTCTATTTATGACTGTAGAGAGATGGAGACCAACGGCCCAGGTCACCAATTGTGGAGGAGATTTCCTGAGCATGTTCGGGAAATACTAGAACCTCATCTAAATACCAGGTATGTAGGCTTATTTAATGTATTTTCATAAAATTGTTTTTAATTATATAAAAATAATGCGATTTTTTTGGCCGGGTGCAGTGGCTCACGCCTGTAATCCCAGCACTTTGGGAGGCTGAGGCGGGCGGATCACGAGGTCAGGAGTTCGAGATCAGCCTGACCAACATGGTGAAACGCCATCTCTACTAAAAATACAAAAATTAGCCGGGCGTGGTGGTGCACATCTGTAATCCCAGCTACTTGGGAGGCTGGGGCAGGAGAATCACTTGAACCCAGGAGGCAGAGGTTGCAGTGAGCCGAGATTGTGCCATTGCACTACAGCCTGGGTGACAGAGCGAGACTTTGTTTGGAAAAAAAAAAAAAAATTAATGTGATTTTTGATATAGTTTTTTAACATTAAAAGTGTTTTAGTATCTCCTCATGTATATTTTTCACTATGATTTATGCTTATAATTTGTCTAGATGAGAAGTGCAGTCTGCTCATTGGGTTAAATTCTACAACTTTAAATATTCAGATAAATTTATTGAAGTTAAAAGGATTGATTTTTTTAAAAGTTCAATGGTCGGTAGTAAATTGAAAGAATATACTTTAAGCTGAATGTGAGTTGAATTCTTTGATAGGTATAAGTAATACAGAAATTTAAAGTTTAAAGCTAGTCAGAAAGCCTTTAGTAGGCCCAATTAAAGATTTTCATTACTCCCAATTTCTCCTCATGAATATATTTTCACCCTCTGCTTTTAAAAAAATGTATTTAATCTCTTAAAAAATTTAAATGACTTTGTTAGGACTGACGAAATATGCAAGATGACATGCAAATACATGAAGCATTTTATATGAAAAAAATCCATACAACTATAAATTATTTCTATTTAGAAACTACTTTTTGGTACCCTAGGTACACATGCATATTAGATACTTGACTTTGGACAAATAACTTCTTTGAACCTTAGAAAGTGCCTAGACTTATACTAACAGTCTTTATAAAAGCCCAGAGGTATGCATATTTATTTCCTAGATAATTTTTTATACTTAGAAATCTTTTAAACATCATTTTATGTCTTATGACTAGCATTATTAAAGAAGTGATTATTTAGCATTATTATTATTAGCCTTATTAAAGAAGAATTATTACTGTTATTATTATTATTTTTGAGACAGAGTCTCACTCTGTTGCCCAGGCTGGAGTGCAGTGATGCGGTATCAGCTCACTGCAGCCTCTACCTCCTGGGTTCAAGTGATTCTCCTGCCTCAGTCTCCCAAGTAGCTGGGATTACAGGCGTGCACCGCCATGCCTGGCTACTTTTTGTATTTTTAGTAGAGATGAAGTTTCATCATATTGGCCAGGCTGGTCTCCTGGCCTTAAGTGATCTGCCTGTCTGGGCTTCCCAAAGTGCTGGGATTGCAGGCATGAGCCATCACACCTGGCCACTATTAGCATTATTTAAAAAGTAAAGTTAAAGACTAAAGTTAAAATTTGGATTTTCATTTTTGAGGACTCCATACTTCCCCCATTTTCTTAGTCTGTATTTTGTATAGCACCTGTAGATGTCAAAGAATTTCTGTAATCTACTGGAAAGTTTATGACCTTTGTAGTCACACAGGCTTAGGTTTGATTGTTGGCTTTGCATTTGCTAGCTCTGAAGTCTTGGGCAAGTTATTTAACATTTCCAGGTTTTAATTTTTTAATTTTGAAAACATGGATAATTTTACCCACTTTGTATGATTATTGTTAGGAATAAAGGAGATAATATTAAAAGTACTTAGCAAAGTGCCTGATATTTAGTTGACACTCAATAATAAATGCTTATTCAATCCTAGCTTGCTTAATAAGTTCTTTGTTTTTGGGGGGAGAATTTGTGAGGTTGGCTATCATATACTTCATAAGAAGTAGAAGCCAACATTTCTGCCTACTTGTCATGTTTTTCATAGGAAGCAACTTTTAAGTGGTCTTTTAAAAGTAGATCTTAACAAAGCAATGGAAATTCTTTTGGTCTTTAGCTTTTATACCTGAGCAGTTAGAATAACCTCTCGAATGGTTCCTCAATGATGGAAGTTAGGAGATTTACCTAGTTGGGATCTGCTTATTGAAATTGGAGCCACATAAAATTAAGAGGTTGATAGAGTGCGTTTTCAATAGCGTTGATTCCCTTTTGTATGAAAAACTAAAATACCAGGTTAGCCTGTAGCTCAATTTTATAGCTTGGACTGCTTGATATTTACTCCAGAGGACCTAGGGAAATATGGAATTTCTTAAAAGCATATTCATATTTTTGCTGCCTTTAAGTTATACTCCCTACTTTATGTTTTTTTTTTTTTTAATTTGGGCTCTTTATATATAATCACTAAATCTGGATTAAAGGATGGCTGTATTTGGGAGACTGAAATTTAGAACCAGATAGAACAACTGCAGTTCAAAATCACCATAGAAATAACTTTAGGAGAAAACATCAGGTTATGACTAGGCAGAGCCTGGCTTGTATCCCAGTATCAGTAGTTTTCTAGCTAAGTTTACTATAAATTTGATAAAAATCATCCAGAGAACTATACGCGTGATGATTCAAAATAGGGATTTGAATTTTTTCTCCTGGTTTAGTGTGATGGTTAACTGAGAGATTATTGGATTTTTCAACTGTTAGAAACTTGGAATACAGTGAAATATGTATATATATATATATATATATATTATTTGGGTATAAGACTTTGGGTATAGGGCATTTGTTATTTCCTAAGCTTTTATTGGTGATTTGAAAGAAACCCATGCCATTCAAAAAAATCCTACACACAGGTAGCCGTAAGATGAGAGCTGTGTGAACATGTTTAAATGTTAATGCTGAGGAACAAATAGAAAGGGTCATGTTGAAGTAATGTGAGAGAGAAGTGATAGTTGGTGTAGTAAGGACCCCAAGGAGCATCCGGAATGGGAGAGCCGTGGCCCTTATAGGGAATTATACTTAGAAGGAATAGATCTCTTTTTTTGCAATAGGGAAAGATAAAATAATGGATGGAACACAGCTAAGTTTACAGATTTCATTGCGGGAAGCAATGATTTTGTTTTTACTCTGTGAAGTAGGAGGTATAGGAGATGACCTCATTGGCTGAAAGTGGCAATGGAGTTGGTGTAGGTGACTTTAGGAGGGTGGTGATGGTTTGAAATAATCACTGGAAAACAGAAGAGAGCCAATAATGAAAACGTAGAAGGAATTCTGTAACTTTAGCGGCCCACTGACTTTGAAGACTAAGAATACATAGTAGTACTAATCTTATAAGTGGGTTAGTGATTTTCCTGTATCAGTGCAGTAGCCTGAGTATCATTTCAGTAAAGACAAATATTTAGACTGATTCAAGGTTGGGAGGTTAGCAGATGAATACCGCTGGAAAAGACAGTGTGGCAATGGAGTGGGTAGAGGATATTACCAAGAGAATGCTAGAAGTGAAGGACCATACAGACTAAGATGGTTGTGGAAAGAGGCAAAGAGACAGGGGTGTCATAGATCAGGAGAGCTTAGCAGGGTCACGGAACAGAAGATCTCAACAAGAGAGAATGGGTGTGCTGGAATAACTGGGTGAAAAAACTGGAAATTTAGGAAACTATGACCATACAATGAGATGTCTAAATAATTGATTTCAAAGTGAAGAAATTCTTTGAATTAGCATGGGAGCCCTGATAATTCCTGAGCCCTGATAAGTAGAGAAGAAAGTCATTGGAAACTTCTGAGCTTGATTAAGTGCTCCAGCTAGACACTGAAGTCACCCAGGATGATAATAACACTGGGAAGAAAGAAAACCCTGAGCAGTGTTCTAAAGTTATCAATGAGTTTGGTAATCAGTGTGTTGCATAGTTACCCATAATGAGGAGTAGAAAATGGTAGTATACCTGGGTGGCTTGAACTTCAAAGGAACAGGTTTTTCTTATATAAGAAGAGAGTTGGAAGGATCTGAGGAAGAGGAGGGGGCAGACTCAAATCCTTAGAAGTACTTTAGGTGTCCAAGAATGACCTACTTCACCCCTAAGAAGGATACTGGAAAAAGGTAAGCAGATTGCAGTAAAGGCAAGGCAGTACTGAGGTAGTCAACTGAAGGAGTTGCTGTAATTTACTAAAATTCTAAACAGGTGGATTTATCTTTTTAATAAACAAATTTTCAAAATTACAGATACAAGAGTTCTCAGAAGTCAACCGATTGGTCTGGAGTAAAGAAGCCAATTTACTTAAGTAAATTGGGTAGTAACTTTGCAGAATGGTCAGCATCTTGGGCAGGTTATCTTATTACAAAGGTAAGAAACCCTGTTCAGTTTGTTAACTGAATGGAAATTCTAAAGGAAACCAGAACATCTATCTGAATGCCTAGCACACACAATAATCATTGAAGTATTTGTGCTGATAATCATAGAAATTTTTGAAGAAAATGTTAACTAATAGAGAATAATAATTTCTCTGTAGTTACTAATAATAGCTTCTGAGTGAAAAGTAATTGTTTTACCAAGAAAATTACTATGGTCTTAATGTGTGTGTAAAATTACATTTATTCCTTTTATATTGTAAAATAATACTATGTAAAAGGATGTAAATGCTATGTCAGAGTTTTTTACATAATAAAAAGACATTCAATAAAGAGATATATTATACTCTAATAGCATTTCTAAAAGAAGTTATATTATCTGAACTTTCTCTAAAATAAAAATAAAGATTTTTACAATGAATTTTCATAGAAAAACAGGTATATTTCTATTTCCTTAATGAGAAATTTTTACATGCTGGATAGACAAAAGGTACTCTGTGTTCCAAGAAAATGTTTACAGTATATTTAAAATTTACAATTTTTGTTTTTAATTTACCTTTCTTTTTTTTTTTTTTTTTTTTTGTGACGGAGTCTTGCTCTTGCCACCCAGCCGGAGTGCAGTGGTGCGATCTCGGCTCACTGTAAGTCTCCGCCTACCGGGTTCAAGTGATTCTCCCGCCTCAGCCTCCTGAGTAGCTGGGATTACAGGCATGAGTCATCACACCCGGCTAATCTTTGTATTTTTTTTTTTTTTTCGAGACAGAGTCTCACTCTGTCGCCCAGGCTGGAGTGCAGTGGCGCGATCTCAGCTCACTGCAAGCTCCGCCTCCCGGGTTCATGCCATTCTCCTGCCTCAGCCTCCCAAGTGGCTGGGATTACAGGTGCCCACCACCACGCCCGGCTAATTTTTTTGTATTTTTTTAGTAGAGACGGGGTTTCACCGTGTTAGCCAGGATGGTCTCGATCTCCTGACCTCAGGTGATCTGCCCGCCTCTGCCCCTCAAAGTACTGGTATTACAGGCGTGAGCCACCGTGCCCCACCTTTAATTAACATTTCTGTTAGTGTTTTAAAATATCATTATACTAATTCGTAGTTAGTAACTTCAAGACATTTTCTTTTTTTTTGAGACGGAATCTCGCTCTGTCACTCAGGCTGGAGTGCAGTCTCGGCTCACTGCAACCTCCGCCTCCCGGGTTTAAGTGGTTCTCCTGCCTCAGCCTCCCGAGTATCTGGAACTACAGGCACCCGCCACCATACCAGCTAATTTTTGTGTGTGTTTTTTTTGTAGAGACTGGGTTTCACCATGTTGGCCAGGATGGTCTCGATCTCTTGACCTCGTGATCCTCCCACCTTGGCCTCCCAAAGTGCTGGGATTACAGGCGTGAGCCACCATGCCCGGCTGACATTTTCTTTTTTTAATGAATATACTGAAAATATAATGTGTGAAATGTGGAATACTGTTAACTATTTTCAGCTCTGGAATATTATGGGTTTTTTTTTGTTTTTTGGCTTTGTATTTGAAGAAAAAATCTCTTTAAAATTTTATGAGTTCAACAGTGTTAGCAAATCAAAAGTTAAGTCATAACAAAATTTGACTTTAACCCCAAATAATTTAATTAAAAAATTAATTAAAAAACTTTTTAAATTTAAAAATGAATACTCGTTTGTGATAAATTATCTCACATGCTACTCTTTGACATTTAATCAATATGTGAAAGTGTGTTACTGTCTACACATTTTGCATTTACAGGTTCGACATGATCTTGCCAGTAAAATTTTCACCTGCTGTAGCATTATGATGAAGCATGATTTCAAAGTGACCATCTATCTTCTTCCACATATTCTGGTGTATGTCTTACTGGGTTGTAATCAAGAAGATCAGCAGGAGGTGAGATAAATCATCTTACTTGGTTTTTGAACATGTGAAACTTACTTTCTCCAATGTAATTAGTATTAGAAAGGCTACCTATTAGTAGGAAATGTAGACCTATGTATGGCTATGTATGTTCATTTACATATCTTTGCCTGTTTGGTGTGTGTATCCCTTTAATTGATAGACGTTCTATGTATATTCTAGCTACCAATTTGTTGCCAGTCATATTTTCAAAAATTATTCCAACTTAGTCATTTTCTTTTTAACCTTTTCACATTTTGCCACGCAGAAATTTTAAATGTAAATGCAAAATTTATACATCTTTTATAGATTATTAATTTTAAACCTTTTATGTGATGCCTCATCTAATGTCATGAACTTATTTGCTATATTTTCTTTTAATCCTTCTGTTTTTATATTTAGTCTTCAATTACTCTGAACTTAATTTTGCATATAGTGTGAAATATTACTGTAAGTTTTTTTCACTGTTAACAAAGTTTCATTATCATTTATTGAATAATCTAGAATATTTTAAAATTTTTAAAATTTTCTTTAGTCGTTAACATATTTTCTTTTTAGACTAATATTTGGATTGATTTAATTATAGATAAGAACAATAGAGGAATGTATTATTGATCAATTGTGTTTTCCTTTTCTTTTTTTGAGACAGAGCCTCCCTTTGTTGCCCAGGTTGGGGTGCAGTGATGCTCTTGGCTCACTGCAACCTCCACCTCCCAGGTTCAAGTGATTCTCCTGCCTCAGCCTTCTGAGTAGCTGGGATTACACACATGTGCCACCATGCCTGGCTAATTTTTTTGTATTTTTAGTATAGACAGGGTTTCACCATGTTGACCAGGCTGGTCTTGACCTCAGGCAATTGGGCTGCCTCAGCCTCCCAAAGTGCTGGGATTACAGGCCAACATGCCTGGCCAATTGTGTTTTTTCTTTTGAAAATTTTTGCCTTAGAATGGTTAGCTTTAGATGTCATATAATAGTTAAATGGTATTATATAGATATTATTATTAATTATAAATGATTCTCATAGGTTTATGCAGAAATTATGGCAGTTCTAAAGCATGACGATCAGCATACCATAAATACCCAAGACATTGCATCTGATCTGTGTCAACTCAGTACACAGACTGTGTTCTCCATGCTTGACCATCTCACACAGTGGGCAAGGCACAAATTTCAGGCACTGAAAGCTGAGAAATGTCCACACAGCAAATCAAACAGAAATAAGGTAGACTCAATGGGTGAGTTATCACTTCTGTTTCTTTTTTTTTTTTTTTTTTAGCTATTCACCAATTAGCTCTTCCCTTTATCAGTTCTATAATTTAAGCACTAGCTTAAAAAATACCTTGCTTCATGTTTTTTATTGTTGTTGTTGTTGTTTGGAGATGGAGTTTCCCTCTTGTTGCCCAGGCTGGAGTGCAGTGGCGTGACCTCGGCTCACTGCAATCTCTGCCTCCCGGGTTCAAGCAATTCTCCTGCCTCAGCCTCCCAAGTAGTTGGGATTACAGGTGCCCACCACCACACCCAGCTAATTTTTTCGTGTATTTTTAGTAGAGACAGGGTTTTGCCATATTGGCCAGACTGGTCTCGAACTCCTGACCTCAGGTGATCTATCTGCCTTGGCCTCCCAAAGTGCTGGGATTACAGGCATGAGCCACCGCACCCAGCTGTTTTGTGTATTTTTAAAATGGGTAATAGTGTGGCCTTTTCACTGAGAAAAAACAGTGAATTTATAGTAATAAGACCTTTCTCTCTTCTTACTCTCACTTCGACAAGGCACATATTTATTTTTTCTTTGTATAAAATGGGGTTAATATTTTTATTTTTATTTATTAATTTTTTTTTGAGATGGAGTCTTGCTCTGTTGCCCAGGCTGGAGTGCAGTGACAGGATCTTGGCTCACTGCAACCTCTACCTCCTGGGTTCAAGCAGTTCTCCTGCCTCAGCTTTGCGAGTAGCTGGGATTACAGGTGTGTGCCACCATGGCCAGCTAATTTTTGTATTTTTAGTAGAGACGGGGTTTCACCATGTTGGCCAGGCTGGTCTCCAACTCCTGGCCTCAAGAGATCCACCCACCTCAGCCTCCCAAAGTGCTGGGATTACAGGTGTGAGCCACCACACCTGGCCAAAATGGGGTTAATATTATCTCCCTTAGGAGATTATTGTGAGGAATAAATGAGATGATGAACAGATAAATTATAAAATGTGAAATAAATGAGATGCTAATATTGTTATTAACCTAATCCTCCCTGTTAACATATTATATGTTTCCTCAGTTTTTGTGTGTGTGTGTGTGTGTATGTGTGTACTCTGTTCTTTGTCATTCTTCACTTGGAAAATATTCTTTGTAATCTTTTTCACATTTAAGTTTTAAATTTCAAGGGAGATTTTAATTTTATTTATTTCATGGCCTAAAGAGAAGCTATTTTTATTTATTTATTTTTCTTGTCTCTAGTAGTGTTTGATATCTAGCCAGCTGTCCAGATATGCTTAGTATGCATTACTACACTACACCCTGCTCTATCTTACCTTGCACTGTTTTTTTCCTGTGATATTACAACTTTCACTAAGAAGAATCTTGATTTAAAAATGACAACTGCTAATTTGTCCCTATGATATAAGCATTGATGAGAAGAATTATATTCATCACACACTAATGGATATTCTTACTTTCTTTGAACCTTTTTTTTTTTTCCATTCTTGGCAATAAGTGGATGGTTATAATCTGGCCTTATACCTTAGCTGTTCTCACAGACATCAAGTATTTTTCCTTCAGGCTTTCAGGCTAATTGAAAAACTATCTAACAGTCCTTAAAGAGGCCTTCACTTCCATAATTCTCAGTTTGTGAGCATCTCCCTCTTGTTCTGTTGAAGCAGATACTTTCCTGTTGTTAAGCAAAATAGTTTATTATTTTTCTGAAATTTCCTGGACTTGCCAATAATTACCTGCTTGGAGAATGTTTTTGTCTGGAATGTGGCTATTAATATATTTTTATATTTAACTATTGAATGTTTGTTTTTTAATTTTTTTTTCTTTTTTTGAGACTAAGTCTCTCTCTGTTGCCCAGGCTGGAGTTGCAGTGGTGTGATCTTGGCTCACTGCAGCTTCCACCTCCTGGGTTCAAGTGATTCTCATGCCTCATGCCCAGCTAATATTTTGTACTTTTAGTAGAGACGGGGCTTCACCATGTTGGCCAGGCTGGTCTCTAACTCCTGGGCTCAAGCAGTCCATCTGCCTCGATCTCCCAAAGTGTTGGAATTATAGGTGTGAGCCAGCACAACCAGCCTGTTAGTTTTTATTTCTGCATGTCAAAATGGTACTGTAAAACCAAACACTCTATTATCACCATTTTCAGTGACAGTAGCTTTTTTTTTTTTTTTTTTTCTGAGACAGTCTCACTCTATAGCCCAAGCTGGAGTGCAGTGGCATGATCTTGGCTCACTGCAACCTCCACCTCCCAGGCTTAAGCGATTCTTGTGCCTCAGCCTCCTGAGTAGCTGGGGCTACAGGCACATGCCACCATACCCGACTAATTTTTTGTATTTTAATGGAGACAGGGTTTCACCACACTGCCCAGGGTGGTCCCAAACTCCTGCGCTCAGGCGATCCACCTGCCTTGGCCTCCCAGAGTGCTGGGATTACAGACGTGAGCCACTGTGCCTGGCCAAAATTCTAGCTTTTAAGAATAACATTTGTAATGATTCAAAAGTACAATACCTTTAACATTTCTTTAACATTTTTGTAGAGACCCCCATCTCTACAAAAAATACAAAAATTAGCTGGGTGTGGTGGTGTGCACCTGTAGTCCTAGGTTACTCACAAGGCTGAAGTGTGGGGATTGCTTGAGCCTGTGAGATTGAGGCTACGGTGAGACAAGATCACACCCCTGCACTCCAGCCTGGGCAGCAGAGTGAGACCCTGTCTCCAAAAAAAAAAAAAAAAAAAAAAAAAAAATCAGAATTTGAAATCATCTACAAATTTTGATGGAAATAAGGACCTTATTTTAAATATAATCTGTTTAGAATATACTACCTTAGGCTAGGTGTGGTAGCTCACACCTGTAATCCTAGCACTTTGGGAGGCCGAGGCAGGAGGATCACTTGAGCTCAGGAGTTCAAGATCAACCTGTGCAACATAATGAGACTTCATCTTTACAAAAAATACAAAACTTGGCCAGGCGTGGTGGCACATGCCTATGGTCCCAGCTACTCGGGAGGCTGAGGCAGGATCACTTAAGTCCAGGAGGTGAAGGCTGCAGTGAGCTATGATCTTGCCACTGCACTGCAGCCTCAGTGAGAATGAGATCAAAATAATTTTTTTTAAAAAGTAAGTAAATAAATAAAAATAAAATATACTGCCTTATTTAAATTTTGAAGAAATTTGTTGCCTGTTTTCTACACACTTATGAATCATTAAAATTTAGAAGTTTTAAATAATTCATAAACTAGACTGTCCTCATTTAGAAGTTTTTAATTTTTGTCTTTTTGTACACTCTTGAAAAATTATCCTAAAGTACTTGTGGTTTTACTTTGAAGGCACTTTTACTTTCAATTTCTTTCTTTTTTTTTTTTTTTTTGATACGGAGTCTCGCTCTGTCACCCAGGCTGGAGTGCAGTGGCGTGATCTCAGCTCACTGCAAGCTCCGCCTCCCAGGTTCACGCCATTCTCCTGCCTCAGCCCCCCGAGTAGCTGGGACTAAAGGCACCCGTCACCACGCCCGGCTAATTTTTTTGTATTTTTAGTAGAGACGGGGTTTCACCGTGTTAGCCGGGATGGTCTCGATCTCCTAACCTTGTGATCCGCCTGCCTCGGCCTCCCAAAGTGCTGGGATTACAGGCGTGAACCATCATGCCCAGCCATTACTTTCAATTTCTATTGTAATAGGTGATACTGTATTTTTGGCAACCAAGAAAAAATAGGTGGATAACAATGAATTCTAAACTTTAAAAAAGATTATTTCCATAGTTTTGAAGTTTCCCTACAAAATAGCTACATTTAATCATTTTTTATAGTCATCAAAAATAATGACTAATCTTGTATCTTTTGTATCATCATTATATCTTTTCAAAATTTAATAATAGATTGATATTTAATCCTCACCAACAACGTTGTAAGGAAGGCAAGACAGGTACTAACATTTTCCTTTTATAGGTAAAGAAATAGAGGCTCAGTAAATTAAATGACTGTCCAAAGAAAGGTAAGTTATAATGGCAGAGTTGGAGCAAGACTCTCTGAACAATTGTTCTGTTGTTAGTTACATTCTAAATATGATATCCTAATATATTCAGATTAATTTGTTTAGTGAAATAAATTGAACTTAAATACTTAAATTGACACTTTTAAATTTTATCTTATAAGTCTTTAATTACTCAACTTTTTTTATGATCTAGTATCTACTGTGGATTATGAAGACTATCAGAGTGTAACCCGTTTTCTAGACCTCATACCCCAGGATACTCTGGCAGTAGCTTCCTTTCGCTCCAAAGCATACACACGAGCTGTAATGCACTTTGAATCATTTATTACAGAAAAGAAGCAAAATATTCAGGAACATCTTGGATTTTTACAGGTCTGAAGTTAATATAGTGAATTTAATAATGAAAATTAATGTGGCCAGTCTTTTATGTTTATGTTGTTCATTTTATTGAATGTTTTATATGCTATGCTTAGAAGCTTATAGATTAGTGGGGAGAGATAAACATCAATTTGGTATAATATTTTAAGTACAGTAACACACATGTACCCTGAGGAAGGACACTTAACTCATCCATGTGGAATAGGGTGGGAGATGGAAGCGGATGAGCCAGAGGTCAGGAATGGCTTCTTGGAGATGGTGTCTTAAAAAATGAGCAGTATAGGGAGGCAAGACATTATAATCAGAGGCATCTCTGTGGAGTGTTTGAAAAGAGCATGGTATATGCCAAAGAGTAAAGTGTCGGTTTTGGAATGGTAGAGGAAAGATCACAAATAATAGAAGACTTTTTAAGTTGCCCAAACTTCTTGGAGGGTGCGAACTAGGGAAGTGTTATGGTCACAATGGAATTTTAGCTAAATGCCTGTGGCAGTTGTGGAGGAGGAGTTTGGAAGGGCTATGATTCAAGGAATTACTCTTCTCCTTGTGAGAGTTGTGGTCCTGAATTTGGGAGTGAGTTAGTGGGGGCAAGTGCCGGTTATGTCAGGTATCAAGCATGAAAATGCTGGTGAAATAATGATTTAGGCGATGTTATGATTGTGTAGGGAAGAAAAGAAAGTAAGAGCAGGTGAGGCGAATACAGTGGAATTAAATAAGAGCTCAAGATTGGTGGGCTTTTCAAATCAAAAAGCAAAGTGTGATAAAATAACTAGAAAATTAGTAACTTGCAGTCTTAAGATGAATATTAGCCCCTTCCTATCTTTGTGTTCCTCCTTGTCCAGCTTTAAGTCTATGGTTCATGGTTAAAATCGTTCCCTTAGAGTGATGCTCAACTTCTTGTCTTTTTCCCACTGTGTTGTACTCCGTTTGTCAAACTCCAACCATGTAAGCAGCTGGAGAAAAATTACACAGTGGGTGTTATAACTGGTTTCAGTTTAAGTTCATGATCTCAAACATCTTTAAAACTGCAGGACTCTAACATTACCTTCAGGCTGGCTGTGTTTCTCTAGTAAGGCTACTTTCCCCTTTGTCAAGATGACTGTCTCTTACCTTCACTTTGTTTCCCTGCTTCCAGCTGACAATCTTGCTTCATGATTCATTAGGAAAAATCTGCAAATGAAACAGCATCTGCACCATATTCTTTTTCTTCCCTTCTGTTATTTTATTTATTTATTTATTTTGAGATAGGGTCTTGCTCTATCACCTAGGCTGGAGTACAGTGGCACGAGCTCGGCTCACTGCAACCTCCACCTCCCAGGCTCAAGGGATCCTCACACCTCAGCCTCCCGAGCAGCTGGGACCACAGGCGCTGCTACCACACCTGGCTAATTTTTTGTATTTTTTGTAGAGACGGGGTTTTCCATGTTGCCTGGGCTGGCCTCCTGACCTCAAGTGATCTGCCTGCCTTGGCCTCTCAAAGTGCTGGGATTACAGGCATGAGCCACTGTGCCTGGCTTCTTCTGTTATTTTTAAGGAAGGATTTCTTCCTGTCAAAATTCAATCTTTCTACTTGTGTTCTCAATTTCAAGATGTAACTTCTTCATATATTCCTTCTTTCTCTAGTGTAATTAATTTCTCTTTGGGAACCAGAGTATATGGAGCATATAGACATGCTCTGGTAAATCCTACCTTCTCCTTTAGATACATCCCATCTCTCTGTTTCCGGAACTTCACAACCAGTTTTTGAAGGAATTGTCTAGTTTCTTTATACTGCAGTCACTTCTTTGTTTCTCATTCACTCTGCCCATTTCAACAAGACTTCTCTTTTTCTTTTCTGTTGACACTATTCTTGCTAAGAAAATTGGTGGCCACATGTTACCAAATCCAGTAAATTTTTCCCAGCCCTCATTTTCTTAACCTCAGTATCATTGACCATGCCTTTCTCATTAAGACATCATTTGCTTTTCTCCCATGGCTTCTGGGATATTTTATTCTCCAGTTTTCTTCCAAGTTATCTCACTTCTCCTGTTTCATTTGCCAGCTCTTCCTTCTTGATAAATGTAGAAACTCTAATCTCTATCGTCAGTCTGCTTTTCTTCTTTATCCATTTCCTAGATCATCCCATTCTTTCTCATGTTGTGAGAGACTGTCTTTGTGCTAACTGATTCCTAAATTTTTATCTTTAGCTTGAATATCTCCTTTGAGCCCAGATTGCTGTCTTGGTTTTCTTGAAGTCATCTCAATAACAATATATTAAAATGGTTATTTACATTTTTAAAAATTTAAAAATTCAATAAAACTCTTATAAGCTATACTCAACAGAATATGTTATCATTTGGATCTAGACAGTTTTAGGATCCTGAGGTTCTTTATAAACCTTATGATCAATAACAGCTATTGATATAGATTTGTATTTAAAAGGAGTAAGAATGTTGAGGGAATAGAATGCCTGGAAATAAGTTTATAATTTTACTGTGACTTTGCCATGAAACAAATGCTTACTATTACTTTGAGGAAAAATTTCTCAAAAAATTGCTGTTTCAATATAAACAGGTGGTTTTATAGTTTTATTTCCAGTTGTGTTTTTTTCTTGTTTTTGATTGTTTTTTAATCATTGAACAAAGAAATTGTATGCTGCTATGCATGAACCTGATGGAGTGGCCGGAGTCAGTGCAATTAGAAAGGCAGAACCATCTCTAAAAGAACAGATCCTTGAACATGAAAGCCTTGGCTTGCTGAGGGATGCCACTGCTTGTTATGACAGGGCTATTCAGCTAGAACCAGACCAGGTAAGATAATAATTGAAAGGCAACTGTAATGAAAATAGCCCTGAATAGGAACTCTGGAAACCTTAGTTTTTTTTGTTTTGTTTTGTTTTGTTTTTGAGACAGAGTCTCGCTCTGTTGGCCAGGCTGGAGTGCAGTGGCATGATCTTGGCTCACTGCAACCTCTGTCTCCCGGGCTCAAGCAATTCTGCCTCAGCCTCCCGAGTAGCTGGGATTACAGGCGTGTGCCACCACACCACATCCAGCCGAAACCTTAGTTTTAATACTGTTTCTGTCAGTGTCACTGAGTGTCTGGAAAATATTTAACCCTCTCTAAGCTTGAGTTTCCTAACAGATAAAATTAGAGACTTTACTAGATGATTTTAAAAATTCCTTCCAGGCCGGATGCGGCGGCTCATGCCTGTAATCCCAGCACTTTGGGAGACCAAGACGGGTGGATTCCCCGAGGTCAGGAGTTCGAGACTAGCCTGGCCAACATAGTGAAACCCTGTCTCTACCAAAAATACAAAAAATTAGCTGGGTGTGGTGGCGAGCGCCTGTAATCCCAGCTACTTGGGAGGCTGAGGCAAGAGAATTGCTTGAACCCGGGAGGTGGAGGTTGCAGTGAGCCAAGATCATACCATTGCACTCCAGCCTGGGCAACATGAGTGAAACTCTATCTCAAAAAAAAAAAAGGTCCCTTCCAATACTATATTTATATGACTTTAGAAATCCCCTAAATGAATAAGATTTATTATGGAGTATATCTGTATTAAAATGTTCATTTAATAACTCTAAAATGTATATAATTTTAGTTTGCTATTAAAAGTGTAAGCCATGGATCAGTTTGTAGAACTAGGGATTCTCCATAGCCTGAGAAACATTTTCATATTTTATACACCTACTCACCCACCTGCACGTCTCTAAAATGGTCCTGTAGAATCACAGAGTTACAGTTAGTAATGGGAATAAGCTGTGTGTCTATTGGAATGGGAAAGGGGTTTAGAATCATTAATTTACAATCTTGCCTTTAGATTCTTTCTAATTTTGGGATATTGCTTTTTGTCATATTTGACATGTTTCTCAGAAGCACAATATATAAATTCTTTATTTTTCACAATCTTCTTTTCATTTTAAAGGATAGTACATAATCCTCTTTAACTTTTTAGTGCTAAAGCCCGAAATCCATATTTAAAACATCAGGACCTTTGAGCTTGAATGTTTATGTGAGAAATATGACAATCTTTAAACAGAATATCAAAGATATTAGATACTTTTTATATTGGATGTGAACCAAAAAGTAGTCCAAATTGAAAAATATAATAACTTCAATCTGAGATTTTCTATGTTGTCTACATTTATTTATGTTACTTTAAATGTGTTAGGACATTGATGGGGGTCCTGCCATGTAAGTAAGCAAATCAATTGTTAAATTAAGAAAGGTGTGACTGGGCATGGTGGCTCATGCCTGTAATCCCAGCACTTTGGGAGGCTGAGGCAGGAGGATCACTTGAGCCCAGGAGTTTGAGACCAGCCTGGGCAACATGGCAAGACCCTGTCTCTACAAAAAATTAAAATAATAATAATAATAAAAAAATAAGGGCAATAAGGTAAATAGTAATTTTTAAAGAATATCAGTTAAACTGTTTTTGGTCCCCAAGCTATTATTGAAGTGATAATTGCTATTTTAAATATTTTTAAATTTCTAGATCATTCATTATCATGGTGTAGTAAAGTCCATGTTAGGTCTTGGTCAGCTGTCTACTGTTATCACTCAGGTGAATGGAGTGCATGCTAACAGGTAATATTTTATAAAATGATTTTCTTTTGTTATTGCATCTGAATGGAGAATTTTTAGTTAGTGAATTGGGTAATTTAATGTTTAGTAGAGTAATAAATGTTTTATGTGTTTTCATGGTATTGGAGATAAGCACCAACATTTTTTTTTCCTCAAGTTTTTCATAGTCAGTCTACCACTTAACAGCTTCTGTCTAAAGAGCCATCCTTGAATTAGATTTGCTTTAACACAAGGAACTTCTAGAACCCACTGGCTATTGGTGAGGCTCAGATGGGACTTCCTGGGCCTCAAAGGGCATCTATGCTCTGCTTACAGTATCAGTACCACTTATTTTCCGTGCTAGAGGTTGTGACTGATTTACGGAATACCACTGTAGACTGTGTGCATTGATTTTACCCTAAATGATTGATGAATGTGAAAGCAGCCTTCCTTTCCTAAAGAAGGTGGGTTTATTGTAGAAAATCAAATTAAACAAAAAATAATACATGTATGTGGCAAAACATTAAGGCTGAGTAGTTCTTCCAGTTTGGAGATTAAATGTGGAGATTAGCACTGCTCTTGAAGCTGCTTTGCTGTGAGAGCTGACAGCTGTATTCCTTGATTTATTCACCAGACTCTAAATGGCTATTCTGGGCAGTAAAATCTGGTCAAAAGGGAATGGGATCTCAGTTAAACAAAGATTATACAGGCCACTGTTTTTGGACTACTCTGAAGCCAAGTTTTTCTTTCTCTTTTTTTTCAACTTTTATTTTAGATTCTGAGGGTACATGTGCAAGTTAGTGACAAGGGCATATTACGTGATACTGAGGTTTAGGATACAATTGAACCCATCACCCAGGTAGTGAGCATAGTACCCAAAAGATAGTTTTTCAACTCTTGCCTCCCTCCCTCCCCCACCCCTTGTAGTCTGCAGTGTCTATTGTTCCCATTTTTGTGTCCATGTGTACCCAATGTTTAGCTCCCATTTTATTCTTTTTTATAGCTGCATAGTATTCCATTGTGTATATGTGCCACATTTTCTTTATCCCATCTACCATTGATGGGCACTTAGGTTGATTTCATGTCTTTGCTATTATGAATAGTGCTGCAATGAACATACGAGTGTATGTATCTTTTTGGTAGAATGGATTATTTTCCTTTGGGAATATACCCAGTAATGGGATTGCTGTGTGTTCTATTTTCAGTTCTTTGGGAAATC
This sequence comes from Homo sapiens, assembly GCF_000001405.40. NCBI lineage: Eukaryota > Metazoa > Chordata > Mammalia > Primates > Hominidae > Homo > Homo sapiens. The sequence goes on along the minus strand of NC_000003.12, from coordinate 142,502,166 downwards.
TCTAAACCGCCTTCCACAGTGGCTGAACTAATTTATATTCCCACCAACAGTGTATAAGTATTCTCTTTTCTCTGCAGCCCCTTCTACATCTTTTTTGACTTTTTAATAATAGCCATTCTGGGCTGGGTGTGGTGGCTCATGCCTGTAATTGCAGCACTCTGGGAGGCCAAGGCGGGTGTATCATTTGAGGCCAGTAGTTCAAGACCAGCCTGGCCAACATGGTAAAACCCCATCTCTACTAAAATAATACAAAAATTAGCTGGGCGTGATGGTGCACATCTGTAATCCCAGCTACTCGGGAGACTGAGGCAGGAGAATTGCTTGAACCTGGGAGATGGAGGTTGCAGTGAGCTGAGATTGCACCACTGCACTCCAGCCTGGGCAGCAGAGGGAGACTTTGTCTCAAAATAATAATAATAATAGTAGCCATTCTGATTAGTGTGAGGTGGTATCTCATTGTGGCTTTGATTTTCATTTCTCAAATAATTGTGACGACGAGCATGTTTTCATATGCTTGTTGGCTGCTTGTATGTCTTCTTTTGAGAAGTGTCTGCTCATGTCCTTTGCCTACTTTTTAATGGGGTTGTTTGTTTTTTTGCTTGTTGATTTATTTGAGCTTTTTATAGATTCTGAAGCCAGCCTTTTCTAAGTACTGTTTGTATAGGTTCCAAAACTGTGATTCATAAAGACTATCATTTTACAATGTCTAAGGGCAGAGAAGTTCACTGTTGGTCAGATGGTATCACAGTAGTGGAATTTATGAAATCACAAGGGAAGTTTTACAGAAGTAAAGAAGGAATGCTTATATGTTGTGGATATGTTTCTCCAGATTAGTTGAGAGACTTTATGAATAAATAGATTACAGGGATTTGGGAGAGTCATGGCTCAAATTGGGGTGTCAAATTTCTTTTTGACATAGACTACACATTCAGACTCCTCTTTTCTTCTCTTTGGGTCTGGGATACATAGAGCCTCCTGATTTGGGTTGTGAAAAAGGCATGCGTCAATATTCAATGAAGGGGTGCTGTGTCATGGTGAAGCAAATGATTATGGATGGGGCATGTTTTTCTTGGGGTAATTTCTGTTTGCATTAAACAAATATTTTTCCTAAAATATTGACTGTGCCTGCCCTATTTATCATTCTTTTTAATGTACCCATTTATGTGGATACATTCTCACAGCCTGATCCTGATTGCCATTTGTACTTTTTGCTATAAGTCTTCGTGTGACACATCCCCTTTGTTATCTGATATCCCATAGATAATCTGTTATCCCACAGTTGGATAACAAATACTGCCTAATTCTACTGAGATTTTTATCCTGAAATTTTTATATTTTGGTGTCTGATGGTAAGCTTGTAAAGTCCTTCAAAATTGGACTTTTGAAAATTACATTTCAGTTGTATTTCTTTAGCCTTATTCTAAACTGTTTTTGGTGGTGGTCATAAATTTAGAAATTGGAATCCTCTAGCTTCTATTTTTAGAATTTTTAAAAATGAAACTTGTTAGATCACTTGTTGTCTTTTCTTTATGTGTTTTTACTACAATAAAAAGAGCAAGGAAAACTTTTGAGGATATTGATTCCAGCCTCTCTGTTACTTTATTTATAATATGGATATATATGTGCTGTATGCAGTGTTATTAGATTATTAAATGGAAAATTGTACCTAGCCTAGGATCTAAACATATGGCAGAAATTCAGAAAGTATGATTAATAAAAAAGAAACATGAGGAAAGCCTAGCGGTTTCTGTGTAGTCATGATCTCAAATATCACTGGTCATCCTAATGTCACCTAAGTAGAATGCTTAGAACAAAATAATTAGCCTATATCATACTGGTTTTGCAAACTCAAATTTTAAACTAACTGAAAGTAGTTTAAAAATAGGTATATATTTTACGTAGCTAGTTTTATATACTTTGTTATGCCATTGACAAATCATTGTAACTTTCTTTTGCTCTTGGTATTGTTCTAGATACCTCCCAACTGTCCGTAAGTTATACCACTGGCCCCCCTGTATTTTTGTCTTAAATTTAATTCAGAATTCTGAGTTATTGGAATTGCTTACCTCTGAATTTATGTGTGTTCAGTTGGCTCTTTTTCTTCCTTGCTCTTTGTTCAAATTAAGCATGCAGCTATTTTTACAATGGGCTTAGTTATTATTCAGGAATTAACTCTGCTCTAATATATGGCACACTTTAATTTGTTGAAGAATGTCATTTTAAATGGTGTATCAGAAGTAATTAGTGAAAAAATATTTTTGAAGGATGGAAAGATTAAAATTTTCTGGATAGTTTCTGGATAGAGATAATTATTTTATATCTAAGAACAAAATACAATATAATGCAAATTCAATAAATATAATAAATAGAGTATGTAAACCAATGAAAAATCTCTGAATGTCACCTTAAATAAATTAAAGTTTAGTTGATATGGGTTTCTTTTAATAGGTCCGAGTGGACAGATGAATTAAACACGTACAGAGTGGAAGCAGCTTGGAAATTGTCACAGTGGGATTTGGTGGAAAACTATTTGGCAGCAGGTAAAATTACTTCTTAAAATATAAGCAGTTTTAGGATGGGTGCGGTGGCTCACGCCTGTAATCCCAGCACTTTGGGCGGCTGAGGCGGGCGGATCATGAGGTCAGGAGATCGAGACCATCCTGGCTAACACAGTGAAACCCCGTCTCTACTAAAAATACAAAAAATTAGCTGGGCGTGGTGGCACGCGCCTGTAGTCCCAACTACTCGGGAGGCTGAGGCAGGAGAATTGCTTGAACCTGGGAGTTGGAGGTTGCAGTGAGCTGAGATCGCGCCACTGCACTCCAGCCTGGGTGACAGAGTGAGACTCCATCTCAAAGAAAAAAAAAAAAAGCGGTTTTAATATGACATAAATATTCAGACTTAAGTAACTTAGCAACATTCATACTTAATATCTTAGCCTGTTTTATGATTGCCTTGTTTAGTTGTTCAAAGTAGAATGAAACCAGGCTGGGCATGGTGGCTCACACCTGTAATCTCAGTGTTTTGGGAGGCCAAGGTGGGAGGATTGCTTGAAGCCAAGAGCTCTAGACCAGTCTGGGCAAAATACTGAGACTGTCTCTGCAAAAATGTTTTTTAAAAAACTTAGCTGGGCATGGTGGCTCATGCCTGTTCACCTACTCAGGAGACTGAGGTGGGAGGATCACTGGAGCCCAGAAGTTCAAGGCTGCAGTGAGCTATAATCATGCCATAGCCCTCTATCCTGGACCACAGAGTGAGACTCTGTCTCAAAAAAAAAAAAAGGAATGAAGCCACCTGTTTGATATTTCAGCTGACCATTTTATCTAATGAAATAAAGCTGACTCTTGGACCCAGCTACCGTGACATTTCTTGACTCTTCATTTGTTTTTCAGATGGAAAATCTACAACATGGAGTGTCAGACTGGGACAGCTATTATTATCAGCCAAAAAAAGAGATATCACAGCTTTTTATGACTCACTGAAACTAGTGAGAGCAGAACAAATTGTACCTCTTTCAGCTGCAAGCTTTGAAAGAGGCTCCTACCAACGAGGATATGAATATATTGTGAGGTATTTTGGAATTTCCATTTTTATATTTCTGGCCTATAAATGTCACCTGACAGGATTGGAAAATTTTTTTGAGTAAATAATTGATAGTGAGTTTGGTTTCATGCATAGCTACACTAGACAGCTCTTTCATTCTTTTTACCTCACAATCACCCTACAGTTAAAATTCTAACATACATCCTTTTAAGGAAAGGCAACTATGAGACTAATGAAAAACATAATAAAAATATCTTATGTTTGTCCTCTTGTAATGTCATAGTTTGCTTTCTATATAACCAAATATAATATAGACATCTATAGCACCTGGCACATTGGTGCTTGGTATTTGTTGTTTCCCTTTCCTTTTCATTTAGAAATGTGTTTGATATTTCCCCCCAAAAATATAGGCATCACATTACTAGAAAGAATATTAACTTTTATAGGTGAAGAAGAAAATGTTGGAAAACATTTTAGGTCTATGAATTCTACCTGAGGAAAAATGATAAACTAAATATTGTAATTAAGGTATAAGAAATTTACTACATAGCACTGTTTTTTTAAGTTAGAAGAATTCATTATATTTAGTATCAACCCGTTTGGTGATATCTTAATGAAACTAGAGATTGGACCACTGAGTTTAATTCTGTTCTGTAGCTACTCAGCTATATCCTTGTACCTTGAACACTGAATCATAGACACTGACTATCATACAAGGGGGAAAAAGCTAGTGTGAATGTATCAAAGTTTCCATCACTCTTAGAAAAAAACTACATTAATTTCATAATTTTTTACTATCATCTGCTATGCCAGGCCCTCTTATAGTAGCACCAGCAATATATGCAAATACCTCATGTTGGTTTATAATGGATCCATATTTTCTTTTATCTTCATTTAGGTGGTAAATTTTGGTTTCATACATTTGAATTTAGTTTTATCCATCATTCTCCAGTTTAATTAGGAATTTGGGATTCACTGCAAATCCCTAAATATTTATTTTAAAAGTTTAATGTAATTAATTTTATTTATTTATTTATTTATTTATTTATTATTTTAAGGGACGGGGTCTTGCTATGTCACCTGAGCTGGAGTGCAGTGGCTATTCACAGGCATAATCATAGCTCACTGCAACCTTGAACTCCTGAGTTCAAGTGATCCACCTGCCTCAGTCTCCTGAGTAGCTGGAGTACAGGTGCACGCTACCATGCCTGGCTAAAGCACCAAATGTATAAACCAGCATAAATTGGTGTTTACATTCAGTTTGAAAAGATATAAATGTAATTATTTACTTAGCAAGGATATATTAAAGTTCTACCAAAGACAACTGTGTATTTTAAATTCTTTATTTCTGATTTAAAGTACTTGCTTTATATATGAGATTAATAAGGCTGAATATGATAACATTTTAACATAGGCTCTATCTATCTTCAGATTGCACATGTTATGTGAGTTGGAGCATAGCATCAAACCACTTTTCCAGCATTCTCCAGGTGACAGTTCTCAAGAAGATTCTCTAAACTGGGTAGCTCGACTAGAAATGACCCAGAATTCCTACAGAGCCAAGGAGCCTATCCTGGCTCTCCGGAGGGCTTTACTAAGCCTCAACAAAAGGTTTCTCACACTACTTTTTTTAAAAATGTCACTTATCTTGAATTTGGTATTTGGATATTATTTGGGGGTGTTTGTATTTCTTAATTTTCTGTCTGAATCTACATTTTTCTATTTTTAATGATCAGGGCTACACTATCTGGTTGAAAGGAACCTAGAACTTAAGAATCACTTTTAGACACCATTTCTTTCTCTTTTTTAAGATGTTAAAAACATATCTGGGGGATATGTTTTTTACTGATAAAAATCAAGAATAAGGTTCATAATAGGTAAAACAGAACACTGTAAGAAAAGTTAAGTCAAGGCTTTTTAAACAAATTAATAATTAATTCCTTTGAAATAGTATATGAAGAAGGTTCTGTATTGGGAACAGAGGCTTTCAAAACATTGGAACTACTTGCAAAGTTTATGACCTAGATTTAAATTGTTTTAAGTTAAGTTGTTGTGTACACTTACCAATGGTCTCTCTCACCAATGTGTTGTTACTTCCTTTAGACCAGATTACAATGAAATGGTTGGAGAATGCTGGCTGCAGAGTGCCAGGGTAGCTAGAAAGGCTGGTCACCACCAGACAGCCTACAATGCTCTCCTTAATGCAGGGGAATCACGACTCGCTGAACTGTACGTGGAAAGGGCAAAGTGGCTCTGGTCCAAGGTAATGGCCAGGGAAATGTCATCATATATATATATATATATATATATATATATATATATATATATATATATATATATATATAGTCGGGAATTATGTACTTCCTTAAAAGGCCAACTGAGAGAACATAACTAATCCAAATTAAGAACCTTCCTTTTCTATCACTTTTCTTCATTAGTTATCTACCATAGCCTGGAAGTAATTGTTCTTTTTACTCTACAGTCCCCAGATACCTTCCCATTTCAAGGCTGAATGTGGAGTTTTTTCAGTTTTCATCTATCTTACATTTTCCTTGAGGAAAACGACCTCTTAATTTTTCACCTTATGTATGTATACAGGGTGTATATAGTAGTGACCCAGTAAATGTTGGTTAAATGAATGTAACTCTGTCACTTAGTTGCTGGCAGATAATTAGCTCTCTGTAGACTTGCCAGTGTTACTGTAAATATTCAGCTCTGATCTAGCCAGAAAGGGCCTAGCATCTGAACAGAAGTTCACGGCAGACCTCAGATTAAAGCCAAAGTAATAAGAAGGGGGTTTTTTAAACATTGGAACTACTTGCAAGGTTTATGACCCAGATTTATTTTTTATTTTTATTTATTTATTTATTTATTTATTTTGAACCGGAGTCTCACTCTGTTGCCCAGGCTGGAGTGCAGTGGCACGATCTCCGCTCACTACAACCTCTGCCTCCCGAGTTCAAGTGATTCTCCTGCCTCAGCCTCCTGAGTAGCTGGGACTACGGGTGTGTGCCACCACACCTGGCTAATTTTTTGTATTTTTAGTAGAGATGGGGTTTCACCGTGTTAGCCAGGGTGGTCTCGATCTCCTGACCTCATGATCCACCTGCCTCAGCCACCCAAAGTGCTGGGATTACAGGCGTGAGCCACCGCGCCTGGCCAATAACCCAGATTTAATGGCTATTACTTAAATTTCTCCTCAGGCTAGTCACCAGTTTAGAATTAGTAATAGGCATTACTAATAATAATAGCATGTTCTGGAATTGATACTTAGCAACTATTGTTGGTGCCATTTGTGGTTACACCAACTTGTGGTGGCTGAGAAAGGACAGGAGAGGTTTCCTGGATGAGAGGGGAAAGCAATTTATTCAGTGTGCATTAGTCAGTACCTGGTCATTTTATTGAGCTAGTGGTAGTCTATGTATTATAATACCTTAAACTCAAAATGTTCAAAATGCAATTTATTACCTAATACTCAATATCTGTTTCTCCTCTCATGTTTCCTACTTCTCTGAACAAGACTTTATTCCATCCTTCCATCAAAAACAGAAATCTGGACATCATCTTAAATTCCTTCTGCAACCTCACTTTTCACATCCAGCTGGAGACTAAATCTTTGTTCTTCAACCTTAGAAATATCTCTTGAATCCTCTCCCTCTTATTTATTTCCACTGCTTTAACTTATGACTTTATTATTTACTTCCTCTAACAATATTAACAACCATTTTAGGATCTCACCATTTCCCTGTATACGTTATTGCAGTTTGTGATCTTTCTAAAATCCACATCGAATCATGTTGCTCCTTCAAAAAGATTAAATCTTACAAAGTATTCTTCATACCTTTAGGATTAAGCCTAACTCTAGGAACTACACAAATCCCTTTCTGATCAAGTCCTGGCCTACTTCCTCAGTGTCATTCATCACCATCTCAAAAACCCTTTAAACTTCAGCTAAAATCAGACTATGTGCTTTTCTTCCAATTAAAATTATTATTCCATCTACCTAGAATGCCTTTCACTAAATTCTCTGCCAAGAAGATTTCTACTCATTCTTGAAAACCTAATTCAAATTTTCTTCGTTGATAACTTTTCCTGACTGTAGTTCTCCTCCATTTTCCTATATTCTTCAGGTAGGTTTAAGGGACTCTCTTCTCTATCCTGTATAATGCTGATGTATATTCCTCTGTTGTAACACTTAGCAAATATGCTTTTATTTCACATAGTTTCTTTTCTCATGTGACTATGAACTTTTTTTATGTCAGGGATTTTAATTTGTTTGTGATTGTCTTCAATTCCCTGAACTTTGATTATAGTCCTTTCTTGATATCCATGGAGGGATTGGTCCCAGGATTCTCTATGGATAACAAAATCTGTGGATACTCAAGTCCTTTATATAAAGTGGCATACACAGTATTTGCATATAACCTGCGGACATCCTCTTGTATACTTCTCTAGGCTACTTATAATACCTAATACAGTGCAAATGCTTTGTAAACAGTTGTTATACTTGTATTGCTTATTCATATTATTTTTAATTTTTTCTTTGTAATATTTCTTTTTTTTTTTAATTTAAATTTTTATGTTTTGAGAGAGACAGAGTCTTGCTCTGTTGCCCAGGCTGGAGTGCAGTGGCATGATCATAGCTCACTGATGCCTTGGACTCCTGCTCTCAAGCAATCCTCCCACCTCACCCTGAACTTTGTATCAAAGGCTATAAGCATAAGCCATCATGCCTAGCTTTCTTTTTTTTTTTTTAAGAGAGAGGATCTTGCTCTGTCACCCAGGCTGGAGAGCAGTGGTGTGTCATAGCTCACTGTAACTGCGAATTCCTGGGCTCAAGCGATCCTTCCCCCTCAGCCTCCCGAGTAGCTGGAATTATAGGCATGAGCCACTACACCTGGGTAATTTTTAAATTTTTTGTAGAGACAGGATCTTGCTATGTTGCCCAGGCTAGTATCAAACTCCTGGCCCCAAGCAGTCCCCCTGCCTTGGCATCCAAAAGCACTGGAATTGCAGAGATGAGCCACTGTGCCCAGCCATTCCTAATATTTTCTATCCACTGTTGGTTGAATCCATTGATGTGGAACCTGTGGCTACAGAGAGCCAACTGCAGTTATAAAATTAATTAGTAAATGAATGAATGAGATGAAGCAATGTTTCAGTTTTAGAAT